>NC_000003.12:47888787-48191818 GCF_000001405.40 Homo sapiens
ACATATGTAAAGACGGCTTTGGAATATTTCCTTAACCTATACTCTCTCCTTTAGAGAAGCCTCAAGGTGAATGAAGCGGGTGGGTCTAAATGGCTCAGATTGGTTAAGAAGGCTATGGGACCTGGTATAGAGTTGACTGGACCAAGCTGAGCCAATAAGATATAATTACTCACTCATTGTCAGTATAGACAAAGACATGGAAATGACAGTCATGCAACATCGGAACCCTGACATATATGGTGGTAACAAAGCTGGCCACAGAGCTCAAACCATGGCAACTCAATGCTATTCTGTCCTGGGCAGAGTTACAAGGGAAGCAAAAAGAGATGACAGAGGAAATACAGATTTTTAAAGGGAAGAGAATGGAGTACATGTGCAGGGAGAAGCAGAGGTCCCAAGAGAGATATACACAATGGCAGCAGCCTGGCCACATTTCCTGTGACTGGATGCCCTGAGATTCCTCCATTGTTCTTTTACCTAACATGAGCTGTCTAGGCTTCATATCTTTGTTTAATATGAGTTCCCTTGCCTGGAAGGCTTTCCCTCCGCATTATTTGGCATCCCAGGGTTCCAAGGCCCACCTCAAATGTGACTTCCTCCAAAATGTTTCCACAATTCACAACCCTCCCACTGCCTCCCAGTCCTCCAACTGGATCAAAAGTTGCTTGAGGATAAGGATAATTTCCAGTGCCTAGATAGTGAATGCAAATGGTAGGCATGTTAAATGAAACAATCTTCCTATAAAAGTTTTATCTACAGAGTGGTTAGCAGAGTCAGCATTTAAACATTTATCGGGTGAATGGATCGGTGGATTTGTCAGTCATCTGAAATTTTTTTCTATTAGCACAAACTTCTGTTAGTCTGAATTAGAAAGAACTTGTTCTGAAACAAAGTCTTCACTCATGATCACCTAGAAGTTATGTGGTACTGAACAAAGCACCTGGGGATCAAGAAAAAGATGACAAAGTCCTGTCCAGGAAGAGCTTACAGTTCTGTCCCAGCTAGAAGGAAGCAACAGCATGGGACACCTGAATGCTTGTAATTCTGGAGTCATAAGAAATCAAAGAGGAACTATTAAGCTTCTTTGCCTCCATAAAAAAACGTGTTTTTTATCTCCATAAAAAACAAAAAATGTTTTTTATCTCCATAAAAAAAAAAAACCCAAAACATCTGTATGTCTTCTACTTACCACTCCCCTAGAAAATACCATTTCTTACTTTCAAAGAAAAAAAGTACAATTTCATAAAAATATACTGAGAGTAATAAATATTAGAGAAAACAGGTCCCAGGAAACAAGACTATTTTTTTTTAAACAAGCAAAACACATGTTTTAAATCCCCATTTACAAGTTTGTGAATTATGGCCCTTTGTGCTCAAACTGGACTCGGAGAAACACAAGCTTTTTTAGACCACCACAATAAGAGCTGTGGGGGGATGGGAGATGGGGAAGAAAAGAAAGGGCCAGGAAGAAAGACACAAAAGGCTGTCACAAAGACCGCAAAATTTAGCTGTTTATTAGGTTGCAAGTCTCTCCTTCTCTCCCTGCTTTCTCTTTCTTCTTTTTCTCCCCACAAATCCTCTCAAAACACATACAAAAAGAGAAAACTAGAAGCAAGATTGGGTCAAACATGAAGAACACAGAAAGAATATTAAATAGCTAGCTTTAAAGGGCTCTTTTTCAGTTTGAACAAAAGTAAAACGTTCTCCAAAGCAAAAACAGAAAACAGAGCTTCCACCCAGATTGTGCAACTTAATGAGAGGAGGTTAGTGCTGATAAACCCATTGTGAATCTATATAAAGTGACAGATTTTCAAGCAAGGAAATCAATCAGTTGGGATTGAAGGATTTAGAGCTCAGGAATCATCTGGTTCAAACCAACAGGGAGCTGAGGGCTGGGTGGATGGGGGATGGGTTGGACAGGGTGACATGAGGTCAAGAAAGGGGGTCTAGTTTTTATACCCACCATTCTCTGACCCCATTCCACCCCAAACTTGCACACTCAATTCACATTATCTGTCATGCTAGCAAGACATTCAGCTTGACCCTGCAAGATTCACTTTGTTCTCTTCCTTGCCTCACTCCCAGCAAGCTTCCAACACAAGGGAATTAAGCTTTCCCCAGGCAGTCACAGAACCCAGCTGTAAAAAGCTGCTTAGTGCTCTGCCGGTAATCTGTCACTTTGGTTCCTTCCTTGCTGTCTGCTTGTTCCCAATGGAGGCAAAATTTAGAAACATACCATCACGTGGGGGCTTTTCAAACAGGAACGATGGAGTGCTCTGGGTTGCAGTGACCTCAATTTCTTTCTTCCCTGCCAGAGCCGTCTGTCCTGGCTGTTTCTCTCCTCGCTGGCAAACCTGCGAGCATGAATCAATTCTAGTTTCACTAAAATCTTCCTGCCCTTTTTCCTTGCTGCTTCCTTCAGGAATCTGCTCCAGCTTACTATGGAGATATAATCCAGCAGTGCCGAGTTCCTTCTTCCCAGAGTTGCTGCTGCTGTTGCTGAAGTGAGCCAATTCTTCTCTCTTCTTGGCCACTGGTTCCTCACAGATGAAAGGAGGTATCTCTTTAGTAGACAAGATGGGCAGTTTCCCAGGGCTCAATTTGTAGCTAGCTGTCTGTTCCTCACCCACAGTCATGGAGCGCTTCATAGCAGGAGCTCCCAGTTTCCCAGGTGTAGGACTAGGCATTGGGCTACTAGGGGGAGGCAGCAGGCCAGAAGAAGGCTCTTCTCGGGCAGGGAGTTCAGGGTACTTATCTGCAAGGTTGACAGCTGGGGGAACTGAGAGGTGAGAACATTCAGACAGGGCCCTGCGCACTGCCTTTTTCTGCTGGGGGGCTTGGTTGAGCACAGCCTCCTCGGTAGAACTCAATTTCTCCAACTCCTTATCATGGTCTCTGATGTGACAGCTTGCATTCAAATGTTCCTGGGTGAACACCATAGTGATTGGCGGAATGGTGGTGGGTGAATGCTCAATAATGGGGGCTGGGTGGGCTAGAGACACCAGGAGTGGGGACTCACACTTCAGCTGCTCAGAGTTATCATTTACCACCCCAATCACTGGGCAGCCAGGGGTGATGCTATTCTCCATCTCTCCCGGAGTTGCTTCCCTTGAGCCCAGAGAGCCTTGAGCCACTGGATGAAAGCTGGGGTTCCAAACACTGGTTTCCTGCTCCTTAACATATCTGGTAGGGATGTCAGCAGCCCCAGGGAAATCCAGATCTGACTGGCTCTTGGTCTCTAGTCCATTCTTCCCTGCCACCTTCCCCTGAACTGGAATGGTTTTGTTTTTGTCTGGCCCCTCTATGAGTCCCAGATGGAACTCGGAGGTCTTCTGGTGTACCGAGTTCCCCTCCAAGGGATGGCAGGTCTCTGAAATCACATACCTGCTCTCAAGGTGACCTGAGGCTTCTTGACAGTCCTTGTCCTGCATTTCAATGCTCAGCTCTTTGTCTAGCTTCCCCTCAAAAAAGCAGAGCTTGTTCTGCTCCAGGAAGCTGGCATTCTTCACAAGCCCATCTTTTGGTTGCCCGTCCATGCTGACATTCAGCCCAATTTCATTCAGTTTGCCCTCTGTCCTCTGCCATTCGAATCCGGCTTGACTGATTTCTTTTGGGGAGTCCATTCGGCACTCTGCAGGCTTGCCCTTACTGAGCTGACCGTACGCGGCAGTGAGAGAGGCTGTCTGCTTGTCTGAGAGCGACATCGTCTCTCCTCCACTGCTCTCCCTGCTTTCGCTCCTGGAGCTCTAATACCACCTACGATCACACAGAGCTTGCAGTGACATCACACCAATTCCCCAGTATTCATGACAAAATTCATCTCTCCCTCAATGCCCCTCTCTCCTCAAGCAGTTGAGTATTAAATGCACTTACAAATGTGAAAGAAAGAAAGAAAGGAAGAATGAATGAAAGCGAAAGAAAGGAAGGAACCTGCTGCTTTCTGCACAACAAAATGCTACTTTAATCTGAGAATGTAATTTCCCGTGAACTAGCACTCTGTTTAGATCTGCAATTTAAAACACAGTATGGTGCCAATCCAAGCACTAAGGATAGTAATTATTTTGGCTTTCACTGATATAGATACGTGCATACCCACACACTCATTTATCTGATACCATGCCCACCCTTCCACATTCAACCACTCAGAAAACTGTTTTAAAAATAACCGAGACTCATTTGCCAATCCCCAGCTATAACCCTGAAGAACAATGAATCCAGGAAATTGTTCAAAATTGGACTAAAAAAAAAAAAAAAAAACCACACCTTAACGTAGTATTAAGATTGCAGGCATTCATTCTCAGAGGAAGAGTGGGTTTGCTGTCATAGCAACTTATCAAACTAACTTGAAAACTGACTTGAGTGGGGTCCCCAAAACCCGTAAGAGCTCCATCTGTAGCTCTGCATAATGGAAGAGTTTAATAAAGGGTTCATTTAAAGACTTCAGTGATCAGGGCTTTGGGGATAGATATTCTAATTATAAGACATTTGTGTGACAACATACCCCTTATGCATTTACGCCTGTCCCTGCCCCCACTTGGTTCCTTGGATGAGCTGGGTTGCTCCCTCCACTACCAAGCCCTGCTCTTTCCAGCCTAATAATCTGTTAGGTGTCATGTGAACACACTGGGGGCAGTGCATCTTTCTCTGACCTCCAGACTTAGGGACTCTAACAATTGTAGCTTGGAGTTTTCCCCACTCACCAGAGCTTACTGCCCCCATTTAACTCAGCATGGTCCTTTGCTGCCCTGGGCTTTGAGCTCAAATATTGTATATTCAAACTGAAGGAACCATAAAACAAAACTGTGAGAAAAAAATTACACTATAAGGACAGGCTATACTCTTACTTTGAACAAAGCTGATTTTTCTTGTCTAGCTGTAAGTTACTGTCTTGCAATAACATAGCATACTGGAAATATTCTATCAGAAATCCAAGAGAAGTCTTTTTCCAAGATGAAGAAAAGATTTAGATTGCTTTTTTTTTTTTTTTAAAAAAAGGCCATTTGCCATAAACTGCAATGATTTGATGACAGTTTTTAAACAATGCCTTTAGAAAAAAGGGCAAGTTAAGATTGTTCTTTGGTCTATAAAATGTAAAGAAATTACCAAGGTCCGCATAGGAAAGCTTGCTAAACTGTAGCCTCTGTCCCCAAGAACTCACCTTCTCTATTCATACCACTCAAGTTCCCAACAAGAGTACAGGGATCAACCTTATATACCTTTTCCATTACCTTCAGTACCTGACACAGGGCTACACTCATGATGATGAGTGGCAATGTTGCAATGCTGAAAAAAAAAAACTGAACATGAACTGAGCCTCATATACATTTCTTCCCCTTGATCTTGAGCTGTTTAGTAACAATACATGACAAAGCACAATACAGATTAACTGGCAAGGAACCTGGTTTCCATACTCTATGGCAAAGATCTTGCTAAGGAAAAGGAAGTGAGGTATAACAAAATGAAGAATGCCAGGAGAATCATGATTCTAATTAGTAACAAGAAAAAATATGATTGGCCGGGTGTGGTGGCTCACGCCTGTAATCCCAGCACTTTGGGAGCCCAAGGCAGGTGGATCACGAGGTCAGGAGATCGAGACCATCCTGGCTAACATGGTGAAACCCTGTCTCTACTAAAAAATACAAAAAATTAGCTGGGCATGGTGGTGGGTGCCTGTAGTCCCAGCTACTCAGGAGGCTGAGGCAGGAGAATGGCGTGAACCCACGAGGCGGAGCTTGCAGTGAGCTGAGATCACGCCACTGCACTCCAGCCTGGGCGACAGGGCAAGACTCCGTCTCAAAAAATAAAAAAAAAAGAAAAAATATGAGGCGAGATTGGGTACAGAAAGGCCTTGGTAATACAACATAGTTGAATTCTTGCTTTCTTTTTTTATACATATAATTGAATAATATAATTAAGTATGTACAATATGTGAGGAAAATTATGAAAGTCTGGAGATGGCTGGGTGCCATGGCTCACACCTGTAATCCCAGCACTTTGGGAGGCTGAGGTGGGCAGATTGCTTGAGCCCAGGAGTTTGAGACCAGCCTGGGCAACATGGCAAAACCCTGTCTCTACAAAGAGTACAAAAATTTAGGTGGGCATGGTGATCACAATTGTGGTCCCAGCTACTCAGAAGGCTGAGGTGGGAGAATTGCCTGAGCCCAGTAAGTCAAGGCTGCAGTGGGCCGTGATCACATCACTGCACTCCAGCCTGGGTGAGAGGAAACCCTGTCCAAAAAAAAAAAAAAGGGGGTGAGGAAGATATTGTTGTAATACAGTCTGAATATACCAGAGGAAAACTCTGGAAAATACCTTAGAAATCAGGTAAGCCTCAACAACCCCATTCTGTGTAAACTAGTCACCCCCCACAAACGACACACACATATACACCCTTAATTTACTGACATGGTGGGGAAAAAATTAATTTGACTTTGAGTCAGAAGGCCAGATTTTAAAATCTGTGTCACTTAATAGTTAAGAGTCTTAGAAACTCATTTAACTGCTCTTAGCTTCAGTTTCTTCCTCTATAAAAGGAGGGGAATCTTTAAGGTGCTCTTGGATTCAGTTTTACCACTTTCACTTCTGAAGTTGAAACAGCCATTCAAGTAATCACAGGCCCACTGCTATGTCCAGCTCAAAGTATGACTTCAACCTGGGACTCCACTAGGCAGTATCTTCAGTAACCTTTCTGTCTCATGCGGGAGTGCTGCCTATTGGCAGAGGCATGACTGGGCATGGCGGACGTTGCAGCATGTCTGAAGAAAGTGGTAGTTGGCCCTTATATTCTGAAGAAGTGGAAAATACCAAGGCAAAGAACAAGCATAGAAACTTGTTCCTTATAGCCAAATTATTTTTAGTTCTGGCCAGCCTACCCAGACCCACTTCACTAGTTCATCCCTACCCAACAGCTAAGGCAATAACTAAAATTACAGGTCTCTGCTACCTTCAGATATCACATATTCTGCCTCAGTAATTCTATCCATAAACAGCAGACTGCAAAATGTGAACCAGCCAAAAGACCAAGAGCAGAAACCAGAAGAATGAAGCTAGTCAGGCACAAAGAAGTGCATATTCCAGACTACAGTTCATACTGTGTAGATCAGAAATGTGGTCAAACTGAAAAAATATAATTATGAGGTCAACATCTAGCAACTGGGCCAAGCACTGGCTTCATAGTTACAAGGCTCAGGAGACAGAGAGTTGAAAGAAGCAATCTGGGGTGGGGGGGCGGTCAGAACAAGAAGTTCAAGCCCATAGAAGGGGCGAGTACCCAAGACATCATGTCAGCCAGGTGCTCAGGCATACAGATAAGTTTGGTGGTCACCCAGGGGTCTGAGTACAACAAAACACATAGCCGTGAGGATTGAGGGAATATATATAAAAAGCATTTGACAAAGTAGTTAAAACACACAAATACATAATGTATCTACTGATGCTAGCTTTAAAAAAACAACCAAGAAGGCCGGGCGCGGTGGCTCACGCCTGTAATCCCAGCTCTTTGGGAGGCCGAGGCGGGAGGATCACCTGAGGTTGGGAGTTCGAGACCAGCCTGAACAACATGGAGAAACCCCGTGTCTACTAAAAATACAAAATTAGCCGGGCGTGGTGGCACATGCCTGTAATCCCAGCTACTCGGGAGGCTGAGGCAGGAGAATCGCTTGAACCCGGGAGGCAGAGGTTGCAGTGAGTGGAGATCATGCCATTGCACTCCAGCCTGGGCAACAAGAGCGAAACTCCATCTCCAAACAAACAAACAAAAAAACAACCAAGAAACTGTACATATATATATATGAAGTAGGTTTTCCTACTCCCTATAGGGAATCTGATGTGTAGTAATAATAACAACAACAACAACAAAAGTGAGAAAGCCTAAGTCCCTGGACTGGAGAACTGCTGCACTCTGGTAAAGACAGACAAAAACAAAACAAAACAACCACTACTACTCACAAGAAACAACATATAAATCGTAATTGCAATCACTAACAGATAAGAGAAAAAGAAAAGCTAAATTTCAAAATCTGGGGCACTGCCTAAGGAAAGTAAATAACCTATTCCCTGAATCCCTTTTAGGACAAGGGTCCATTATATCCATCAACAGTACTGCAAAGACACTAAAGTATGTGTGACAGTACAGAGTCAGAATGCTGAGGCTTCCCTAACAGACCCCTCATTTTATAGAGGAACAAAATGGTGTCCAGAGAAAAAAAGTGGTTTGCCCATGATCACATGGTGAAAACTTAATGGAAAAGCCACAAAGAAGATGCTAGGTTTCTGACTGCCAGTCTTCCCAAACCGCTGAGCAAAAATTAATCTTAGTCACTAGATGACTCTCCTTTTCGATGTATCTTTATTTTTTTGAGAGGGGGTCTCGCTTTGTTGCCCAGGCTGGAGTGCAGTGGCATGATCTCGGCTAACTACAACCTCTGCCTCCCAGGCTCAAGCGATTCTCCTGCCTCAGCTTCCGGAGTAGCTGGGATTACAGGCCCACACCACCACACCTGACTAATTTTTGTATTTTTAGTAGAGACAGGGTTTCACGATGTTGGCCAGGCTGGTCTTGAACTTCTGACCTCAGGTGATCTGCCCAACTCGGCCTCCCCAAGTGCTGGGATTACAGCTGTGGGCATTGCGCTCGGCCCAATGTATCTTTTTTGTGATCATTGAAGTACTTCAAACTTTAATTTGGAATTATAATTTAATTCTTTTGTGATCACTCCAAAACTCCCAAATTAATACACAGTATGCATACACATGTGTGTGTATGTATGTGTGTTTAGGGGAGCAAACGCGTGTTTGAAGTAAGGGAGAAAAAGAGGCAATGCACTTGGTTTCGGTGTTTACTTTATATCTTAAGAACGGTCTTGTTTGAGGCCGGGAGTAGTGGCTCATGCCTGTAATCTCAGTACTTTGGGAGGTCGAGGCGGGCGGATCACAAGGTCAGGAGTTCGAGACCAGCCTGGCCAACATGGTGAAACCCTGTCTCCACTAAAAAAAGATACAAAAAATTAGCTGGGTGTGGTGGCAGGTACCTGTAATCCCAGCTACTCGGGAGTCTGAGGCAGGAGAATCGCTTGAACCTGGGAGGTGGAGGCTGCAGTGAGCCGAGATCCCACCACTGCACTCCAGGCCAGGCAACAGAGTGAGACTCCATATCGGGGGGGGGAAAAAAAAAAAAGAAAGAATGGTCCTGCTTTAATTATGCAAAGAGTAAGATGTGGGTGACTTATTCCTTAGCAAACTTCTGTTTCTAATTTCCAGTCTTAAGAGAACTTAGATTTATGTTAATATCTTTCTATGGTGCCTTAGCACTGTAAGTTTCCTTTCATGTGGCTTCTGAGTAGGAAGACAGATTCAGCCTCACTAAGAAAAAGCAGAGAACCAGACGCTTTTACAGAGGGGGAAGGGACAGAGTAGCTTCTAGTTTCATTACACTAGGCTGGGCATGGTGGCTCACCCCTGTAATCCCAGCACTTTGGGAGGCAGAGGCAGGTGGATCATGAGGTCAAGAGATCGAGACCATCCTGGCCAACGTGATGAAACCCTGTCTCTAGTGAAAATACAAAAATTAGCTGGGCGTGGTGGCACGCACCTGTAGTCCCAGCTACCCGGGAGGCTGAGGCAGGAGAATTGCTTGAATCCGGGAGGCAGAGGTTGCAGTGAGCTGAGATCGCGCCACTGCACTCCAGCCTGCCAACAGGGCGAGACTCCGCCTCAAAAAAAAAAAAAAAAGATTACACTATTGCTTTTGCAAGGCATACAAAGATATTAAATGGAAGAATAATTAATGGCTTTGTTGCACCCCAAATGAGGTGAATGCCACCTGGATGACAAATGATGGGGAAACCCTAGTATAGAATAATTAGTAAAACTCAAGAAAGACTGGGCATAGTAGCCCACGCCTGTAACACCAGCACTTTAGAAGGGTTAGGTGGGAGGACCACTTGAGGCCAAGAGTTCAAGAGCCTGGGCAACATAGCAGGACCCACATCTATACAAAAAAAATAAGAAAAAAATGTTTTTTAGCCAGGTGTGGTGGTGCATGCCCATAGTACTAGCTACTTGGGAGGCTGAAGAAGGAGGATCACTTAAACCTAAGAGTCTGAGGCTGCAGTGAGTGAACTATGATCACGCCACTGCACTCCAGCCTGAGCGACAGAGACCTTGTTTAAAAACAAAACAAAACAACCCACAGAACACCCTGAGAATGGCCAGTTCAGTACTCCAGTCCAAATAAGAATTACAGACATAATCTCAATCAGGGATGCAGATTTATCCACAGGAAATAGCCACAGCAAGAAACTCCAATCTCCCAGCCACTGTAAAATTATATCAAGTTGGTGGATGAGGTAAATACATGAAGTTTGAAAAGGGTGAGCCTGCCTAGGTAAAAAGAAACACACTTAAGAACCAGAAGGACTAAGTCCTAGATTCAGCTGCCACTGGGATTCCTTGTCTCTAGGTTCTTCCTCCCCAGGAGCTGGGATTACAGGTGTCCCAGCTAATCACCACACCCAGCTAATTTTTGTATTTTTAGTATACACAGGGTTTCACTATGTTGGCCAGGCTAATCTGGAACTCCTAACCTCAGGTGATCCTCCTGCCTCAGCCTCCCAAAGTGCTGGGATTACAAGTGTGAACCACCGCACCCGGCCCCTTGCCTCTAGGTCCTATTCCTACTCACTCACCTCTGCAAAGTCTCTTTGAACCCCTCCTGAGTTCTTTATATTATCATAATACTCTATCTCTTTTTAGAATTTAGAAACCACACTGTAATCTTTTATTTATATGACTTTCCCAGGAGCTTCTAGAAGGTAGGAATGTGAACTGTGCATTTGTGCCATGTGGGTGCACTGCACAGTGCTTGACTCACAGTAAATAAGCTTTCAAAAAAGATCTGCTCAGTGAAAGGATGGGTAGTTTCCTTTTACACTGCATCTGCATCATTTGACCTGATCCGTTCCATCATTAAAGCTGTCTTCAACCCAACCCAAGCGGTGGTGATCTGGAATGTCCTTTGAGCTAAATATTGTGAAGTTCTATTCCATTCTGTCTGAGTTTGAAGAAAGCGCATGGATTCCTGTGTGTCTGGGCAGAAGGTGGTTTCCAGGACTCTTGGCAAAGCCTGCAGGTCTCTAATCCCAGTACATGTACTGGCAGATATTTCTGTTTTAGCCTTGTGCTTGGAGTTAGTATTTAACCTGTTCAGGGCCTTGGTTTTTATACATGACAGACAACTAGTTTCTCTGCATTCTTTCTTATCAGTTACCAAGGCAACACTACTTTCCAGATTGACCAACTGTTCCCAGTTATTGCCTCCAGGAAACAATTATCATTACAATGAAAGTCAATAATTCTACTATTAACAATGATTGATGACACTCACTCCTTGTTAATAAAAGATAAAGTTGTCAAGTTATAATCTAGTTTCTTCCCTGGAAGTAAACGTTCCAAGTGTTTAGACATACATACATAAAGGTAAAACTATTTCAGAAACCATATTCTACATTTTAGAAACATTTCTCATGTTTTAACTCAAGAAAATAAATCATGATTCTCCCTGATTAAAAAAAGGATGAGAAGCAAACAGACAGAATGAATAAGCTGAGGCGAATAATCTGATATATGTGAACCAAAGACATGAAAATGCTTATGGATAAGAAATCCTCTAAAGGCCGGGCATGGTAGCTAAGGCCTGTAATCCCAGCACTTTGGGAGGCTGAGGCAGGCGCATCACCTGCTGGAGTTTGAGACTAGCCTGGCCAACATGGTGAAACCCTGTCTCTACTAAAAATACAAAAACTAGCTGGGTGCGGTGGTGTGCACCTGTAGTCCCAGCTACTTGGGAGGCTGAGGCAGGAGAATCGCTTGAACCTGGGAGGTGGAGATTACAGTGAGCCGAGATGGCGCCACTGCACTCCAGCCTGGGCTACAGAGGGAGACTGTCTCAAAACAACAACAACAACAACAACAACAACTCTAAAAACTACAACTTGGAAATATCAAGTCTTTGTTCTTTTAAGTCTAGTATGGACCCTCCCATAGCCCTCCCCAAAAGAAAAGAGAATCATCCAACTAAACTAGGTAGAAAGATAACCCATTTCTTCAAGCAAAAATCTAAGATCTTCTGCTTTTAGAGGCACACAATACCCCTAGGATCCTTTAGGAGCTTACTTTCTTTTCCCCAATTTCATCTCAAAATGTTTAACAGATGTCCCTGTTTCCCCAAACTTGACTTTATTCCATGCACCTGCACTTCACTATGCATGCCTTTACACAGCTGTCCCCTAGAATTCTTTACCTTAATTTGCTCAGCAAACTCTTAGCCATACTTTCAGAGTCTCCTGTGTGAAGATTTCTCTAGGTCTTGTAGGAAAACTTAGTCCCTTTCTGCTCTGTATTTCCATAGGATCTAGCTCACACTTCTATCCTTTTTCAGAGGAGTAAACTTCTCTTACTAGAGGAAAACTGTCTGTTTTCCACCCTGGAATCTCTGAAGAGTATAGAATGTGTTTTATTAGTCTATTTTTAGAGTAGGAGTAATGTCACTTGGTATCTACTGAATGAATGAATAAACTAAATACTAAAAAGTACAAATCATGCTGTGTGTCCGCTATTTGCAGAGCAATAGGCAATGTTTATACACTTCAGGAGGCCGAGGTGGACGGATCACTTGAGCTCAGGAGTTCAAGACTAGGTTGTGCAACATGGCCAAACCCAGCCTCTACAAAAAATACAAAAATTAGCCGGGCACGGAGGCACGCACCTGTAGTTCCAGCTACTTGCAACTGAGGTGGGAGTATCACCTGAGCCCAGGAGGCGGAGGCTGTAGTCAGCTGAGACTGTACCACTGCACCCCAGCCTGGGCAACTGAGCAAGACCCTATTTAAAAAAAAAAAAAAGAATGGAAGCCCCCTTACTGTCACCTCCATATCTTAAAGAAATAACTATATCTGCAATACTGTAAATCAAAACTAAGTTTTTATTTTAACAGTGTGTTCAGAATCCCCCAATGCTATTTGTCAACCAGAGGGTACAAGTGAAGGGTGAGGGAATATGAGGGGAAGAAGCTTCTTTTAAAGTAGGATATTCAAGCCAGGCATGGTGCCTCACACCTAGAATCTCAGCACTTTGGGAGGCCAAGGAGGAAGGATTGCTTGAGGCCAGAAGTTTGAGACTAGCCTGGGCAACAGAGTGAGACCCCATCTCTACAAAAAATATTCACCAGGTATGGTGGTGCACACCTGTAGTCTCAACTACTTGGGAGGCTGAGGCAGGAGGATTACTTGAGCCTGGGAGGTCGAGGCTGTAGTAAGCCGTGATCATGCCACTGCACTTCAGCCTGGGTGACAAAGTGATACCTTGTCTCAAAAAAATAAATACAAATTTAACAAAACAAAGTAGGATAATCAATTGTTGCTTGATTCATTTCAAAGAATATTTAAATGTTCTGGCTCAAACAAGGTAATGACCACACAGTATTTTTTGGAGGTTAAGAGTTTAGGATGGCAATGAGTATATAGTAAGGTTCAATAAATGGTAGCTATTTTTAGTTGTGTGACTAGTCCCAATAAATTTCATCAGCATGGTAGTAAAAAAAAGCCAGTGGAGTCAGGCGCAGTGGCTCATGCCTGTAGTCCCAGCACTTTGGGAGACCGAGGTGGGTGGATCACGAGGTCAGGAGTTCAAGACCAGCCTGGCTAACATGGTTAAACCCCATCTCTACTAAAAATACAAAAATTAGCCGGGCGTGGTGACACATGCCTATAATCCCAACTACTCAGGAGGCTGAGGCAGGAGAACTGCTTGAACCCAGGAGCCAGAGGTTGCAGTGAGCCGAGATTGTGCCACTGCACTCCTGCCTGGGCGACAGAGGGAGACTCTGTCTCAAAAAAAAAAAAAAAAAAAAAAAAAAAGAAGCCAGTTGAATCAGAGGGCAAGTGGGGTGAGAGTAATGAGGAAAGGAACTTCACAAATGGCACTACAGTTAAGAAAAGACATTACCAAATGGGTACTTCTCCAGTTGTAAAATAGTAGCAAGTTCTAAGATAACAAATGGTTTTTTCATCTGCTGAGCATATTTTATTTATGTACAAGGGCCTTGAAACTGTTAGAATTCTGGGTTTATAAATTACTTCAAGTTTCACACCAAGAGAGTTTCTCACCATAAACTGACATTCCCAGCTGCTGGTAGACAGTTGATGAGCTCAAGCAAACTGAAGAAAGAAATGAAAGCCAGATTATAAGAAGACCAGGCTTCACTATGGCAAAGGGAGGGCCTATTTACAGGGATCCCAAACTGTCCCATTCACAGTAGCAGCATAGCAAGTACACTGTCACTCACAGTTCTACTTGGTTTCCAGGGGAACAACTAACATGGAGCGGGTATTGGAATCTAATGTGGATCATCCTTTCAAGTTTGTGCTTCCCTTCACAAAAAACACAATCCCATAAGAAGTCCTTTTCTGGCCAGGTGCGGTGGCTCACCCTTGTAATCCCAGCACTTTGGGAGGCCAAGGCGGGCGGATCACGAGGTCAGGAGATCGAGACCATCCTGGCTAACACGGTGAAACCCCGTCTCTACTAAAAATACAAAAAATTAGCCAGGCATAGTGGTGGGCGCCTGTAGTCCCAGCTACTCGGGAGGCTGAGGCAGGAGAACGGCGTGAACCTGGGAGGCAGAGCGTGCAGTGAGCCGAGATCGCGCCACTGCACTCTCGCCTTGGCGAAAGAGCGAGACTCCGTCTCAAAAAAAAAAAAAAAAAAAGTCCTTTTCTGAAAAGTTGAGCTTAGACTTCCTGACGTATTGCATTAATCTTCCCTGCCTGGAAGAACATGCATAGTATGCAAAGAAACCTTCTGTTAAAGTTTCCCTAAATTTGACAGCAGCATGAAAAAATAACAGTAGAGCAAACAGTAAGCTGGAAGAGACTTTGGCAATATATTCACTTTCCCTACTTCTAAACAGGGTAAGATCAGCAAAAAGATAATTCACTTATAATTCAAAAAATGTCATTAGGCATCATGTATATATAAAGCTCTAGGCTGGGTGTTAAAAAGTACATGTAAATAAATCAAACACAGACTCTCTGGACAATAAAATGCTAGACAGAGTCAAAAGACCTAGATTCTAATCCTAAATTAACCTCTAATTCACAGTTTATATTTTCATGATGTATCTTTATTTCTCCAAGTAGAAAAGTGTTTAATTAGTGCCTAGATACTAAAAAAAGTCTATTTTATGTTTACTAATTGTCAACCTTCATCTTTTTCTTTTTAAGTACCTGAAACTTCCGGAAGCTTCTGAAGCAAGTCTAAGAAAAGCATGGATCTTAGAAACATAAAGACTTGGATTCAAATTCTAACCCTGGCACTTCACCAGCTATGTGACCTTGACAGCCTCCATTTTCTCACCTGAAAAATGGAGATAATCTTTAATAGTGTTATTTTATGTGTGTGTGTATGATCTATTTACCTATTTCCAGATAACCAGGCAAATAAAATCAACTCAATAGGTGGTAGGTGCTATTATTATTATTATTATTTTTTGAGATGGAGTCTCACTCTGTCTCCCAGGCTGGAGTGCAGTGGTGCGATCTTGGCTCACTGCAACCTCTGCCTCCTAGGTTCAAGAAATTCTCCTGAGCCTCCTGAGTAGCTGGGATTACAGGCGTGCGCTGTCATACCCAGCTAATTTTTGTATTTTTAGTAGAGATGGGGTTTCACCATGTTGGCCAGGCTGGTCTCGAACTCCTGACCTCAGGTGATCTGCTGCGCCTGGCCAGTGCTATTATTATTAACACCCGGATTAGTTAGAGGTACTATTATTTTTACTAACACCACTAATAATATCTTTTTTTTTTTTGGGCGGGGGGGCTAGAGAGGGGCGGGGCGGGGGATGGAGTCTCACTCACTCTATCGCCCAGGCTGGAGGGCAGTGTTGTGATCTTGGCTTACTGGAACCTCTGCCTCTTGGGTTCAAGAGAGCGATTCTCCTGCCTCAGTCTCCTGAGTAGGTGGAATTACAGGCATGCAACATCATGCGTGGCTACTTTTTGTATTTTTAGTAGAGATGGGGTTTCACCATGTTGGCCAGGCTGGTCTTGAACTCCTGGCCTCAAGTGATTTGCCTACCTCAGCCTCCCAAAGTGCTGGGACTACAGGTGTGAGCCACTGTGCCCAGCCAACACCATTTGTAATATCTTTACTGTCCAAACAATGGAAACCATGGGTGACACCATTTGACCACAAGACGAATGAGAACAAGATATGTGAGAATTGGTAGCAATATGGGGGCAGGGCAGTTAACATGAATGATTCAAAGTGAGGAACAAAGATAAACACCAGTGATGGACTAACAAAACATGTGAACACATTATGCTGTTCGACAGAAAAACTCGATATGCAAGACATAAACTCTCCCTACGATAAGCTAGAAACAGTGACTTCAAGAAAAATATTGAGTGGATTAATTTTTCTTCTACAAAACTAAAAAATAAGAATAGGACAACTCTGAAAAAGAATAATAGGGCAAGGGGTTGGGCTAGCCCTATTAGATATTAAAATATATTAGGAAGCCTGGTGGAAAGATCAATGGATCAGGAAAGAAAGTCCAGAAATAGACCAAATACATGCAGAAATTTAGGGTATGACAAAGGTGGCAGTTCAGTGGGAGATCGATTATAAACATGATGGTGGGATGACCAAGTAACCCTGCCTCACAACCTTATAAACAAAACATACCAAAACAACAACAACAACAAAAAAAAAAAACCCCACAAACAAGCAAATTCTAGATTGGCCAACAATTTAAAATGAAAAATATTAATAGAAGAGAAAAGAAAATATTTTCATAATTTCAGAGCATGGATTGGCTTTTATAAACTTGTTAATACATGAAGAAGTCACTAAAAAAAAAATAAAACACAGCCAGGCATGGTAGCTCATGCCTGTAATCCCAGCACTTTGGGAGGCTGAGGCAAGTGGATCGCCTAAGGTCAGGAGTTCAAGACCAGCCTGGCCAACATAGTGAAACCCAGCTCTACTAAAAATACAAAAAATTAGCTGAGCGTGGTGGTAGGCACCTATAATCCTAGCTACTAGGGAGGCTGAGGTAGGAGAATCGCTTGAACCTGGGAGGTGGAGGTTGCAGTGAGCCAAGATCGTGCCATTGCACTCCAGCCTGGGCAACAAGAGTGAAACTCCATCTCAAAAAACAAAAAAAACAAACAAAAAACAGCACACACACAAAATCTATGCCATGAAATAATTTTTCACCGATTAGATCAGTACACATAACCAAAAAAAAAAAAAAAATCACACTAGTAGAGAAAGGCAGGGAAACAGGTATTTGTCTATGTTGAGGGTGGGAGTAGAGATGTACCTTTCTCTACAAGGGACATCTCTGTAGGCCTACAGAGAGCAATATGGAACACCCATCAAAATTATGAATACATATTCTTCAAACCAGAGATTCTTACTCCGGAGCCCCTTTTTATTACACAGACGCACACACATGAAGATGACATCCTATAGATACAAAGATAGTTTATGTACCATATTTCTAATGAAAAAAAGTTGGGAAACACCTAAATGTGCATCAGTAAAGAAGTACTGGCCAGGCACGGTGGCTCAACACCTGTAATTCCAACACTTTGGGGAGGCTGAGGCAGACAGATCACCTGAGGTTGGGAGTTTGAGATCAGCCTGACCAACATGGAGAAACCCCGTCTCTATTAAAAATACAAAATTAGCTGGGCGTGGTGGTGCATGCCTGTAATCCCAGCTACTCGGGAGGCTGAGGCAGGAGAATCACTTGAACCCAGGAGGCAGAGGTTGCGGTGAACTGAGATCATGCCATTGCACTCCTTCGTGGGCAATGAGAGCAAAACTCTGTCTCAAAAAAAAAAAAAGTACTATAATACATTAGTATATACCTATGTAATGAAATAGTATACAGCTATCAAAAAAGAATGAGTCATATCTAGAGACATGTACCAGGAAAAAAGATTAAAAAAAAAAACAAAAAAAAGAGGCCTCTTTCTTTATACTGATTCTTTTTTTTTTTTGAAATGGAGTTTCCCTCTTGTGGCCCAGGCTGGGGTGCAGTGGCGCGATCTCGGCTCACTGCAACCTCCACCTCCCAGATTCAAGTGATTCTCCTGCCTCATCCTCCCAAGTAGCTGGGATTACAGGCATGCACCACCACACCCAGCTAGTTTTGTATTTTTAGTAGAGATGGGGTTTCTCCACGTTGGTGAGGCTGGTCTCGAACTCCTGACCTCAGGTGATCCGCCTGCCTCGGCCTCCCAAAGTGCTGGGATTATAGGTGTGAGCCACTGCGCCTGGCTTCTTTATACTGAGTCTTAAAAGATCTCTTTAAAAATTAAGTTTAAAAAGAATAGCACACATCAGTATGTATGTATACGTCTCATTTATATGAAATCAGGAAATATATATGTTATTACTTATTATACATAAATTGTCTGGAAGGATATATAAGCTATTGTGAACACTGGTTGCTCTGGAGAGGGAAAGCTGGAAGGCGGTTAATGGAGGGAGGCCAACTTACGTTTTACTGTATACTCCTTTGTACCATGTGAATGTATTAACCTATTCGACAATTAGTTTAAAAATTTTTTTTTAACTATTAAAAAGGTATACATTGTCCTTAGGGGAAAGGTGTGGTAGAATTTATAGAAGAAACAATAAATTTTGTCCCAAACCCATTATCCTTCCCATACCCACTCTGTAAGGCCACTGCTAACACAGTCTCTGAGCCTGACCTGACCCAGGCAGGGCCCCAAAAGTTCTGCAGTACTGGTCTTGCTTCCTCAAGAAAAACAAATCCTCTTTCTGCATTTCTTTGGAAATACTGAGCAAAAAGAGATGGCTGGGATTTCACAGAAATTACATGTTAACTTTTAGATCACTGCTGAAACTAAAGAATGGGTCTAGAAACCAAAACGAAAGAACTGGATAGAACACTGGAAATCTCAATGAATGCTGGAAAGCCCTCTACATACTATTTCATTTTCTGCCTTGGTAATAGGGTAGCTAATAGAAGATAAAAACAGAGAAGATGAGAATGTCTTATGCAAATAACAACCTTTAGCATTCTTTACTCACACAGCAGTATTCCTTAGTGGGTACATACTCATGCATAGACAAGCTTTACCCAAAAGAACAAGTCCATACCATGCAGAACACAATCCCATGATGAAACCTCTCTAAAAGCCTGACTGGCTACTAAAACCAATTGGTGTTTTTTTTAAATTCTGGAGTTAGTAGCTACATCATGCAAGCTGGGAAACAGTGATTAAGAAATAGTGTCACTTGTAGGCTGTGAAAAATCTCAAAGACAAGGGAACATTTTTTGAAAGCTAGATTCAGGGAAGCCACGATTAAATGTATACTTTTTTGGGGAATTGGGGGTGGGGGGAAACGGGGCTACCATTTCTAAATCTTAAAGGAATCATCTTCTTAATCTCATTCCAATTACTTGACTGAATAGAGCCAAAAAAGAGTAAAATTATGAGGAACACAACATGGGCAAGTTTTATGGACTATGTTTGATGGACACAGACTATGCCCAAAACTCAAACCCACATGGAACTGTGGGGCAATGGATATAAGCAACAAACTGGTCAAAAAATGTATCTGTATCATTGAGAGATCATTTCCCATTACTAGAAACACAAATAAATCGGTGCCTACCAATGCTGGTTTGAGGCCACCATTTCCTCATAAGGAGGTGGACTGATTTCATTTAACCTAAAAGCAGTTTGGATATTTAGTCCCACCAGCACAAGCTACATATAAATTGAAAAAAATCTCATGCACATAGCTAGACATGAAATATTTTCTTTCCTCCTGTGAATCCTTATACCAAGTAATGATTAAAATTTAGCTGTAAACTTGATACATAGGAGGCACAATTTTAAAAAAATTAAGAAATGGATGATGATAGGTCTTTTGTTAGACAATTCATTGAAAATTCAACTTCCCCTAAAATTCAACGTTCAGTGCTGGGTAAAAAAGGCATGCAACCAAGTTACCAGCCTCCTCAAGCAGGACACAAGGAACACATTGGCTGCAGAAAACACACCGTAGCAGTTATAGGTTTCATGCCAACAAACCAATGATTAACAAGGATGATTAGAGTCTGGATGGAGCCAAGACACAAGCTCTTTGCCTTTCTGATGCTGACTCAAAAGCCACAAGCACACACATTTCCCCATGGCAGGTTCATACCAGCGGACTTCAGTTGCTTATGTCTCTCTTGTTCCTGGATTGTAGACTTTGGCAAAAGTGGAGTAAGTCCTCGGGACTTGGTGGGTCTCATGTAGCCTTTCATTGGTTCTGCCATTCTGCTTTTATCTTCCTTTTTCCCTTCTCCTGGTGTCTTTGATTCAGATTTTTCTGTCATTTTCTGAGGTGTCTCCAAAATCTTATCTTTGGGTTCTGGGAGTCGAACACCCTTGGAAGCAGTCATTATTACTAACGTATCCGCCACCTCTGAAGGAGGAGCTTCGACTTTGCTATGTAAGAAATCTGACTGGATTTCTGGTGTTGGCAAGGAAACGCTTTCCAATTCCGTGATTTTACAAGCCAGACTAATTTCTTTCAATTTATCATTTTCACTTTTTGGAGACAAAAGAGTCAGATCTACCTTCTTATTCAAACTATCTGAACCTTTGGAATTTCTATCTTGAGCATTTTGGTCCTCACAAAAACTGAGCTTTTGTGCTTTGTCTTCCAGTAAGTCAGGAATCTGAACTGCAACAGACCCTTCTTTAGTCTCTTTCTCTTCATTCACTGGATGTGCTGGGAAATTACCTCTATCTGCATATCCTTCTAGGGCTCTGGCCTCTCCTGGTAGGCTCTGGTCTTCTACTGGCACTCCAGGAAGGAGGTGACCTTTTGCTAGCTCTGTGACTTTCTCTACTGAATGCTTAGACGCACCACTGTGCACTGACTCAGATTCTCCTATCACATGCCCTTCATCGATCCCTGCTTCATTTTTCATGGAATCAGCAAGCTCAGCTTTATTCTTAAGAGAGTGATCTCCATGAATGTTAACTGTTTCTATGGCTGTTGTAATAGGTAGAGCAACTCCTCCTGTGCTTGTAGAGGGCACAACAGCAGAGGGACCCTTGGGTCTTTCTTGACCTGGGACTCCATCTTTGGTGTAGTTATCTACCATTAATGATTTGGAAATCTGGGCTGGGGCTATCTCTTGCCCATTTTTTGCCAAGGTATCTGGAAAGGAATCACCTTCCTTTACTACTTGAGGAGTAGGAGTGGGCAGTTTTTCACAGGCTGCTGATTCCAGAACCTCTAGAGGAGATGATTTATTTATCAGCTCTGATGGTGTTCTGGGACAGGTAAATGTAATATTTCTATTTTCGTCCATATAGGCCATTCCTTCAATTCCCTGGTCCCCTGTGGTTTCCATGGGAACATGTATTTTTGTTGCATCTATCTTATTCTCCAGAATGTGCTTCTCAGGAGAACTATTTTTAACCTTTTTACTTTTTCCATCATTACTCCTTTTACTTGGTTTGTCAGCCACTGCAGTGTATCTATTGGCTGCATCTGTCTTATTCTCCTCAGATACTACTGAAGGAACAAATCCTGCCCCCTGGATTTGCTCTTGGCAGCTCACATCTGTCACCTTGGCAGGTGGTTCAGTAACAGTAGAAGCCTTGACTGTGCTTATCTTGTTTTCCCCAAGAGTCCCAAGCTCAACAAAATTAACCTGAAAATTTCCACCCTTCCTGTCAACTGCTTCCACTGTGGGTGTATCTGGTGTATGTGAGAACGAAGAATCATGCATTTTGGGGAAAGTAAATCCTATTTCCTTGCTTTTATGGGGAATACTACCAGTATCTCCATCCTTCCCTTCAAAAGGTGGGTTAAGGATTTCTTCCTTCCTCTCCATTCTAGCAGGCTGTGTGGAATAATTATTTTTAAACTTTTTGCTTTTGCCTTCATTGCCTCTCTTTTTAGGCTTTTCAGAAATCCAGGGAGCTGCCTCATGATCCTTCCATGGACACCTTCCTTCCTTGCTCTGGTTATTGACACCCATATCTTTGACTACATCTCCTGTTTCTGTGCTAACACCAGAAGTCTGAGTCATGCCTGATCCACTTTCCAAAGGAATCAATGCCTGCATGGTGCCTGCCACCTTAGGCTGAGTCATCTCTTTAGGCTCCCCCATCACCACTGCCTCCGTGAGATCAGCCTTAGTGCCTGGTTGCTTTGAAGAATTCAGCCCCAGCTCCTCACTCTTATCCTGAGTAGTCATTCCTTCAGTTTTAGAGACTGGCTCACTCGGTATGAGAACAGCCCTTCCGTCCTTCTGGCTGTCCAGAAGAAATGGCAGCTCAGATTTTGCTTTTACCTTCCCAGAATCTGTTCTCATTTTCCCAGAACTTCCCCTTCCCTTCCTGCTTTTGCCATCACCTGCCATTCTCTTAAATGGTTCATTCTCTACCCCAGGGACCTGTACCAACACTTGGCCCTGCAGCTGCTCAGAAGTAAAGATGCTGATCTCTTGTCTTTCGTTGGGAAAAGCTTCCTTTTTTAGTTCTTTATCCTCTTCAGCTCCTTCAGGAAACTCCTTCAGTTTGACATTCTGCAGTTTAGTCATTTTACTTTCATTATTCCCTTCTTTTAGATTACATTCTAATGGATTACTTGCTATCAAAGTGGGTACCAAATTTGGTATTTCTTTTGCTGCTGTGGGTTTTGAAACTACACCCATAACCTCTTGGTCCAAGAAAGGAGAGCAACCCTCTTTAAGTCTGATATCCAAAGGGGTTTCTACATTGTATGCAGAAACTTCTGCTAGGGGTCCTTTCAGATTGAGAGGGCCTACTGACTGGCTTTTATCTACAGGAGTCTTCAGGTGGGGTGCAGGCTGTGGTTTGTATTCATGTTGCTTCAGCAATTTCTTGTCTTGGTTTTGTAGTACTGACTTGTTACTTTTGCTCTCTTCCTCTACTCTCAGCTTAGACTGAGAACTTATTGCAGTTTTGGGGGCTTCTTCAGAAGGATATAAAGGAATTCTGAGACTCTCTGAGACAAAGTTCTCAGCTACCAGTCTGGCTGCACTGGAGTTAACTAAACATTCCCTTTTCAAGTTTTCTCCAGATACAAGTCCATATTCTGTACCCATAGTGGTAGGCTGGCTGGGGAGAACACCTGATTTTTGTGTGTCAGCTGCAAATGGATGACCTTTAGGCTTATCTGCATTGTCATCATCCGAAGGTCCTCCAGCCCGTGGTTGAGAATATCTCTTTTGCTTTGGTTTCTTCTTCTTTTTCTTCATCATTATTGGTGTGCTTTCTATATCCCAGGCCTCCCTGCCAAGATCCCTCTGGGGTTCAAGTGAGTCAACATGAATACTTTTTCTTTGGTTCCCAGGCCCACCACAGGAGGATGAACCAGAGACCCAACCTGACTCAGACAAAGAGCAGTGGCCCAGCCTGTGATCAAGAGTCTTCCATGGAGGAGAGCCTCCCAGCAGCTCAGGAGGGACCCTGGCAGGCTTGGGCCGGGTTGACCTGCGGTCACTGGGTCTGCAAACTTGTTTGGCTTGTGTGGGAGGGGTACCGCAATACATGAAGTTGGCTAAAATTCCAAACAAAAAACTCCTCGTTATTGTTTCTTAAAAACAACAAAAAACAAACAAACAAACAAAAAAACCAGACCATATAAATGACTAATTTAAGGAGGCTATTTTCACTAATACATATAGTACTTACTGTAATTTGCTCAGGAAAACAGTCTTTTCTAAAACATTTCTCACTTTTAACTGGCGCTAGCAAAAATATTTAACAGATCATCATCTCAGGTAAAGATTGTTTTCAAACATTTATAAAATATTTGAAATTTCAGAAGTAGCAGGATTGAACTTTTAAAAATGAAACATTTCACATCTTTTAACCTCTAAAAATAAGCACTTACTGCCTGTAAATCTCATCTGATTTATATTGGTCATTCTTAGTGCTTGCCTCTTTTTGGTGAAATTTATTAATTGCTTCAGTTAAATATACATGATTTTGGACAAAATTTATAATTCTAAGACTAGGTCACCAATATTAAACTAATACTTGTCAAACAAACCAGACAGATTCTGGGAACTAGATCAGAAGGCCAGACTTAAGTCACTTCACGCACACACACAAAATATACTGAATCCACATTTTGGTCAGAGAAAAATTCTCATGATTCCAGAACCAGAGCATCCTACTTTGAAAGACAAATATGTTAAATTTCAACATTCTGCTCCTAAATGTACTTCCCAAAAGACAGAGAAATATATATAATGTTAAGTAGGATAATTAATTTTAACAATTAAGATGAGTACCTTTGGAAGAGTTTCAGCAGGTGATCTGGTCTAACCTTCCTCCCAGTTAATATAATATGGATCCAAGATCCTGGCAAGAGTCTCATTAAGAGCAGGTATATGCCAGCTCCTGTCAAGTCTGACCCAATAAATTGATTTCCAAGAATATTATAATATGTAAATAGTGGATTTCATTCTTGTCCTTACCCCTCCAATATCCTCTAAATCCTAGCCTTTGTTTAATATCTCAGGTTAATTATTGCATCGCTCAAAAAATTGCTAGGCTATAGTATCCCCCAGTATTTATAACATTTAATTCAGCAATTAATCAGCAGCTATTCAGTGCCATCTTTTATACTATTTTATTCAATTATTATGTAAATCTTGGGTTTCAGAGTTCATGCCTGAGAACTTATCTCTTCATTCAGGTTATAATATAATAATTCAGGGGGCAAGGACGGGGACTTAAATATCTATATGCCTTAACATGGTGTATTTTGTATACCATAAGCACTTGATAAATCTTTACTGATTTGTTGAGTCAGTAAAACAACATTTAAAAAAAAAATCACACATTTATTTAAGCTCTAGTCTTGTGCTAGGTAGTGTGCAAAGCATTAGAGATTCTAAGTGAAATAAGTCATGGGCCCTTATGTCCCATATGTCAGGATGTCCACATTCCAATCATAGTCACAGAAAAGTAAACAGAAAATCAAGTTGATAATCATATACATATGCTTCTGGGTTATTAAAAACAGGTAATCTTCAAATTCACTGAATAATCAAACTTTAAATTGGAAAGTATCTTAGAGCAGTACCTCTCAAAGTTTAATGAAAATTAGAATTATCTGGGGATCTAATTAAAATGCAGATAATAATTACAAAGGCCTAAGGTAGAGCCCAAGATTCTGCATTTCTACCAGCCTCTCAGGTAATGTAGATGCTGTTGGGCCATGGAACACTGTAACTAGTAAGACTTTAGAGAACATTTGACCAATTAATTTATATTATAGCTAAGTAAACTGAGATATAGGCAAGTTATGTAACTTGCTTAAGACCACACAGGATAGAATAGTGAATAGCTGAACCAGATCAAAATTTGGGTGTCCTTTCTTCACTATGAAAACAGTGGAGAAGGCCAGGCACGGTCGCTCACGCCTGTAATCCCAACACTTTGGGAGGCTGAGGTGGGCAGATCACCAGAGGTCAGGAGTTTGAGACCAGCCTGGCCAACATGGTGAAACCTCATCTCTACTAAAAATTAGCCGGGCATGGTGGCAGGCGCCTGTAATCCCAGCTACTCAGGAGGCTGAGGCAGGAGAATCGCTTGAACCCAGTAGGTGGAGGATGCAGTGAGCCAAGATCACGCCATTGCACGCCAGCCTGGGCGACAGAGTGAGACTCTGTCTCAAAAAAAAAAAAACAACGACAACAACAACAAAAAAAACAGTGGAGAAAAAAAAAATTAGGTATCCTGATTTGCTGTAGTAGTAATTTTTAAAGATATAACAAGCTGACATTCTGTCTAAACCAGATAAAATCTGTCTAAGAGAATTGACTTCATAAACTATACTGCTGATTACCACCATACAACAGGGAACTAGAGACAATGTCTACCATCACTACTCTATCGCCCCTAATTTGTTTCAAAGAGTTCATTTTGTTTTCCTAACTTACCTGAGGTCTCTGAAGAAAGCTCAGAAGGTTGACTGTTGCATGGTTTCCTTTCCCCTAGTTTTTCTAACACAGAATCCTCCTCGGCCGGCAAGCTGCACTTTTTCCCCGTTCCTGTGACGGTTTCTAAAGGTAATAACAAAAGCCACACACGTTTCAGAGAAGCATGATTTCAGCTATTTTCCATCTGCCAGAAATTGGATATGGGATTAGTTTCTGAGGAGTTCTCCTACAAGGGGCAGCAAAGGAGTGAAGTGGTAGTTGGAAGCTGAAGTTGGGAAGGTATGTCTAGTTATGTTACTTTTTTTTTTTTTTTTGAGATGGAGTTTTTCACTCTTTGTTGCTCAGGCTGGAGTGCAATGGTGCGATCTCGGCTCACCACAACCTCCGTCTCCCAGGTTCAAGTGATTCTCCTGCCTCAGCCTCCCGAGTAGCTGGGATTACAGGCATGCGCCACCATGCCCGGCTAATTTTGTATTTTTAGTGGAGACGGGGTTTCTCCATGTTGGTCAGGCTAGTCTTGAATTCCCGACCTCAGGTGATCCGCCCACCTCGGCCGCCCAAAGTGCTGGGATTACAGGTGTGAGCCACCATGCCCGGTCAATGTTTCGTTTTTTAAGATGGGAAAAATAACAAACGTTTGTTAAATGGGTGGGAATGATCCAATGAAAAAAGATTTAAATTGGTATGAGGGGCAAAAAAGGGAAGAATACATGGGGCAATATATCGAGTAGGAAAGAGGAGATGGAATCTAGGGCAAAATGAGGAGAGGTTGGTCTTAATTAGGAGCAGGAACAGTTTACTTATAAAAACGGGAACTTTCATAAGCAGAGACCATGGATACAGATACAAGTAGTTGGGTAGATAATGGAATAGAAGTTTGTCGATGTTCTATTTTATTGCTTGACTTATCTGCAAGAAAAACAGGACAATCAGCAGAGAATGAACATAGAAAAGGTGTTGGAGGTGGGAGGAGGGTAAAGGCGGGAAAGAGTTGTCTAGGAGAGCAGGAGTATGAATAAACTTGCAAAGTACAGTGTGACTGTCTGTACTTTACCTGGCATGATGTTTGTCCTTAGTCTTCTCGAGACTACAACCTGGTAGAGAGAAATACTGAGAATAAGCACAAGCACGTACCTGGTGAAATCATGAAAGTAGGTGCAGCTGACTGCCCCACATCCTGCAGAGATTCTAAATGGGAATCCTCACTTATTCCTTTTTGTGTTTGTGCAATTTCCATGTCTTTAATTGGAACTGGTGTTGCCTCTGTTTCTGAGAGTGGTGGAACATCTTTGGCTGGAGTCACATTGTTGGCCAGGGTCAGAACCCCATCCTTAGCCAGGGGTGCTTCTGTTTTGAGGGCTGGGACCTGATCCTCAGTCAGGGCCACCTCCATTTCTGGAGGCAGACATACGTTCTTGATGAGAACTACTTCTGTTTCTGGAGGTGGAGTCACATCCTTGCCCAGAGCCATTTCTGTTTCTGATAGTGGAGACATGTCCTTCAACAAGCCCACTTCTTTTACTGTGGACGGAGCCACATCCTTGGCCGGGGCTATTTCTGTTTCTGGGAGTTGAGCCATGTCCTTGACTGGGGCCACCTCTGCTTCTAAAGGTAGTGCTTTATCCTTGGTCAAGATCACGTTGGTTTCCGGGGGCAGTGTCATGTCCCTGGCCAGGGCTACCTCTGTTTCTGAGGACAAAGCCACCTTCTCAGCAGAGGATATTTCTGTGGATGATATAATGTCATTAGCCTGTGCCACCTCTATTTCTGAGAGTAATACCAAATCCTTGGCTGGGACTATCTTGTTTTCTTTGGGTGGTCCCATGTCCTTGGAAGGAGCCAAGTCCATTTTTATAGGAGATGCCCTCTCTGTTTCTTTCTTGTTTTCTTTGGGTGGTCCCATGTCCTTGGAAGGGGCTAAGTCCATTTTTATAGGAGATGCCCTCTCTGTTTCTTTCAACAGTGTCACATCCTTGGCTGGGGCTACCTCTGTTTCTGTGGGCAGTACCACATTCTTGGCTGAAGATACATCTGTTTCTGTGGGCCATCTGACATCCTTAACCAGGGCCACTTCTTTTTCTGTGGGTAGTTCCATGTCCTTGACTAGGGCCATATCTGATTCCATGGATGGCTGCATGTCCTTGGCCAGTGTCACATCTAATTTGGTGGGTGATTCCATATCTTTAGCCAATGCCACCTCGGTTTTTGTAGCTAGTGCCATGTCCTTGGCGAGGGCCATCTCTGTTTCTTTAGATGGTGCCATGTCAGTAGTCTTCAGTCCCATCATTATTTCCAATGCTTGTGCTGGTGGCCTCTCTTCTGATGCCATTTCTATCTCCTTGGCTAGCTCTAAGGGAACTAAATTGGAAATTTAGGACACATCATTGTCTACTCATACCTTTGCATTAAAAATGCTTACTTTCTTCAGGCATGAGAGTATTTGGCTTTTGTGACCATAAGACTGTACACATAACTAAGAATTAATGTTAGGCCGGGCACAGTGGCTCACGCCTGTAATCCCAGAACTTTGGGAGGCCGAGGCGGATGGATCATCTGAGGTCAGGAGTTCGAGACCAGCCTGACAAACATGGTGAAACCCTGTCTCTACTAAAAATACAGAAATTAGCCATGCAGTGGCAGGCGCCTGTAATCCCAGCTACTTGGGAGGCTGAAGCAGGAGAATTGCTAGAACCCAGGAGGCGGAGTTTGCAATGAACCGAGATCACGGCATTGCACTCCAGCCTGGGGGACAGGGCAAGAGTCCGTCTCAAAAAAAAAAAAAAAAAAAGAAGAAGAAGCTAATGTCAAGTAACATATTCTGCCTACTCTTTGACAGTCTCAACACTTGGAAGAATAAGATGTAAAATACTGGGAGGACAAGTAGTGGAGGAGAAATGGCAAAGAAGAGAGAAAACATAGGCTTCAAAAATAACACGGGCACAGAATTAGTATTAGAAAGATAATCTGTGGGACAGCAGGTCAGTCATGCTTCCTATCAAGAAAAACTCCAGAGTTCTAAATCTGTACTGAATTTTTGTTTTTGTTTTTTGAGACACGGTCTCACGCTGTTGCCCAAGCTGGAGTGCAGTAGCATGATCTCGGCTCCCGGGTTCAAGCAATTCTCCTGTCTCAGCCTCCCTAGTAGCTGGGATTATAGGTACACGCCACCACGCTGAGCTTATTTATTTATTTATTTAGCTCTTTCACCCAGGCTGGAGTGCAGTGGCGCAATCTCGGCTGACAGCAACCTCTGCCTTCCGGTTTCAAGTGATTCTCCTGCCTCAGCCTCCCTAGTAGCTGGGATTACAGGCACCTGCCACCACGCCCAGCTAATTTTTTGTATTTTTAGTAGAGACGGGGTTTCACCATGTTGGCCAGGCTGGTCTCGAACTCCTGACCTCAGGTGATCTGCCCGCCTTGGCCTCCCAAAGTGTTGGGATTACAGGCGTGAGCCACCGTGCCTAGACCAATTTTTGTATTTTTTGTAGAAATGGGGTTTCACCATGTTGGCTGGGCTGGTCTGGAACTCCTGACCTCAAGTGATCTGCCTGCCTCAGCTTCCCAAAGTGCTGGGATTATAAGTGTGAGCCACCACACCAGGCCGTAAATCTGTACTGAATTAAAAAAAAAAATTCTGATACCTAATACAATGAAAATGTGATGAAAAAAATATATATATGTTAAAAAATTTAAAAAAAGTATTTATGTGCCCGTTAACCCTAAGTGTTATAGTTCAACAATTTAATTCCTCCAGTGGTGATATCACTAATATAAGCAAAACATTTGTGATTGTTCTGAAATTTTTATACCTGCTGTAAGCTGCTAAAAAATACACCTGATGATTTATATTGATTACCAATACTGCAACCATTAACTGATAAAGGGAGTCTCTAATAGTTTACCTGCCGTTGGCTGAGGAGGTTCTGCAACAGCCTCTGGGGAAACAAAGGACTCTGAGTGTGGAGAGTTTAAGGCTTCCACAGACCACCCCTGAGGTACAACAGCTGTGTTGCAGGGAGACATACCTAATATTGAAACACAAACAAATACATTTTGAAACTTAGTAAACATTGGAAACAAAAGGTATTTGATATATTTTTGTTTTGTTTTGTTTTGTTTGTTTTTTTTTTGAGACAGAGTTTCGCTCTGTTGCCCACGCAGACAGAGTGAAGTGGCGTGATCTCGGCTCACTGCAAGCTCCGCTTCCCGGGTTCACGCCATTCTCCTGCCTCAGTCTCCCGAGTAGCTGGGACTACAGGCGCCTGCCACAGCTCCCGGCTAATTTTTTGTATTTTTAGTAGAGGCGGGGTTTCACCATGTTAGCCCGGATAGTCTCGATCTCCTGACCTCTTGATCCAACCGCCTCGGCCTCCCAAAGTGCTGGGATTACAGGCGTGAACCACCGCGCCCGGCCTAAGAGGTATTTGATATTTAAAATCAGCTGCATATATTGCCAGGAAGACACAGACTAATAAAAAACAATGCAAAAAAAGTTTTTTTTCTTTTTTTGAGACAGAGTCTCGCACTGTCGCCTGGGCTGGAGTGCAATGGCACGATCTCGGCTCGCTGCAATCTCTGCCTCCCAGGTTCACGCCATTCTCCTGCCTCAGCCTCTCAAGTAGCTGGGACTACAAGCACACACCACCACACCTGGCTAATTTTTTTGTATTTTTAATAGAGATGGGGTGTCACTATGTTGGCCAGATTGGTCTCGAACTCCTGACCTCATGATCCACCCGCCTTGGCCTCCCAACGTGCTGGGATTACAGGTGTGAGACACCGCGCCCGGCCGACAACGCAAACAAGTTTTAAAGGAAACACTGCTGACATTCTTCAGGTTTTAGCTAGTTGTTAGTAGGTGGTATAGTATATCCCAGTAGTGCCATTAATCAACATTCACTGGCTACTTTCTATATAATATATAAAGGGTAATATAAAGATTCAAAATATTAATGATTGAACTCTAGTTCCAACACCACAACCAACATAATATACTATAGTAAAAAACTGCGAGTCTTAATTTCTTCATCTGCAAAATGAGATTAACACCTCCCTTTCCAACATTAGAAGACAATTTTATTAAAATACTTTGTAGCAGTTTTGTTGTTGTTGTTGTTGTTGTTGTTTGCCCAGCTAATTTTCTTATTTTTATTATATTTATTTATTAATTTTTGAGATGGATTCTTGCTCGTTGCCCAGGCTGGAGTGCAATGGCACAATCTCAGCTCACTGCAACCTCCACCTCCCAGGTTCAAGTGATTCTTCTGACTCAGCCTCCTGAGTAGCTGGGATTATAGGTGTCTGCCACCACTCCCAGCTAATTTTTGTATTTTTAGTCGAGACAGTGTTTCACCATGTTGGCCAGGCTGGTCTCGAACTCCTGACCTCAGGTGATCTGCCCACCTCCGTCTCCCAAAGTGCTGGGATTACAGGCATGAGCCACCACACTCGGCCTAATTTTTCTATTTTTAGTAGAGATGGGGTTTCACCATGTTGGCCAGGCTGGTCTCAAACTCCTGACCTCAGGTGATCTGCCCGCCTCTGCCTCCCAAAGTGCTGGGATTACAGGCATGAGCCATTAGGCCCAGCCTAATTTTTGTATTTTTAGTAGAGACGGGATTTCACCATTTTGGCCAGGCTGGTCTTGAACTCCTGGCCTCAAGTGATCCATCCGCCTTGGCCTCCCAAAGTGCTGGGATTACGGGCGTGTGCCACTGCACCCAGATGGTTTTTTTTTTTTTTTTTTTTTTTTAAGACAGGGTCTCAACTCTGTTGTCCAGGCTGGAGTACAGTGGCATGATCATGGCTCAATGCAGCCTCGACCTTCTGGGCTCAAGCAATCCTTCCACCTCAGCCTCTTGAGTAGCTGAGACTACAGGCATGTGCCACCACGCCTGGATGAATTTTAAAATTTTTTGTAGGACAGGATCTCCCTATGTTGCCCAGATTGGTTTCAAATTGCTGGGCTCAAGCAATCCTGTCACCTCAGCTTCCCAAAGTGCTAGGGTTACAGGCATGAGCCACTGTGTCTGCCTGTAAATGAAGAAGTAGAAAAATGTGGCTGGGTGCAAAGGCTCACGCCTGTAATCTCAGCACTTTGGGAGGCTGAAGCGGGTGGATCACTTGAGCCCAGGAGTTCAAGACCAGCCTGGGCAACGTGACAAAACCCCATCTCTACAAAAAATTAGCCAGGCATAGTGGTACACACCTGTAATCCCAGCTGCTCAGGAGATTGAGGTGGGAGGATCACCTGACCAGGAGGCCAAGGCTGCAGTGGGCCGTGATCGCATCACTGCACTCCAACCTGGGTGACAGAGTGAGACCCTGTCTCAAAAAAAAGGGGAGATGACAGCCCAACTGTGAATCTGTGAATTGTCTCCTTTGATTAATCCAAAGAGAGCCTTGTCACACCCACAGCCCCTAAATCTGACTTTTCTTAGTGGTTAGCTTCAAAGGTGATGTGTGAAAGGCCATGTTGATTGTTTGGCATTAAACAACTAAAGGACACCAGAATATGCCACCCCAAAATACGCTACTTTGGCATAAGGACTTTTTTAAGCTGAAGGCTATTATTAGCCTGGAGATGGCACCATAGGAATCTACACAGCAACCTTTACTAACTAGCTTTTACCTACCATTTACCTGTCTCCCACAATTTGCGGCCCCTAGAGACTCAAAAGTCTTTTCCTTCATCTTCTCACCTCTCAAAAAAAAAATTTGTCATTCTTTATTGAAGAAGCTATATAAGGTGGAATTCTAAAGCCACCTCTTGCGGAGTTACTCATTCCCTAGGTACCTCTCATGTACATATTAAATTCACATTTTAAACTTTGGTCTCTTTTTTCTTGTTAATCTTTTGTCACAGAGCCCTAGTCAGTGAACCAAAGATGAGTAAAGAAAAAATTTTTTTCCTTCCCTACAGAATAAATCCATTTGAAGAAGCCATACCGTAACTGTCTTTCAAGGGATCATTTTGTCCTGCAAATATTGAAGTATCAGCTGTCGCACTGGAGGGAAAGACCAAATCTGCCAGGTCATCATCATGGTACATCTTAAAGGGATCTGGAATATAGAAGAAATCCAAAACTCATTCCTGGTGAATGCAACTAGAAAGATTAATATTTCTTTCTTTCTTTCTTTTTTTTTTTTGAGGTGGAGTCTTGCTCTGTTGCCAAGGCTGGAGTGCAGTGGTGCCATCTTGGTTCACTGCAACCTCTACCTCCCAGGTTCAAGCAATTCTCCTGCCTCAGCCTCTTAAGTAGCTGGGATTACAGATGCCCGCCACCATGCCTGGCTAATTTTTGTATTTTTTTGTAGAGACAAGGTTTCTCCACGTTGGCCAGGCTAGTCTCAAACTCCTGATCTCAAGTGATCTGCCCACCTCGGCCTCCCAAAGTATTAGGATTACAGGCGTGAGCCACCATGCCTGGCCAATATTTCTTATTATCCTATGATGAATATAGATGAGTTGTCAATAGTAAGTAAACCGAAATCATATGTGACTGCACATGGTAGAGAATCAATATTCACTAATTCATTTGTTATGAGTTAATAATAAATAATCCCTTCTCTAAGATTTGGTTATGTACATCAGATAGCCAACAAATGCATAAAACAAAAAGGGCAACTAATGCTCAGCTGTATAACAAACACTCTGAGAGGTGAAAGTATAAACTAAATTTTCAATATATATTTATATAACATTCATTTTAAGTTACTTTTTAAAAAGACAGAGCCATTAACAAGCTTAAAAAAAAAAACCAACAAGTAATTTTTCACCTCATGTGGACATGATGAAGAAAACTGCATTTCAAAACTGTCTGAATGGGACAAGATAAACAATTGTTATCCTAACAGAAGAAATAAACTCTTGACTCAGGAGCTGGCATGAATAAAAGCACTCAAAACATCAGGTAAACTCTTTGTGCTTTTGTACATGAAAAAAAAGCAGGGCCGGGCATGGTGGTTCATGCCTGTAATCCCAGCACTTTGGGAGGCCAAGGCGGGCGGATCACGAGGTCTGGAGATTGAGACCATCCTGGCTAATAGAGTGAAACCCCGTCTCTACTAAAAATATAAAAAAATTAGTCAGGCGTGGTGGCACGTGCCTGTAGTCCCAGCTACCCGGGAGGCTGAGGCAGGAAAATCGCTTGAACACGGGAGGCAGAGGTGGCAGTGAGCCGAGATGGCGCCACTGCACTCCAGCCTGGGTGATAGAGTGAGACTGTCTCAAAAAAAAAAGAAAAAAAAGCAAAGCTGTTCAGGCTAAACAAGAGTTCCACTTTCTGAAGAGGCCTTCTTGGAATTTATTTTATTATCTTAATCATCCTGAAGACTTGTTAAAAATAAAGATTGCTGGTTCCTGAGAATCTGCATTTCCAACTAGTTCCTGAGTGACACTAACACATCACTCCCTTAAGACACTTCAATTGTCAGAGACAGCCGCATAAAAGCCCAGGCCTTGAGAGAATGTTCATTTTCTTGGCTCTGAGGCAGCTATACCACCCTCTTTTTGTAAGAAATTTCAGGATTAGGGGAGACCACTGCATCGGGAAGTGTGAACAAGCAGAAGGCAATATTGGGAAACTTGTTGAGGCTTCTTCTTCAGAAAACCATGGGAGCCTGGAAAAGTGGCACACACCCCAGCTACTTGAGAGGCTGAGGTGGGAGGATCTTCTTGAGCCCAGGGGTTCAAGGCTGCAGTGCACTATGATATGGCGACTGTGAATAGTCACTGCACTCCTGTCTGGGCAACACACCGAGACCGCCCATCTTTAAAAACAAAAAACACAGCCTGCTTTTTGTTTAAAAAAAAAAAAAACAAACCCTTATTTTCAAAAAACGGAAAAATTAGCCAGGCATGGTAGCGCATGCCTGCAGTCCCAGCTACTCGGAAGGCTGAGGTGGGAGGATCACTTGAGCCTGGGGAGGTTGAGTCTGTGGTGAGCCGTGGTTGTACCACTGAGCTACAGCCTGGGTGACAAAGTGAAACCCCATCTCAAAATAAATAATAAAAACAGAACAAAATTAAGAAAAAGAAAAGATGGGGAGATAGAATATGAGAGAGATGATAAACATTCATTCTTCCCAGTTCTATATGGTTTGGGATAGCTCGCTGCTTGCTCTGCCTCTCACACTTCCCCCTTGAGGGAAAAAAGGATTCTTAAAGCATCAAACAGACTAAATTCTGGATGGTTTGCACTTTAAGATGGGAGCTTGCTAAATTACTTGTAAAAATAGATGATTCTTACAGAGTTCTGTCATTTAGTCATTAATTTTTTACTGGGTGCCTACCACATGGCAGACCCAGTATGCTCTAAAAAACCCAAAGATGTACAAGGTCAGGGATGGGAACATTTATATATGTTCCCACAGGATATATTTTGGTTCAAGTCAAGGGAGATCTTTGCTTGATAAGTATTTAAGCTGAGAACTAAAGAACTGAGTGGTTATGAGGAGGAAGACAAACCTTTTCTCTCTCTACATTCCCTCTCCTCTAATCCCACAGTTTAAAATTCCATCTATAGGTTGATGACACCTGAATTTATAATTCAAGACCTCTAGACCTCTCACCTTATTTTCAGACTTTTATGTAGCATGTTTCCAAATCTACTCATTATATAGTCTTTCCATCTCTAATGGCATTCTATCCTTCTATGTTTTTTGCAAAAAACCTTGGAGTCATCCTGGACCTCCTCTTTTTCACACACCACAGCCAACCCATCAGAAAATCCATTGCCCTTGACCTTCAAAATGTGCCCCAGAACCTATTTCTCCCCCAGCTCCATGACTAGGGTTTCTCACAAGGTTGCAGTCCAGCGGTTGGCCAGGGGCTGTGGTGATCTGAAGACCTGACTGGGGCTGCAGAACCTGCCTGTTAAGATGGCTTACGTGGCCGTTGAATGGAGGCCTCTGCTCCTCTCCCATGTGTGCCTCTCTATATCAGCTGGCTTTCCTCATGATTAGTAAACACAGAGTGATCAAGATGGAAGCTACGATATTTTTTTTTTTTGAGATGGAGTCTCGCTCTGTCGCCCAGGCTGGAGTGCAGTGGCGTGATCTCAGCTTACTGCAACCTCCGCCTCCCAGGTTCAAGCAATTCTCCTGCCTCAGCTTCCCGAGTAGCTGGGACTACAGGCATCCGCCACCACACCTGGCTAATTTTTTGTATTTTTAGGAGAGACGGGGTTTCACCATGTTGGCCAGGATGGTCTCCATCTCTTGACCTCGTGATCCACCTGCCTCAGCCTCCCAAAGTGCTGTGATTACAGGCGTGAGCCACCGTGCCCGGCTGAAGCTATGATATTTTCTGTAATTTAATCTTAGAAATGACACACTATTATTTCTGCCATCTATTCTACAATCACACAGACCAAACCTAGTACCACATGGGAGGTGACTACACAAGGGTATCAATACCAGGAGGCAGGGATCATTGGACGCCATCTTGGCAGTTGACTACCACACTCAACTTTCCGCTGAGGAAATTAAACTCCACTGAATTTTTTTTCCTACTCAAAATTGGTCATTCCTTTGTTACCCTTGCTGGCTCCTCTTCTTCCTGATTTAAATTATTTATGTACTTATCATTTGAGCTTGGGCGGTCAAGGCTGCAGTGAGCCCAGACTGTGCCACTGCACTCCAGCCTGGGCGACAGAGGGAGATTCTGTCTCAAAAAAATAAAATAATGAACAAAATATGGTATAGCCATATAATGGAGTATTACGTGTCCATAAAGAAAGTACTGATACATGCCACAAAATGCAGGACTCCTCAAAACAGTATGCTAAGTGAAAAAAAGCAGTCACAAAGAAACCACTTTATATGATTCCCTTTATATAAAATGTCCAATCTAAGCAAATTTATAGAGACAAAAAGCAAATTGGTAGTTGCTTAGGGTTGCAGTGGATAGGGAGATGGGGGTGATATTTAAAAGGTACAGAGTTTCTTTTTGTGGTAATAAAAGTGTTCTAAAATTGAATCTGGTTATGGTTATAACCATAAATAGATAAATAGATAGGTAAGTAGATAGAGTACAATTCAGCGGAATTTTTTTGGAGACAGAGTTTCGCTCGTTGCCCAAGCTGGAGTACAATGGCACGATCTTGGCTCACTGCAACCTCTGCCTCCCGGGCTCAAGTGATTCTCCTGCCTCAGCCTCCCAAGTAGCTGGAATTACAGGCGTGCACCACCATGCCTGGCTATTTTTTTATATTTTTAGTAGAGATGGGGTTTCACCATGTTGGCCAGGCTGGTCTCGAACTCCTGACCTCAGGTGATCTGCCCACCTCAGCCTCCCAAAGTGCTGGGATTACAGGCGTGAGCCACCACGCCCGGCCAATTCAGTGGAATTAAGTTACTCTATTTTATTTATTTTATTTTATTGAGACAGGGTCTGGCTCTGTCACCCAAGCTGGAGTTCAGTGGGACAGTCTCGGCTCACTGCAACCTCTGCCTCCCGGGCTCAAACGATCCTCCAACCTCAGCCTCCCAAGTAGCTGGCATTACAGGCGCCCGCCACCATGCCCGGCTGATTTTTTTATTTTTAGTAGAGACGAGGTTTCACCATGTTGGCTGGGCTGGCCTCGAACTCCTGACCTCAGGTGATCCGCCTGCCTCGGCCTCCCAAAGTGCTGGGATTACAAGTGTGAGCCACCACGCCTGGCCTAAGTTACTCCATTTATCTACTCTATCTACTCTACCTATCTGTCTGTCTGTCTGTCTACACATCTATCAGGGACAGGGTCTTGCTGTATTGCCCACGCTAGAGTACAGAAGCACGATCCTAGGTAACTGCAGCTTTGAAGTGGCAGACTCAAGTGATTCCCCCACCCCAGCCTCCCGAGTAGCTAGGACTACAGGCATGTGCTGCCACAACCAGCTAACTTTTAAAATGTTTTGTAGAGACAGAATCCCATTATGTTGTTCAGGCTGGTCTCAAACTCTTGGCCTCAAGTGATCATCCCACCTATGCCTCACAAAGTGCTGGGATTACAGGCACAAGTCACTGAATCTGGCCGAACTATATACTTTAAATGGGTAAACTGTATGGTACTGTGAATTATTGGCCAGGCGCAGTGGCTCACACCTGTAATCCCAGCACTTTGGGAGGCTGAGGTGGGCAGATCATCTGAGGTCAGGAGTTTGAGATCAGCCTGGCCAACATGGTGAAACCTGGTCTCTACTAAAAATACAATTAGTTGGGTGTAGTGGGCACCTGTAATTCCAGCTATATGGGAGGCTGAGGCAGGAGAATCGCTTGAACTCAGGAGGCAGAGGTTGCAGTAAGCTGAGATTGCGCCACTGCACTCCAGCCAGGGTGACAGAGCAAGACTCTGTCTCAAAAAAAAAAAAAAAAGAATTGTATCTCAATACAGCTTTTTCTTCACCCTCCCCCCATAATTACTTTGTACCTAGGAAAGCCGATAACTGACAAATGGTACAGAACATCACATACTAGGTTATTTGAAACAAACGATGAGCATCTTATAAGTTAGATGTCAAAAAAGAAGCCATATTTAAGTGGAAACATAACTTGAGCTCTCAATCTGGCTAACAGGGAAGTACCAAAGCTATTCCTTTAAGGCTCTTTTGGAACTCATTCTTCCTACCAACTCTAGCTCTGGGCTACTACAGATAGGCTTTTGTTTGTTTGTTTGTTTGTTTGTTTGTTTTTGAGATGGAGTTTCGCTCTTGTTGCCCAGGCTGGGGTGCAGTGGCGCGATCTCGGCTCACTGCAACCTCCGCCTCGCAGGTTCAAGCAATTCTCCTGCCTCAGCCTCCCGAGTAGCTGGGATTACAGACATATGCCACTACACCTGCCTAATTTTGTATTTTTAGTAGAGACAGCGTTTCTCCATGTTGGTCAGGCTTGTCTCGAACTCTCGAACTCAGGTGATCCGCCCACTTTGGCCTCCCAAAGTGCTGGGATTACAGGCATAACCCACCGCACCTGGTCTGTTTTTAATTTTATAGAAAGTGGGTATGAATCAGCTTTCTCTTCTGTCAAAAGAGGATACATATATTTGGCAGAGTTAGGTAAGAAATACCGATAATGTGTATATAAAGGCTCTAGCACTGTGCCTGGCACAGAACAGCACTGGTTTAACATTACCATAATAATTCCTTCTGGAAGAATTAAGGTTCTAAGGTACTATGGATCCTCTAATCTTCAGTGTATATGAATTTCACATAATGTATTTAAAATAGGTTTTGAAGAGCAGGGAACTAGAGGGCATTAAGTGTCTCAAAGGAAAGGATAAATGAAGAAGAGAAAGGGACAAACCAATGCTAAGGTTGTACTTTGTGATCTATACTTAAGCTAAAGCATTTTCATCTGAATGGTGGTTGTAGCTTTTTCACATTTATGTCATAGCACACATTTAGTAGTCACGAGCAAGCCAACACTTACCAGTCTGGATAGGATCGACCACTTGCTCAGGTTGGAAACAAAAGTTGGTATCTTCTGGCCAGTTCTGGCTATTTGGGTATTCCTGGTAGGCCATTTTCTCTTCAAGGAATTCAGTTGGAGACCCTTAAAATAGAGACACAAAACAAAAGTTACAAGATATTACAGTTTTCTCCTCCACTACAGTGGAATTTCTACAAAGTATTACAGCTAGTACAATATAAAAAATCCTATCTAGCTAGTGTCTTACAAGAAAACTTTTTTCTTTTAATTGAAAGATAAAAGGAGCTGGGTGCAATGGTGCGTCTGTAGCCCCATTTACTTGGGAGACTGAGAGAGGATTACCTGAACCCAGGAGTTTGAGGCTGTAGTGCACTATGATCACACCTGTGAACAGCTACTGCACTCCAACCTGGGCAACATAGCAAGACTCTGTCACTAAAAAAAATTTTAGATAGAAGGAAATAAAGTAGGTCATTAAGGTTAAAAAAACACTACAGAGTGACTTCTAGGTTATGCAGGCACGAAGAGGGTAGTGATTTCTCCACATGAAAGAACAAGGATAAAACTGTCAAAAGCAACAATTTCAGGGAGCTGGAATTAAAAAAAAAAAAAGCCAGCCTAAATAAGTGGAAAGGTATAACATGCTCAGGAATGAAAGATTCAATACTGTTAAGATGGCAATCCTGAAAATGACCAATATATTGAAGAAAGTACAAAATAAGCTCATTCCATAATTTATATAAAAATGCAAAAAACCTAGAAAAGCCAAAACAATTTTGAAGAAAAACAGTTGAAGGGCTTACATAACCTGATTTCAAAAGTTATTATAAATGTACCAACTCAGGCTGGGAGAAGTGGCTCACCACCTGTAATCCCAACACTTTGGGAGGCTGAGGCAGGCAGCTCACTTTGAGGTCAGGAGTTCGAGACCAGCCTGACCAACATGGTGAAACCCTGTCTCTAGCAAAAATACAAAAATTAGCTGGGCATGGTGATGCATGCCTGTAATTCTGGCTACTCAGGAGGCTGAGGCACGAGAATCACTTGAACCTGGGAGTGGGAAGGTTGCAGTGAGCCAAGATTGCGCCACTGCACTACAGCCTGGGTGACAGAGCAAGACTGTACCAACTCAGCATGGTATTGACAACGTGGTATTGGAACAGAACAGGTTCAGAACGTGGTACTGGAACAGAACAGGTTCAGAAAGAAACATACAAAGTTAGGGTCAACTGGCTATCTACAAACATAATATAATTCAACATAATTATATTCAACCCAGAAACAAATTTTTTTTCAACAAATGATACAGAAACAATTGGACACTGACCACATACCATATGCAAAAGTTAACTCCAAACAGATCAAAGACCTAACGTAGCTCACTTGCTAACTTATTATGCAAAAAAAAAAAAAAAAAAAAAAAAAAAAAAGACAAGACAAAGACCTAATGTAAGAGTTAAAACTAAAAAAACTTATAAACAGGAAAAAATCTTTGTGACTTTGGATTAGGCAAAGATTTCTTAGACATGTCACCAAAAGCACTATCTGTAAGAGACAAAATATATAAATGGGACACCATGAAAATTTAAAACTTTTGCTTTTCAAAGATGCTATTAAACGGCCAGGCATGGTGGCTCATGCCTGTAATCCCTGCACTTTGGGAGGCCGAGGCAGGCGGATCACCTGAAGTTAGGAATTCAAGACCAGCCTGGCCAACTGGGTGACACCCCATCTCTACTAAAAAATACAAAAATTAGCTGGGCCTGGTGGCCTGTGCCTGCAGTCCCAGCTACTCAGGAGGCTGAGGCAGGATAATCACCTGAGCCTGGGAGGCGAAGGTTGCAGTGAGCTGACATTGTGCCACTGTACTGCAGCCTGGGGCAACAGAGTGAGACTGCGTCTCAAAAAACAAAACCAAACAAAAAAACAAAAGACAGGCCGGGCGCGGTGGCTCACGCCTGTAATCCCAGCACTTTGGGAGGCCGAGGCGGGTGGATCATGAGGTCAGGAGATCGAGACCATCCTGGCTAACAAGGTGAAACCCCGTCTCTACTAAAAATACAAAAAATTAGCCGGGCGCGGTGGCGGGCGCCTGTAGTCCCAGCTACTCGGGAGGCTGAGGCAGGAGAATGGCGTGAACCCGGGAAGCGGAGCTTGCAGTGAGCCGAGATTGCGCCACTGCAGTCCGCAGTCCGGCCTGGGCGACAGAGCGAGACTCCGTCTCAAAAAAAAAAACAAACAAACAAACAAAAAAAACAAAAGACAACAACAAAGGTACTATTAAAGAAAATGAAAAGAGAAGTCATAGACTTCGAGAAATATCTGCAAATCATAAATCTGATAAAAGATTTGTATGTAGAAGAGATTATAATCTCTTACAATACAATTATAAGATAAACAACTCAATTTAAAACTTGATGGCCAGCTGCAGCGGCTCATGCCTGTAATCCCAGCACTTTGGGAGGCCAAGGTGGGCGGATCACAAGGTCAGGAAATCGAGACCATCCTGGCTAACACAGTGAAACCCTGTCTACTACAAATACAAAAAAAAATTAGCCGGGCATGGTGGAGGATGCCTGTAGTCCCAGCTACTCAGGAGGCTGAGGCAGGAGAATGGCGTGAACCTGGTAGGCAGAGCTTGCAGTGAGCGGAGATCACGCCACTGCACTCCGGCCTGGGTGACAGAGCGAGACTCTGTCTAAAAAAAAAAAAAAAAAAATTGGCTAAATATTTCAATAGACATTTTACCAAAGAAAATATATAATGCGTAATATGCACATGAATGAAGCTCATCAGTCCTTAGGGAAATGCAAATTAAAACTACAATGAACTCCTACTACAAAACCACTAAAATGGCTGTTATCAGGCCAGGCACAATGGTTCATGCCTGTAATCCCAGTACTTCGGGAAGCTGAGGCAAGAAGGTCACCTGAGCCCAGGAGTTTGAGACCAGCCTGGGCAACATAGTGAGACCCTGTCTCTACAAAAACATACAAAAAAAAAATTAGCCAAGCATGGTGACGAGTGCCTTTAGTTTCAGCTACTCAGGATGCTAAAGCAGGAAGATTGCTTGAGCCTGGGAAGTCGAGGCTGCAGTCACCTGTGATCACACTACTGCCTTGGTGACAGAAAAAGGCCCTATTTTTTAAAAAAGGCTGTACAAAAAGACTGACAGGAGCAATTTTGAGAATGTGTAAAATGGTAGTTTGGTGGTTTCCTTTTATTTACTTATTTTTGTTTTTCTCAAAGTTGCTCTTTTTTTGTTGTTGAGACAGGGTCTTGCTCTGTCATCCAGGCTGGAATGCAGCGGTGTGGATCATGGCTGACTGCAGCCTCAACTTCCCAAGCTCAAGCAATCCTCTCACCTCGGCCTCCCAAGTAGCTACAAATATAGGCACTTGCCACCACACCTGCCTAATTTAAACAAAATTTTTTTTTTTTTTTTTTTGTAGAGACAGGGTCTCATTATGTTGCCCAAGCTGGTCTCCAACTTCTGGGCTCAAGCAGTTCTCTGATCTCAACCTCCTCAAGTCCTAGGATTACAGGTTTGAGCCACTGTGCCTGGCTCCATCTGTATTTTTAAAGACTAGTCAAGTACAACAGTGAGAAGCAGGGAAAGAGTGGAACGTGGAGTTCAATCTGTAACTGACTGAACAATTGAGATAACTCACTACCTTTGGACCAGCCTCTTTTTATTTTTTAAATAACAGTTTTATCGAGTATAATTCACAAAATTCACTCTTTTAAAGTCGAGTTCAAAGGTTTTTTAGCATATACACAGTTATACAACCATCACCACTATCTAACTTCAGAACATTTTCTTCACTCCAAAAAAGAAATCCCATATCTTTTCTCCTTTCCCACTTTCCCCTACCCCTCGGTAACCACTCGTCTACTTTTTGTTCCTAAGGATTTGCCTAATCTAGATATTTCATATAAATGAAGTCACACAATATGTCATCTTTTGTGACTGACCTCTTTCATTTAGCACAATGTTTTCAAGGTTCATCCATGCTGTAGTATGGTAACTGAACTTTATTCCTTTTTATAGCCAAATAACATTCCACTGTGTAGATCCACCACACTTTGTTTATCCATTAATCAGCTGACATTTGGTTGTTTCTACTTTTTGGATATTGTGAATAATGCTGCTATGAACATTCACGTACAGGTTTTTGTGGGAACGTGTTTCAATTATCTTTGATATATCCCTAGGAGTAGAACTGCTGGGTCATAAAGCAACTTTATGTTTAATATTTTGAGACACTGCCAAACTGTTTCCAAAATGGCTGCGTCATTTTACAATCCCAATAACAATACATGAGGACTCCAGTTTCTTCACATCTTCACCAACATGTTGTTATCTTTTTTTATCGTAGTCACCCTAGATGTGGTAAGAAGTAGCATCTTATTGTGGTTTTGATTTGGACTGCTCTAATGACTAATGATGTTGAGCATTTTTTCATGTGTTCATCTGGCATTTGTATGTTTTCTTTGGAGACGTGAAATGAGTGGGGTCTCATTATGTTGCCCAGACTATTCGGGTGCAGCGGCTGTTCACAGGTGCAATCATACTGCCTTGCAGCCTCAAACTCCTGGGCTCAAGTAATCCTCTTGCCTCTGCAAGAGACACCTACAGCTGAGACCACAGGTGTACACCACCATGCTTGGCTATCTTTTTTTGTTTTTATTTTTGAGACAGTCCTGCTCTGTTGCTCAGGCTGGAGTGCAGTGGCACGATCACAGCTCACTGCAACCTTAAACTCCTGGGCTCAAGAGATCTTCCTGCCTCAGCCTCAAGAGTAGCTGGGACTACAGGTGCATGCCACCACACCTGGCTAATTTTTTTTTAATTTTTGTAGAGAAGAATCTCAAAAGCATTATGCTAAGTGAGGAAATCAAGATACCAAAGAATATATATTGTATGATTCCATTTATATGAAATTTCTAGAACATACAGAACTATAACAGGAAGCAGATCAATGGTCACCTGAAACTGTAGGTCAGAAAAGGGACTGGCTTTGTAAATGGGCTCAAGGGAACTTTTAGGGTAATAAAAAAATGTTCTAACGATGGATTACACTGATGGTTGCACAACTCCATAATATTACTAAGAATCATTTCGACTCCGTAATTTTACTAAGAATCATTTACTTCCACACTTACAACAGGTAAATTTTTGGGTATGTAAATTACACCTCAATAAAGTTTTTTTCTTTCTTTTTTTTGAGACAGGGTCTCACTCTGTCACCCAAGCTGGAGTGCGGTAGTACGATCATAGCTCACTGCAGCCTCGACCTCCCTGACTCAAGCAATCCTCTCACCTCAGCCTGCCAAGTAGCTGGGACTACTGGCATATGCCATCCTGCCCAGCTTTTTTTTTTTTTTTTTGAGACAGAGTCTTGCTCTGTCACCCAGGCTGGAGTGCAGTGGCGCGATCTGGGCTCACTGCAAGATCCGCCTCCCAGATTCACGCCATTCTCCTGCCTCAGCCTCCCAAGCAGCTGGGACTACAGGCGCCTGCCACCACGCCCGGCTAATTTTTTGTATTTTTAGTAGAGACAGGGTTTCACCATGTTGGCCAGGCTGGTCTCAAACTCCTCAACCCAAGTGATCTGCCTGCCTCAGCCTCCCAAAGTGCTGGGATGACAGGCATGTGTCACTGCACCTGGCCCCAAAAGCCAACTTTAAATGGCATTTCAACACAAGTAGGTTCCCCAGAGCTGAATGTGGTGAAATTGGGTTAATTATGTAGTTTAATTTTCTGTACTCTATGTATGTATTCATCACCATTTCAGTAGATATGTAAGGCCAATTTTACATAGGTCACACATACTTGTTTTTAAACACTGCTGGAGAAGAAATCTCAAGGCTGACCGAAGCAACAGACTCAGGCACTGGGTAAAGAGAGGGACAGGACATCAAGAGCTAATCTACTGGTGGTGACCAGGCAGCACTGAATCAACAGCACCACAACATATTAAATAATTTTTTTAAAAAAGTGATTAGGGTTTTGAACCCTACTTTTCCCCAGTCAAATTTCTACCCTTTCAATACCTTTTAGTATCTGCTGTATACTGATGGCATAGTTTTGAGACAGCGTCTCCTTTTGTCTCCCAGGCTGGAATCCAGTGACTTGATCTCAGCTCACCCTAAACTCCGTCTCCCAGGCTCAAATTATCCTCTCACCTCAGCTTCTTGAGTACTGGGACTACAAGCACGTGCCATCACGCTCGGCTAATTATTGTATTTTTGGTAGAGACAGGATTTCACCATGTTACCTAGGCTGGTCTTGAACTTCTGGGCTCAAGGAGTCCACCCATCTTGGCCTCCCAAAGTGCTGGGATTACAGGCCACCGTGCCTGGCCCAGTCTGCTTTCTTATAAACAATATTAGTGCGGCTCATAATTTACATATTACTAACAAACGAATCAGTGACTCCTTCTATTTCACACCCTCAGCTCTTTCCTTGTTTTTTTGTTTTTTTCCCCCAGTGGTAACCTCAGAACTTTAAAGTGAAAGGAACCTAGAGGATCACCTAATCCAAACCTCTGAAGTTTAAACCATGCCACATTTGTCCAGATAATTCATTTACCAATTTAAGCACATACTGTCAATCGCTACTCCAGGCATTAGTGATTCAGCAGTAAACCAAATGGTGAAATGTCCTGCTCTCATGGAACTTAGATCACCACCATCACCACCCTATGCTTAGGCACTACGAAAACACAGAAGCAAGTATTAGCCTAGTTGAGAGTTTAAGACATGCCCAATGATGCAAACCTCTGCAAGCTTTAGTTTTCATAACTAATACCTACTTCATAAGGCTAAGATATGTGAAGTGCTTAGAAAATTATGAGAAACATGCTAAATTATTGCTAATCCTATAATAACCATTATGGTTTATGTAGGACAAGTGTCTACAATGCAGTAAGTGCTACTTATAGGAGTTTAAAGAACAGTCACATAACACAGTCGTGGGATGATCTAGGATCTTCCTGTAGGAGACTAGAACTTAATTGAATCTAGGAAGATAGAAGGATGTAATTAAATGAAGCTGGGAAACAGAGAAAGAGACAAAGTGGGGAAGACACACAGCAAGCAAAATAGAAGTTAGGGCCATGGGCAAGAATGGGAAAACCAAGAGCATATCACTTTGGATGAAACACATTTATGAAGGACAGCAGTTCTTCATAAACGGCAGCTAGAGTTTCAAAGGCCAAATAGAAACTTAAGATTTGTCTGCCTGAATGCCTTCTAAAGGGAAACCCACCCCTAGGAACCATCCCATTCCTCTATTTGGTCCTGGTGTTTTGCTTTCCCCACCGAAGAAGTAGACTTGTGATTCAAGCAGGCCCAAAGCCCTTTTGGAGAAACCTGATATACAGACATTTTAAGATATTGAACCATAATAATATACCTGAGCTGGCCAGGCGTGGTGGCTCACACCTGTAATCCCAGCACTTTGAGAGGCTGAGACGGGTGGATCACCTAAGGTCAGGAGTTCGAGACCAGCCTGATCAATATGGTGAAACCCCATCTCTACTAAAAATACAAAAATTAGCCGGGGGTGTGGTGACGTATGTCTGTAGTCCCAGCTACTCAGGAGGCTGAGACAGGAGAATTGCTTGAACCCGGGAGGCAGAGGCTGCAGTGAGCCGAGATCACACAACTGCACTCCAGCTGCAGTGACGTAGTGAGACTTAGTCTCCAAAAAAAAAAAAAAAAAATATTAGGAATATACCTCAAAAAAATTAAGAATTTTATATAAGAATATAAAATTAAGAATATAGCTGCCAGTGGCCATCTTTCTCAACCCTGAAAGACACTGCCTAAGAATGAAGCCAAAGAAGGTGTAGGGAGGAAAGAAGGGGAGAAAGAGGAGGGTGGGAGAGAGACAAAGAAGGAGAAGAAGGAGAGAAAGAGGCCAGGCATGGTGGCTCACACCTGTAATCCTAGCACTTTGAGAGGCTGAGGTGGTGGATCACTTGAGGCCAGAAGTTTGGCACCAGCCCGACCAACGTGGTGAAAACCCGTCTCTACTAAGAAAACAAAAAATTAGCCGGGTGTGGTGGTAGGCACCTGTAATCCCAGCTACTCGGGAGGCTGAGGCAGAATTGCTTGAACCTGGGAGGCAGAGGTTGCAGTGACCCGAGATCACATCACTGTACTCTAGCCTGGGCAACAGAGCAAAACTCTGTCTTAAAAAAAAAGAAAAGAAAAAAGGGGGAGGAGAAAGGAGAGACTTATGGATCAGGTATTATTCTAAAACCCTTATATGTTAAAAAAAAAAAATCTAGCTACAAGCACGCAACAAAATATACAAATATACAATGCCTAGTTCTTATAATGGCACACGTAACATTGAGGAAATCTCTAAAAACAAAGCTTCTTCACAGGACAGAAAAGCAATCTAAACCAAAAAGAGATATGCTAAAGAAGGAAAACAGAACTAGAAAACAGAATCAGGAGCCCAGGCACGGTGGCTGGCGCCTGTAATCCCAACACTTTGGGAAGCCAAGGTAGGCAGATCACCTGAGGTCAAGAGTTCAAGACCAGCCTGGCCAACATGGAGAAACCCCGTCTCAACTAAAAATATAAAATTAGCCAGGCATGGTAGCGGGCTCCTGTAATCCCAGCTACTCGGGAGGCTGAGGCAAGAGAACTGCTTGAACCCGGGAGGTGGAGGTTGCAGTGAGCCAAGATCGCGCCACTGCACTCCGGCTTGGGTGACAAGAGCGAAACTCCGTCTCAAAAAAAAAAAAAAAAAGAAAAGAAAGAAAACAGAATCAGGAGACCCAGGTTCTAATCTTGACTCTGCCACTTAACTTTGGGTGTGACCTTAAGACTGTTAGAGCTACACTACTCATCCAGAATTAAAAAAAAAAATTGTGCTACATAATTTCTGAAGCCCATTTTAATTTTAAAATTAATTCTGAGACTTTTGACTTATCCATTCATCTTTATAATTCTCAAAAATCTGGTAAAACATAACTTACAAATAAGACTCAGCAGTTATTAGACAGATGAAATACTTGGTCATTTAAGTAGATGAAAGTACTCATTACTTGTCTAAGCCAGAAAAATGACGATGAATTAAAGAACAAACCACAGCATCCTCGGGAAGGTTCACAAGTGGCATATACACTGAGCAGAGGGGAAGAAAAGGTGATGAAACTTGGATAAACGCCTTTTTAAATTAGTAAAAATATTAAAAGCAATATGTTTTTTCATAGGATTAATATATTTGTCTTAGTTCTTGAATCACAAAACACAAATGTAATAAAACAACCCCATTCTGGATTACTGCAGTGAAATTAATCAGAAAATTATAGGAGAAAGATGTTTCTGATGTTCTCAGGTTGAAGGTAGGAATCAATCTCAGAACCTTTGGCTACCTTCAAGAACAGCTTTTCCTTTTTCTTCTTCTTTTTTTTTTTTTTTTTTTTTTGAGACGAAGTCTCACTCTTGTCCCCCAGGCTGGAGCGCGATAGCACAATCTCAGCTCACTGCAACCTCTGCCTCCCGGGTTCAAGCGATTCTCCTGCCTCAGCCTCCTGAGTAGCTGGGATTACAGGCGCCTGCCACCATGCCCGGCTAATTTTTGTATTTTTAGTAGAGACGAGGTTTCACCATGTTGGCCAGGATGGTCTCGAACTCCTGACCTCAGGTGATCCGCCCGCCTCAGTCTCCCAAAGTGCTGGGATTACAGGCATGAACCACTGCACCCAGCCATTTTTCTTCTTTTATTATTATTATTAAATATTCTAAAAAATCTATAGAGGGAAAGGAGGGAGAGAACAGCTGGGCACCAGCAGACATATTTGAGTTCTTACTTTTATTTTATTGAGACAAGATCTCTGCTGGGTGTGGTGGCTCATGCCTGTAATCCCAGCACTTTGGGAAGGCAGAGGCAGGCAGATCACTTGAGGTCAGGAGTTAGAGACCAGCCTGGCCAACATGATGAAACGCTGTCTCTACTAAAAATACAAAAATTAGCCACGCATGGTGGCGCACACCTGTAATCCTACTCGGGAGGCTGAGACAGGAGAATTGTTTGAACCTGGGAGGTGGAGGTTGCAGTGAACCGAGACTGTGCCACTGCACCCAGCCTGGGCGACAGAGCGAGATTCTGTCTCAAAGGAAAAAAAGAAAAAAGGGAATTGTTAATTGAGACAAGGTCTGACTGTCTCCCAGGTATAGTGGCGCAATCACAGCTCACTGCGGCCTCAACTTCCTGGGCTCAAGCAATCCTCCCCTCTCAGCTTCTCCAGTAGCTAAGGACACAGATGTGTGCCACTATGCCCTTCTAATTTATTATTGTTATTATTTTGGGGGTAGAGACAGGGTCTCCATACATTGCCCAGGCTGGCGTTGAACAACTGGGCTCAAGCAATCCTCCGGATTTGACCTCCCAAAGTGCTAGGATTACATGCATGAGCCTCTATACCAGGCCCATATTTGAGTTCTTAACCCTGGCTTTGCCACAGGCTAACCATGTAAATTTGGGACAGCCCTTTCATCTCTCTTAGTCACAGTAATGACCTCTAAGGATACTTGTTCAGTTCTAAAATTATGGTTAAGTAAAAAACATTCTTCAAGTCACATCCTATTTAGAGAAGGTGCACCTATCCATCTATTTCAAAGCTTATAAAGACGATGTGTTTAGGGCTTCAACAACACAAAACATTATTACGGCAAATGTTAGATGCTAATCTAAAGCCTTCCTTACCCATCAAATGAACCCATCCCAGGCTTGTTCCCTACTACTCCAACAGGAAAGTCATGCAGTAAGTATGCTGTCCCCTCATGGCTCCTGCTAGAGCCTGTGCTCCACTCTGCCCCTGTGCCTTTGCTCATGAGATCACTGATCCCCTGCTTGAAATGTCTCCTCCCTGATCCAATTCCAAAGCCACCACTTGGGCCTCATAGCTTCCACAGAACCTCTCTGATGACTTTAATGCTCATTTTCCACTACTTAGCTCTTTTACCATTCACTGTTACTAGGAAAGAATTTAGTCCTTAAGCACATGTTTTCCTGTTAGTCTTTTTTTAAAAAATTAAAAAGCCTTTAAGTATTCTATTTATCATTAAAATTTTCATTATTTTACATGTTAGTAAGTGAACTCATTAATGTTTAAAAAGAAAATACTGTGCTTTTACTACTTTTATTTCCTCACAATGCCTAGCTAACTGCATGAGACAGAATAGTATTCAATAAATAAGTTGCTATCAAATTATCACAAGATCATTATTTGGGCTAAATGATGTAAGTTAAATTCACATTATACACCAAACTTCTTGGAAAGTGATTTGCATTTATTATAAAGAGCATAAGGTTGGTGACATAATGTTTTTTTTTAAAAAAGCATAAGGAATTCCAAAATAATTTAAACAATAGCCTATCATTTCTAAGATAGACATTAAAAACTCTGATTCTGCTTATATTTCTTACTCATGGTAAGAAACTGTAAAGAAATAGTTTTTTTTTTTTTTTTAAACAACCACCTCTTGATCAAAAAATAAGTTTTTAATCAGAGAAATGGGTACATTTTCCTCACCCCTCCTGGAGAAGGAGCATGAAAGTCTGTTTTTTGTTGTTGTTGTTTTTTTCATTTTTTTAAAAATTTTTTTGAGGTGGAGTCTCACTCTGTTGCCTAGGCTGGAGTGCAGTGGCATGATCTCCACTCACTGCAACCTCCCAGGTTCAAGCAATTCTCCTGCCTCAGCCTCTCGAGTAGCTGGGATTACAGATGTGCACCACCATGCCTGGCTAATTTTTGTACTTTTAGTGGAGACGAGGTTTCACCATGTTGGTCAGGCTGGTCTCAAACTCCTGACCTCAGGTGAGCCACCCGCCTTGGCCTCCCAAAATGCTGCAATTATAGGTGTGAGCCACCACACCTGGCCCAAATCTGGTTTTAAGATGCAGAATTTTGCTGGTTATTCCCTTCCACAGGGTGCAGCACAGCCTGGAGCAGCTATCTCAACAGCAAAGTTCAGAATCACCAGTCCCCCGCCACCATTATTATTAAGGAGCATGTTTGACCAGAGGCTCACTCCCACATCTTTATTCAATACTGCTGACCTAGATTTTGTTCTTAAAACTACACAGCAGAAGCAGGCAAACTCCCCTGTAGAAACAACAGCCTTCAGAATAAATTTTTTAGCATACTTGCAATCTACTCAGAGAGTCTATTTCAGTAAAACTATGGAAAATGAAATTCTAAACAAGAAGCAATTTACATAATGCAGTAGAAAAAATACTTACCACTACCACTGGCCATCCCTAGAGACTTTGATTCTCCTATAAAAGTAGAATGGGGAAGGACAGGGGACAGTTTTCTATCTCTGTGAAATTGAAGGCATTTAACAGAAAAGGCATATGGCTAAACACTTAAAGTACTAATTAAACAAGTAGCATATCTACATATCAAAACTAGACTAATTCTGTCACATATGATCCATTCCAAGTGCAAGATAGACTAATGGATTTTAAATAACAGTACAAAAAGTTCATTGATATGGTTTCAGATTCCCCATTGCAAACAACCTTTAAGAAACTACCACTTGGCTAGGTGCAGTAGTTCACCCCTGTAAACCACAGCACTTTGGGAGGCTGAGGTGGGAGAACTGCTTGAGACCAGGAATATTTTTTTCATTTTTGGAGACAGAGTTTTGCTCTTGCTGCCCAGGCTGGAGTGCAATGGTGCAATCTCGGCTCACTGTAACCTCTACCTCCCGGGTTCAAGCAACTCTCCTGCCTCAGCCTCCCAGGTAGCTGGGATTACAGGCAGCCACCACCACACTTGGCTAATTTTTTGTATTTTTAGTAGAGACGGGGTTTTACCATGCTGGCCAAGCTGGTCTCAAACTCCTGATCTCAGGTGATCCACCCACCTCGGCCTCCCAAAGTCCTGGGATTACAGCGCCTGGCCAGAGCCCAGGAATTTGAGATCAGCCTGGGCAACATAATGAGACCCTATCTCTACCAAAAAAAAAAAAAAAAAAAAAAAAAAAGGAAGAAGAAGAAGAAAAGAAACTACCATTTGTGAAGTTTTGATGTCAAATCAAATACCCATAGTTACCTGGAAAAAAAACTGTCAAAATATTCCTCCTCCTAACTACATATTTGTGTGAAATGGATTTTCTTCATATACTGCAACCCAAACAACATATTGTGACAGACTGAATGCAGAGGCAGATATAAAAATACAGCTGTGTTCTATTAAGACAGACATTAAAAAGATTTTTAAAAGCGAAACCATGGCTGGGCTCGGTGGCTCACGCCTGTAATCCCAGCACTTTGGGAGGCCGAGGTGGGCGGATCAAGAGGTCAGGAGTTCGAGACCAGCCTGGCTAACATAGTAAAACACAGTCTCTACTAAAAAAACAAAAACAAAAAAAAAAAAAACTGGGCATGGTGGCGTGTGCCTGTAATCCCAGCTACTCAGGAGGTTGAGGCAGGAGGACTGTTTGAACCCGGGAGGCAGAGGTTGCAATGAGCTGAGATCGTGCCATTGCACTCCAGCCTGGGCAACAGGGCAAGACTCCGTCTCAAAAAAAAAAAAAAAAAGGCGAAAACGCTACCACTGTTCTTACTAATCTCCTTCATTTTTGAAACTATACTTCTCAATAAAAATATTGTTTATTATTACTTTTTAAAATGAGATAAGTATTTTTCAGGTTTCTCCAGTTTTAGTTTGATAAATAGATATAACCCTCACAAACACAAGCTCTTTGGGGGTCTTTACTAAGGGCTGTGCTAGTATTTGGTCTCTAAACTCCTTTACAGTTTTAGAAGTCTGTTAGTCCAAATCCCTATATACTCCAGTGCAAGCTCACACTTCTAGCCTCCTACAGCCCCGTTCTTCCCTCTCCCCATTCCCTGCAGAAAGTCAAGAAATCCAAGACAAAGTTCAGGCTTCATTATGCTTTTGGGATAGAAGCTTAGCCATGTGAGAAATGAAAAAATACACAACACAGTATCTCATTAAGAGCTAAACTTAATCATAAAGACGTTAAAATGGCATAACAATAAAAATTAAGAAAAATTAATGCTGGCAAAGGTGCTTCACAGAAAAGAAAGGGGAAAATGTCTGAATGTGGTATTTTCATTTACTACTGACAGTTTTTTTTAAATTAAAAACTTTTTTTTCTATTTATTTTTAGAGATGGGGTCTCACTTTGTTGCCTAGGCTGGAGTGCAGTAGCTATTCACAGGCATAATTATAGCTCACTGCAGCCTTGACTGAGCTCCTGGCCCCAAGTGATTCTCCCACATCAGCTTCCCATGTAGCAGGGACTACAGGTACATGCCACTGTGCCCTGACAATCACCACTGTTTTTGTTTTTTGTTTTTTGCTTTTTTCATGCACACAGGGATACCAGTTACTGTTGACATTGTAAGTAACACATGTGAGAACATCTTAGATTATTAGATCAAACAAAGGTGACAAGGAAAATACGTGTATATTCATATACATACATATCTTACAGAATGCTAAAATAGTTGTGGTAAAATCGTATTGATTGTTGAATCTGGAAAAATGTATAAAGTTCTTTCAACTTTTCTATAAATTTGAAATTATTTCAAAATAAGCTGGGCATGGCGGCTCACACCTGTAATCATCGCAATTTGGGAGGTGGAGGCAGGAGGATCGCCTGAGCCCAGGCATTGGAGACCAGCTTGGGCAATGTAGCAAGACCCCAACCTCTACAAAAAAAATTTAAAAAATTAGCCAGGCACGGTAGTGCACACCTGTCGTCCCAGTTACTTTGGAGGCTGAGGTGGGAGGATTGCTTGAGCCAGGATTTCAAGATTGCAGTGAGCTATGATAGAACCACTGTATTCCTGGGCAACAGACCAAGACCCTGTCTCCAAAAACACAAAAGAAAAAAAACTTTCAAAATAAAAATAAAAGTATTTCAATAAAAAAAGTGACAGGAGAAAGCCTACTCCTTTCTCAGATTTTCAGCCGACTCCATTTTTTATAATTAAATAGATCCAAATGTTCATATCCAACTATATTAGCGTCCTTCTCCACTGTATTAAACTAGCAAAAAGCCCACTAACCTTTCTTGATTTAAAATAATATTTTAGGCCAGATGCGGTGGCTCATGCCTGTAATCCCAGCACTTTGGGAGGCTGAGGCCCACAGATGACATGAGGTCAAGAGTTCAAGACCAGTCTGACCCATGTGGTGAAACCCCATCTCTACTAAAAATACAAAAATTAGCCAGGCGTGATGGTGCATGTCTGTAATCACAGCCACTGAGACTGAGGCAGAAGAATTGCTTGAACTCGGGAGGCAGAGGGTGCAGTGAGCCCAGATCCCGTACTGCATTCCAGCCTAGGTGACAAAACAGGACTCTTTCCCCCACTCTCCCCAAAAAAGGCTTCAAACCCATCTCAATTAAAAAAACAAAAATAAATTAATGATATTTGACATCCCTACAATGGTTGGAAGACTCTGAGTTTAGCCCTCTAGCAATATTTGAAAACACCAAGGCATTTGAAGGAAATCTCCAGCAGGAAGGAGATAACTTTAAGATCACATAGCACACTTGTTTTGCTTCAACCAGAAATTCTGCTGGATGTGTCTCAGAGTGGCCACAGGTGAAGGATGCTACCCTGAGACCACAATACAGGCTAAGTTGGCAGTAGCTGAGCTGTCAACTCAGAATACTGAATAGTTTCAGTATTCTACCTCCTACAACACTTGATTTATTATCATACTGAATGTACTTGTTCCTATAAACACACCTCTCTACACAACTTCCTATAAAAACATGTGTCCCTGGCAAGGCGTGGTGGCTCACGCCTGTAATCTCAGCACTTTGGGAGGCTGAGGCAGGTGGATCACAAGGTCAGGAGATCAAGAACAGCCTGATCAACATGGTGAAACCCTGTCTCTACTAAAAATACAAAAATTAGCTGGGTGTGGTGGCACACGCCTGTAATCCCAGCTAATCAGGAGGCTGAGGCAGAAGAATGGCTTGAACCTGGGAGGCGGAGGTTGCAGTGAGCCAAGATCACGTCACTGCACTCCAGCCTGGGCGAGAGAGCAAAACTCTGTCTCAAAAACAAAAACAAAAACAAAATGTGTCCCCATGCAACTTCCTTTCTCATTCTCCACAGTCTGTTATACATACTTTCTTTTCCAGCTCACTCCATCCAAAATATAGTATTTTACTTTATAGAAAATGATATTATATGACTGCTGTTTCCTCTACCATAAATTTATCTACATCAGAGTCCATCATTACTTCTTTCCTTCCTATTTATGAGAAAAATATAATCCCCCATTTTTATTTCTTTTTAATTTGGGGAAAATGCTAAACCAGAGAATATGCAAAATACACGTGATTCTCCTTTCCAAGGACAGCAAATATGCCCTTTATCACCTTCTTGCCACCCAGTCCTCCAACCTTCTAGACTTAATTTTTCATTCCTTCTCTCCTCATTTCTCCCCCTCTGGCTATGAGCACAGTTAAATCTCTGGCATCTTTAAAACACAAGTAAAATCCAAACTGTTTATATATATATCCCCTATAGAAGAATCTATGGATTAAAATAAATTTAGATTCTAATTCTAACGAGCTAGTTTTTTTTTTTTAATTATGAGATAACTGGTGAATTGAATACTGACTGGATATTTGGTACTAGGGAACCGGTGTGTGTTTGTTAATGGTATTGCAATTATGCTCTAAAAAGGAACCTTTTTTTTTTTTTTTTTGAGATACATGCTAATATAAAGATCAAATGATCTGGGGTTTGCTTCCAAAAAACACCTAGGGTTAAATGGAGGGAGTGATTGGGAACAGATGAAATCAGATTGCTGGCCAGGCGCGGTGGCTCACACCTGTAATCCTAGCACTTTGGGAGGCTGAGGCGGGTGAATCACCTGAGGTCAGGAGTTCGAGACCAGCCTGACCCACAGGGTGAAACCCCTCTCTACTAAAAATACAAAAATTAGCCAGGCATGGTGGCATGCGACTGCAGTCCCAGCTACTCGGGAGGCTGAGACAGGAGAATTGCTTGAATCCAGGAAGCAGAGGTTGCAGTGAGCTGAGATCTCATAAATGTATGTCATGAGAACCTATGCATACATTTAAAACATGTAGCATAGGTTCTCATAATGTATGCATAAGCAACCTATGCATACATTTAAACATCTGAATACAAGATACGGTTCCTCCATTCTCTGTTTAGTCCTTTGAGAACAAGGACTGTGTCTTTCTCTTCACTATTCCCAGCACCATGTATCTGGCCTGATACCTAGGTGGTGCCTAATAAAGGATGTTGAATGGAGAAATGATTGTAATTTGGAGGGGAAAAAATTCATCTGGAGATAAAAATACTGGCTGGTATTCTTATGAGTTTTTCTTAAAAGATGCAATCTACAAATTAAGATTCTTCTTTTTGCAACACCTTTGTTCTACTGAATTTTATTTACTTTTTTTGCTGAATATTAAAATATTATAATTTAATATTTTTTATTTTTTTGGAGGCAGGGTCTCACTCTGTCACCCAGGCTGGAGTGCAGTGGAGCGATCTTGGCTCACTGCAGCCTCAACCTCCTGGGCTCAAGTGACCTCAGTCTCCCAAGTATCTGGGACTACAGGCACACATCACCACACCCAGCTAATTTTTTGTATTTTTCTGTAGAGACAGGGCTTCGCCGTGTTGCCAAGACTGGTTTTATTTTATTTTATTTTTTTTGAGATGGAGTCTTGCTCTGTCGCCCAGGCTGGAGTGCAGTGGCACAATTTCGGCTCACTGCAAGCTCTGCCTCCCAGGTTCATGCCATTCTCCTGCCTCAGCCTCCTGAGTAGCTGGGACTACAGGCGCCCGCCACCATGCTTGGCTAATTTTTTTTTTTTTTTGTAGTTTTAGTAGAGATGGGGTTTCACCATGTTAGCCAGGATGGTCTCGATCTACTGACCTTGTCATCTGCCCACCTCTGCCTCCCAAAGTGCTGGGATTACAGGTGTGAGCCACCACACCCGGCCCCATAACTTAAATGCTCAGGACTATTACACTAATTTAGTTTAATTTATACTAAACTAAATCAACACATTCTAAGAAATAAATTTGCCTGGTCAGAGTAGGCCAAAACAAGAGTAAAATAAACAACTATTGGCTGGGCATGATGGCTCACGCCTGTAATCCCAGCATTTTGGGAGGCTGAGGTGGGCAGATCACCTGAGGTCAGGAGTTCAAGACCAGCCTGGCCAACATGGTGAAACCCCATCTCTACTAAAAATACAAAAATTAGCCGGGTGTTGTGGCACAAACCTATAATCCCAGCTACTCATGAGGCTGAGACAGGAGAATCGCTTGAACCCAGGAGGCAGAGGTTGCAGTGAGCCAAGATTGTGCCATTGCACTCCTGTCTGGGTGACAAAGGTGAAACTCCGTCTCAAAAAAAAAAAAAAAAAAAAAAAAAGAAGCAACTATTAACAATTATGTCAGGATAATAGACATAATAAACCAGGGCTATCATATATCTATGATGTGATATACAAAACAGGAATTCCCTTTAAATGTCAATAACTTATAATGAACCCTATTTCTATTTTCACATTCTGTTAAACAGGTTAAGCAGGTTATATTTATGAAAGTATTTAAATTATGCCAGAAATTTAAAAGTTTTTGGTTTAAAGCCAGAAAAATGATTTACAAGTAGCCATAATCAAAATCAACTGTGGCAGAAATCACATGTAAACATTAAACTGTATTCATATCCACGCTCAATTTTCAATGGCTTCAAACCCATTCTACCAATTGACTCCAGGCAACTATAGGTAACTGAGATTCTAGCTCTAAACTGAAGAAGAAAAACCACTTTCCCAAGTACAGCAAATTATTTAAGGATATTTAATATCCTCCTTATAGAAGATTATTAGAATCCTAAAACATTACAAGAATTAAGGAAATTTATGTCCAAACATTGTACTTTTTTCTTGTCTTTGGTTCCCTCAGATTCTGACAGATTTCTTCACACTTGAATAAGAAGTCTGCCAGCAGGGTCAGTGGGTCCTTGGAGGGGTTTTCCACTCCCTTTTTACCCCTTCCTCCTCCTGGCACCCAGCTGGACTTGTGGCCCAATCTCCTACCCCAAGGCAGCAGAGCCACATTCAGCCAGGTAGGGATTTTGATTTTAATCCCTGGTCCTCTCATTCAACACTCAACCTTGGGTACCTTTCTTTCCTACTCTGCCTCATTTCCTCTTAGTGTACAACAAGGGAGGAAAGGCCAAATCATCTGCCAGAACTCTCCTAGAAGAGAGAAATCTCAAGCCGGGTGTGGTGGCTCATGCCTGTAATCCCACCACTTTGGGAGGCCGAGGAGGGCAAACTGCCTGAGCTCACGAGTTCGAGACCAGCCTGGGCACAATGAAACTGCATTTCTACTAAAATACAAAAAAGTTAGCCAGGCGTGGTGGTGGGCGCCTGTAGTCCCAGTTACTCGGGAGGCTGAGGCAAGAGAATTGCTTGAACCCGGGAGGCAGAGGTTGCAGTGAGCCAAGATCGCACCACTGCACTCCAGCCTGGGCGACAGAGAGAGTCTCAAAAAAAAAAAAAAAGAAAAGAAAAAAGAAAAAAAGAAAAGAAAACAAAAATCTCTGCTTCTTTGCATTACTAATAGGTAATTAAAGGCTATGACAACAATACTTGATGCAGCAATTTGCTTTCTACCTTGAAACATGCAATAAATACACAAGTCTATGTCTTTTGTACCCACTGGTCATAACCATGACCTATTCTTTCTTTTTTTTTTTGTCATGGAGTTTCACTCTTGTTGCCCAGGCTGGAGTGCAGTGGCACAATCTTGGCTCACTGCAACCTCTGCCTCCTGGGTTCAAGCGATTCTCCTGACTCAGGCTCCCAAGTAGCTGGGACTACAGGTGCCCGCCACCACGCCCGGCTAATTTTTTGTATTTTTAGTAGAGATGGGATTTCGCCATGTTGGGAAGGCTGGTTGACCTATTCTTTTTTTTTTTTTTTTTTCTTGAGATAGGTAGGGTCTCAGCTCTGTTGCCCAGGATGGAGTGCAGTGTTGTGATCATAATTCACTGCAGTCTCAACCTCCTGGGCTCAAGCGATCCTCCTGCCTCAACATATGGAGTAGCTGGGACTGTGGGCATGTGCCACCATGCCAGGCTAATTTTTGTAGAGACAGGTCTCACTATGTTGCCCAGGCTGGTCTCGAACTCCTGGGCTCAAGCAATCTTTCTGCCTCAGCCTCCCAAAGTCTTGGGATTACAAGCGTTGAGTCACCACGCCCAACCCATAATTGTGACCTATTCTATAGAAAGGGGTGTTAACAGTGTGTACAAACACATACCAAGTCATCAGAAGAGGGGTCAATCCATGCTCTGGCAGGTGATCAATTTTCTTTTTTTTGAGACAGAGTCTCGCTCTGTTGCCCAGGCTGGAGTGCAGTGGCGCAATCTCGGCTCACTGCAACCCCCGCCTCCCAGGTTCAATCAGTTCTCTGCCTCAGCCTCCCTAGTACCTGGGATTACAGGTGCCCGCCACCATACCCAACTAATTTTTTTGTATTTTTAGTAGAGACAGGGTTTCACCATGTTGGCCAGGCTGGTCTTGAACTCCTGACCTCATTATCCACCTGCCTTGGCCTCCCAAAGTGCTGAGATTATAGGCGTGAGCCACTGCGCCCGGCCGATCAATTTTCTTAAACCAAATCAAATAAGGTGTCCTTTAACTCAGCCACTCAGAATTCTACATTAATCCATTTCAGTTGGTTGACTAGGTCAAACTGCAGTTTTTCTTTCACTAATTTGGATGAATCTAACATAAAAAAGACAACAATTTAACGCTATCTTGAGCTGTAATCACTTATTCATTCAACTATCCCTTAAGTACATATACTACGTGCCAGGTTCCATTTAGGTTCTAGGGATAAAGCAATAAAAAATCACCACCCAGCTGGGCACGGTGGCTCACGCCTGTAATCCCAGCACTTTGGGAGCCTGAGGCGGGCAGATCACCTGAGGTCAGGAGTTCAACACCAGCCTGGCCAACATGGTGAAACCCCGTCTCTACTAAGAATACAAAAACTAGCCCAGTGTGGTGGTGTGCATCTGTAGTCCCAGCTACTCAGAAGGCTGAGACAGGAGAATTGCTTGAACCCAGGAGGCGGGGGTTGCAGTGAGCCGAGATTGTCCCACTGCACTCCAACCTGGGCAACAGAGCAAGACTGCGTCCCAAAAAAAAAAAAAAAAAAAAAAAAGAATCACCACCCATAGAGAGCTTACATTCTTGGCAAGCAACATCAACAACATAGTACCAGGAATGATGCGGAGTGGGGTAGGTATCCTGCTCTACTTATGCTGGCTAAACTACATCTGGAAATTGTATTCCATTCTAGGCATAGGTTAAGAGGTATGATATATTAGTTATCAATTTATTGCCTTTCAGTTCCAAATCTATACTTTACTGCTCTGCTTTGCAATAATGAAGCTGGACTCTTCAAATGTTTTTCTTATGCCAATAGCAAGCACTGGAGGAATACTACAGGAGGAAGAGGATTTCCTCCTGGTTCCACTGTGTTTTCCTCTTCTTTCTCCCGTGGCCTCATGTGATGCGTGGGACACCCAGCGGTGCTCACCCACCAGTTTTAGGGATACCACAATGAGTGGCTTCAGGTGAGTTCCAGTCACCCCAGCTAACTTCCCAGTGATTTTCGACAGCACCACCCAGAGCAGCTTCCTAGACAGTTTTGTTGGCACTCCAGCAAACAATACTCTTGCTTTTAACCCTCGGCTGGTGCCATCCTCAGGAACTTAAAACTGCAACAGACTACAGCTTTACCTCCTCAAAAGGTCTGAATCTCCGCCTTGGGTAGGCTCTCTCTCCAATCTGTCTCTTTCTTTCATACTCTGCCTCAGGCACAGAGGGAGTAGCTGCTCCTATAGCTGATACACCTACATCTTTCAGAGTTCTCTTTACCCTTTAATGGTTAATCTATTACTAGTTAATAATTCTTTATGTTAACTTTCCCTTGTTCAAATTGCAATATTTCTGTTTCCAGACTGAACCCTGATCCAGAACTGGTACAAAAAGTAGGGTGATCTCAGAGGACGGACTTAAAAACATGGGATTTAGAAATTGGTTTGGTGGCACTCTTGGGTTTAAGTGCAGTGCTAAGCACCTTGCCAATGGGAAAGGGGATGCTAGTAATCCAGGACATGCAAGATCGTGGCAATAATATACTGGCAAAAACCTTCAGAACATGTGTAGGAGTAGATCATATAGCTGGAGGTGGCTCTAACAGTTCACCTCATTGGTTGACTGAAATTTTAGACTCGAGTAAATTATGTTTAAAAAAAAAAACCAAAAACAAATTTCAGCTGTGGCACATGACTGGGCTTGGTGGAGTTTCAAGATGCTGATGAATTTAAGGTCTGGCGCTTGAAAGAATCAGTGAAGCTTTTCAAGTAGATGAGATATATTTGAATATGTAACCTTTAGTAACTACAGAATAGAGGTTGCTTTTTTTGTTTTTTTGGTCCCTTTCATAGGGGTAGCAGGGGTGAATTCTGAGGTGGCCCCAATCATCTGTAGGAATATTCACCTGACAGTTTCGTGTTTCTCCCCATAGCTGAGTTGGTCTTGTAGAAAATTTCTACGGAATTCAATTCCATTATTTAAAGTAGCTTTTCTATGAACCAGCTGTGGTCTGTAACTTGACAGTGTTAATACCAAATAGCAAGACCTAATCATGGTTCACATACTCAACAAATATATAAGACTAGTTTTTCAAGTAGGTCAGTTTTGGAACACATTAATTGTAACTAGATTAGCTATTTTACAATTAAGACAACTTTATAAACTGCTTTAATTTATAAAGGTTTTAAAATTACATTCTTTTGACTCTAAAGATTGTTGTTTTACAGCATATTCTTAAATACTACTGTTGAGCCATATATATGACAATGGTGAACTTTAATGAATATCTGCACATCTGTAGTAAAATGCAATGCTACCTTCATTTTTTTGTTGGTATGCTGAAGAAACTTTTTAAAGTATCTCACTTTTTAAAAAATTGGTCAGACCCTCTCCCTCTCCCTCCTCTCCCTCCTCTCCCTCTCCCCACGGTCTCCCTCTCCCTCTCTTTCCACGGTCTCCCTCTGATGCCGAGCCGAAGCTGGGCTGTACTGCTGCCATCTCGGCTCACTGCAACCTCCCTGCCTGATTCTCCTGTCTCAGCCTGCCTAGTGCCTGCGATTGCAGACGCGCGCCGCCACGCCTGACTGGTTTTCGTATTTTTTTGGTGGAGACAGGGTTTCGCTGTGTTGGCCGGGCTGGTCTCCAGCTCCTAACCGCGAGTGATCCGCCAGCCTTGGCCTCCCGAGGTGCCGGGATTGCAGACGGAGTCTCGTTCACTCAGTGCTCAATGTTGCCCAGGCTGGAGTGCAGTGGCGTGATCTCGGCTCGCTACAACCTCCACCTCCCAGCCACCTGCCTTGGCCTCCCAAAGTGCCGAGATTGCAGCCTCTGCCCGGCAGCCACCCCGTCTGGGAAGTGAGGAGCGTCTCTGCCTGGCCGCCCATCGTCTGGGATGTGAGGAGCCCCTCTGCCTGGCTGCCCAGTCTGGAAAGTGAGGAGCGTCTCTGCCCGCCCGCCATCCCATCTAGGAAGTGAGGAGCGCCTCTTCCCGGCCGCCATCCCAACTAGGAAGTGTGGAGCGTCTCTGCCCGGCCGCCCACTGTCTGAGATGTGGGGAGCGCCTCTGCCCCGCCACCCCGTCTGGGATGTGAGGAGCGCCTCTGCCCGGCCGCGACCCCGTCTGGGAGGTGAGGAGCGTCTCTGCCCGGCCGCCCCGTCTGAGAAGTGAGGAGACCCTCCGCCCGGCAGCTGCCCCGTCTGAGAAGTGAGGAGCCCCTCCGCCCGGCAGCCACCCCGTCTGGGAAGTGAGGAGCCCCTCCGCCCAGCAGCCACCCCGTCTGGGAAGTGAGGAGCATCTCCACCCGGCAGCCGCCCCGTCCGGGAGGGAGGTGGGGGGGTCAGCCCCCCCGCCCGGCCAGCCGCCCCATCCGGGAGGGAGGTGAGGGGCGCCTCTGCCCGGCCGCCCCTACTGGGAAGTGAGGAGCCCCTCTGCCCGGCCACCACCCAGTCTGGGAGGTGTACCCAACAGCTCATTGAGAACGGGCCATGATGACAATGGCGGTTTTGTGGAATAGAAAAGGGGGAAAGGTGGGGAAAAGATTGAGAAATCGGATGGTTGCTGTGTCTGTGTAGAAAGAAGTAGACATGGGAGACTTCATTTTGTTCTGTACTAAGAAAAATTCTTCTGCCTTGGGATCCTGTTGATCTATGACCTTACCCCCAACCCTGTGCTCTCTGAAACATGTGCTGTGTCCACTCAGGGTTAAATGGAAAAAATAAATAAATAAATTAAAAAAAAAATAAAAATAAAAATAAAAATAAAAAATTGGTCAGATCGCGAGATCAGGAGTTCGAGACCAGCCTGGCCAATATGGTGAAACTCTGTCTCTACTAAAAAATACAAAAATTGGTCGGGTGTGGTGGCATGAGCCTGTAGTCCCAACTACTCGGGAGGCTGAGGCAGAAAAATTGCTTGAACTTTGGAGGCAGAGGTTGTAGTGAGCCGAGATCGCACCATTACACTCTAGCCTGAGTGACAGAGCAAGACTCCATCTCAAAAAATAAATAAAATACAAAAAAAAAATTGGTTTGTGTATTTTATATGCTTACATATTTTTCCATGGTACTGTAGGTCATTTTAGTGATTAAATTTGACACTTTTGACAGAAAAACAGGTCAATTAGTTCCTTGGGATCAAAAAGGGGTTGATTGCAAAGGGGCAGGAGGGAATTGATAGAGTGATTTTACAATGGTTCTGCATCTTGAGTATGGTATGACTATGCATTTGTCAAATCTTAGGGTGAACTTTACTGAATGTAAATTCATGCTTCAATAAACAGGACTTTAAAAACTTACAAAAAAAAACACAAAACAACAACAAAAGGACTGGGTGCAGTTCACACCTGTAATCTCAGCAGGGGGGCCAAGGTAGGAGGCTTGAGCCCAGGAGTTCAAGCCTAGAATGAGCAACACACAGAGACCCCATCTCCACAAAAAATAAAAAATTAACCAGGCACAGTGTCACATGCCTGTAATCCCAGCTACTCAGGAGGCTGAGGAAGGAGGACTACTTGAGCCTAGGAGTTCGAAATTACAGTGAGCTATGATCACGCCACTGCACTCCAGCCTGAGTGACCGAGTGAGAGCCTGTCTCTAAATAAATAAATAAAACTTTCTTTAAAAAAGAGTCCACTATGTTTAATGAGGTGGAGATGCCAAAGTTTCCCTAGCAAGATGTAGAAGAGGCAATTCAAAAACTTAGGGAGATAGAAATGTTGGAATGGATTTTTCATGTGTAACCTATGTTGCAAAAAAAAGCTCGGAAGATAATCCTTTCACTCAGGCATTGAGAAATCCATTAGTGAGGTGGGCATGGTGGTTCACACCTGTAATCCCAGTACTTTGGGAGGCCGAGCCAGGTGGATCACTTGAGGCCAGGAGTTCAAGACCAGCCTGGCCAACATGGTGAAACCCCGACTGTACTAAAAATACAAAAATTAGCCAGGTGTGGTGGTGCACAACTGTAATCCCAGCTACTTGGGAGGCTGAGGCATGAGAATTGCTTGAACCCAGGAGGCAGAGGTTGCAGTTAGCCAAGATCGTGCCACTGTACTCCAGCCTGGGTGACAGAGTGAGACTCTGTCTCAAAAAAACAAAAAAAAAAACAAACAACAACAAAAAAAGAAATGCATTAGTGAGGGGATCACCTTCATCCTTGAAAAGCTCTGTGGTTGCTCCCCTTTGCAGTGTGTCCCTGTTCCCCTAGACATGGGTTGGCAAACTTTATTTATAAAGGGCCACAGATAAACATTTTAGGTTTTACAGTCCCTAAGGTCTCTGTCACAACCCCTAGGTATGGCCATGGGAAATGCCACCACTAAGTGGGTTCCCTGATTTAAAGGGGTAACGGGATCCTAAAATAACAGAGGCCAAGTAGCAGCATGTAATCACCAAAGACAAGGTGGGAAATCTACTATAAATACAGTAAAGTTGTACTGGTAATCAGAACACCTTGGCCCACCAGGATCTTTGGCAGTAATTGATCACACAGTATTCCACAAGCAGCCTACCAAAACAGATTCATCTGTACAACTGAAAAAAACTCCAGCTCTGGTAGTAAAAACCTGACTAGAAAAGTTTTGACCTCTCATCTAATTTCTAGACCCAAGTCAATTAACAAGCCCAGGTCCCCTGAGGAAAAACCTGTAGTGTTCCCACAAGTACAAGTACATACTGTAAATCCTCATCCAAGCTTCCCCAAAGGCCATTTACTAGAGTGACTACGGATTAGAGAAAAGGAAATACCCAGACCTTTCAGGGATTACTAATTCCTGGGGACTCAAAATGCTACTGTGGCCTATCAGTCAAAGTGAGTGCTGACAGTGGTCAGGTAATAGATGAAATGCTTAGCTCAAGTCCACCTCACAGTGGACCCCATAGTACAATGGGCCTACTTTGTTGTTATCTCCTCAGTTCCTGAATAAATACTTGGAACAGACATACTTGACTATTGGCAGAGCTCCCATATTGGCTTTCTGACCCAACTGATAAGAGTCATTTTAATAGTAAGGGCTAAATGGAAGCCCCTAGAACTTACCCTCCCTACTAAGATATTAAGCCAGAAGCAATACCACATCTCAAGAATTAAAGAGCTTAATGTCACCATCAAAAGACTTGAAAGAAACAGGGTAGTGATACCTATTATATCTTGATTTAACTCGCCAGTTTGTCCTGTGCAGAAGTCAGATGGATCTTAGTGACTATCATAAACTCGTGGACTATCATAAACTTAATCTGGTGATGATTCCAATTGCAGCTGATGCCCCAGATATAGCATCTTTACTGGAGCAAATCAACATGGGTCACGGCACTTGGTATACTGCTATTAACCTGAATAATGCCTTTTTCTTCATACAAATCTGCAAGAACCACCAGAAGCACATTGCTTTTACCTGCCTTTTACGTGCCTATGAATCTAGCCTCAGGGCTATGCCATTCTCCTACCATAATGTAGCCCACAGAGATCTTGATCGCGTGACATTCCAAAAAAATAAATAAATAAGCACGTACACACACACACACACACACACACACACACACACACACACACACACTAGTCAACTATACTGACATTATGCTAATTGGGTCTGATAAATAGCAAGTAGCAAATACGTTAGATGCTTTAGTAAGACATATACAAAGTAGTTGATGCGAGATAAACCCTACAAAAATTCAGAGACCCACTGCAGCAATGAAATGTCAGGATTCAATTGCTCAAAACATGTCAAAATTTCCCTTCCAAGGTGATTAAGTTGCTCTAATTAACATCACCAACAATGAAAAAGAGGGTACAATGTTTGGTAGGCTTCAACCCAGCTACAAAGTTACCTACAAGGTTGACAGTTTAGAGTGGGTTTCAGAGCAAGAAAAGATTCTATAGCAAGTTCAAGCTGTGGTTCAAGCTGCTCTGCCATTTGGGCCTTATGATCTGGCAGATCCAATGATACTTGAAGTGTCCATGGCAAATAGGGATGCTGAATGGAGCCTTTAGCAAGCAAGAATAAGAGAATCACTGCCCAGACTTCTAGAATTTTGAGAAAATCTATGCCCTCTTTTGCAGAAAATTATTCACCTTTCAAAAAATAGTTTCAGGCTTGCTATTGGGTCTTGGCAGAGACCAAATGCCTAACCATGGGACATAATGCAACCACGTGTCCTGAGCTTCTCATCAGGAACTAGATGTTATCCAACCTATGTAGTCTAGCTTGGCATGTGCAGCACGATCTATCATCAAGTGAAAAACACGTAAAAAAAAAAATTCAAGCAGGTCCAGAAATATGAGTAAGTTACATAGGAGGTAGCTCAGACTTCAGCATTGAGTTCTGTTGCATTGCTTCCTCTCCCTCAATCCAAGTCAATGGCCTCCTGAGAGCTCCATATGACCAGCTGACTGGGGAAAGAAAAAACTCAAGTCTGGTTTACACATAGCTCTGCACAACATGCCAGTATCACCCAAAAGTGGGGAGCTGCAGCACTACAGCCCCATTTAAAGAGGTAGGACTGAAGGGCAGTGATGAAGAAAAATCTTTCCTTCAGAGGGCAGAACGTTGAGGGGTACATTTGGTTTTCCCTTTTGCCTGAGGTAAGACATGGCCAGAAGCAGAGATTTATACTCATTTATGAACAATTATTAAGGATTTTGTTGGCTAGTTAGGAACTTGGAAGGAAATGGTGACAAGGAAATCTGGGGGAAAGATATGCAGATGAAACTCTCAGAACAGGCACAGACTGTGAAGATATTTGTGTCCCATGTGAATAATCATTTGCATTCACTGTAGAGGAGGCTCTTAATAAGCAAGTTGACAAAATGACGTACTTCATGAATATAAATGTTAGACACTTTCCATAGCTACAAGAGTGCTTGCTCAATAAAACCCATGGAAAAAATCATCATGAAGGCTGTGCATGGACTCAACAACATGATCTTCCCCTAAACAGGGCTGACCTGACTAAAGCTACTGCTAAATGTCTAATCTGTTAATGGCACAGACTAACTCTGAGCCCTGAATATGCACCATTTCCCAAAAACTAGCTAACCACCTGGTGGCAAGTTGATTACGCTGGACTTCTATTATGGGGAATAAGGGCAGGGGTGAGGGAAGAGATTTGTCCTCACTAGAATAGACATGTATTCTGGATACAGATTTGCCTTCTCTGCCTATAATGTTTTTGGCAGTTCCACCACCCATGAACTTATATATAAGTGCCCAATCTACCACCATGACATTCCACACAGTGTTGCGGCTGCTTCTTTTTTTGAGATGAGGTCTCCCTCTGTCGCCCAGTCTGGAGTGCAGTGGCACGATCTTGTCTCACTGAAACCTCTGCCTTCTGGGTTCAAGTGATTCTCCCGCCTCAGCCTCCCAAGTAGCTGGGACTACAGGCATGTGCCACCATGCCCGGCTAATTTTTTTTGAATTTTTAGTAGAGATGGGGTTTCACCATGTTAGCCAGGCTGGTCTCGAACTCCTAACCTCAGGCAATCTGCCCGCCTCAGCCTCCCAAAGTGCTGGGATTACAGGTGTGAGCCACCATGCTTGGCCAAAAAAAAAGATGTATTTTTAAAATAGAGACAAGGTCTCACTATGTTACCCAGGCTGGTCTCAAACTCCTTGGCTCAAGTGATCCTCCTGCCTTGGCCTCCCAAAATGCTGGGGTTACAGGCATATGCCACCATGCCAAGCCCACACAGCATTGCTCCTGACCAAGAAAGTCATTTCATAGTAAAGAAATGCAGAAATGGGCTCATGTCCATGGACTTAACTGGTGTTGTCACATCCTATCACACAGAATGGTTGGCCTAATTAAAATAGGGAATTGATTACTGAAGACTAAGTTACAGTTTCAGGGAGACAACACCCTGAAAGGATGGGGTAATGATTTCAATCAGAGACACCTTACATGGTGCTGTCTCCTCCCTCAATCAGAATATACAGGTCTGGGAATCAAAGGGTAGAAGTATGTGCGGCTCCACTCACTATTATATCTAGCAATCACTGAATTTTTGCTTTCACTCCTAACAACTGAGTTCTGCTGGCTTGGAAGTGCTAGTCCCTAAGCAGGAAATATATCTACTAGCATACACAACAATGGTTCAATTGCATTAGAAGATGAGACTGCCACTTGGCTACTTGGGACTCCTTACACCACTGAACCAACAGGCTGAACCTACTGGTTGGGAAAGATTGAGCCCAATTGTCAAGGGGAAACGGTTGCTGCTACACAGTGAAAGCAAGGAGGACTATGTCTGAAACCCAAGGGATTATCTAAGGCACCTCTTAATACTTCCATGCCAAAAATAAAGATTAATGGAAAACTACAGCAACCAAAAAAGGACTGGACTAATGAGGGAATAAATGTTTGAGTCATTTCACCAGGTAAAGAACCTCAACCAGCTGAGGTTCGTGCTGAAGGCAAGGGAAACATGAAATAGGTAACTGAAGAAAGAAGCCTAGATATCAACTGTGGCCTCATTACTAATCACAGAAATGAGGATGAACTTTCTCTTTGTTATATTTGGTATTTGTTTGTATATTCTAACCATTTTCTTCTTTCCTTCTTCCCATTATTATAAGTTGGAATTAGTTCAGTTTAGTTTTGTTTTTTTGAGACCGAGTCTCACTCTGTTGCCCAGGCTGGAGTGCAGTGGTGCGATCTTGACTCACTGCAACCTCCGCCTCCCAGCTTCAAGTGATTCTCTTGCCTCAGCCTCCTGAGTAGCTGGGATTCCAGGGGTGTGCACCACACCCGGCTAATTTTTTTTTTTTTTTTTTTTGAGACCAAGTCTCACTCTGTCATCAGGATGGAGTGCAGCGGCAAGATCTCGGCTCACTGCAACCTCCGCCTCCCAGGTTCAAGCAATTCTCCTGCCTCAGCCTCCCAAGTAGCTGGGTCTATAGGCGTGCACCACCACACCTGGCTAATTTTTGTATTTTTAGTAGAGACGGGGTTTCACCATGTTGGCCAGGATGGTCTTGATCTCTTGACCTCGTGATCCACCCAACTCGGCCTCCCAAAGTGCTGAAATTACAGGCATGAGCCACCGCACCCGCCTTGAAATTAGATTTATAATACAACTTTTGGTAACAAACTAGTCAGTGGAACTTTGTTTTCTGCCACATGAAAATCTTTAAAGCTTATGCTGACGCATATCTGAATGCTTGTCATCAAAGTGTGCAGTAAAAAAAAAAAAGGCAGTTTAAGAAAATTTGAGCATTTCAAAGAAAGCACTTTTAAAAATGTATATACATGAAGGTGGCCGGGTGTGGTAACTCACACACCTGTAATCCCAGCACTTTTGGAGGCCAAGCGGGTGGATCACCTGAGGTCAGGAGTTCGAGACTAGCCTGGAGAACCCCCGTCTCTACTAAAAATATAAAAATCAGCCGAGCGTGGTAGCACACACCTGTGGTCCCAGCTACTTGGGAGGCTGAGAGGCAGGAGAATCGCTTGAATCTGGGAGGCGGTGGTTGCAGTGAGCCAAGATTGTGCCACTGCACTCCAGCCTGGGCAAAAGAGCGATTTTCAAGGGAAAAAAAAAAAAATGTGGCTGGGCGCAGTGGCTCACGTCTGTAATCCCAGCACTTTGGGAGGCCGAGGTGGGCAGATCACAAGGTCAGGAGATCGAGACCATCCTGGCTAACACGGTGAAACCCCGTCTCTACTAAAAATACAAAAAGAAATTAGCCGGACGTGGTGGCGGGAGCCTGTAGTCCCAGCTACTCAGGAGGCTGAGGCAGGAGCATGGCGTGAACCCGGGAGGTGGAGCATGCAGTGAGCCAAGATCGCGCCGCTGCACTCCACCCTGGGCGACAGAGCGAGACTCCATCTCAAAAAAAAAAAAAAAAATGTATATACATGAAGAACATTTTGCTATATCATGAAATAAATGTAGCGCTGTAAGATAAAGGAAGATGAATATAAATGGAGTTTTGGCCATTTTTATTTTTTTTTGAGATGAAGTCTTGTTCTGTTGCCCAGGCTGGAGTGCAGTGGTGCAATCTTGGTTCAATGAAACCTCTGCCTCCTGGGTTCAAGCAATTCTCCTGCCTCAGCCTCCCAAGTAACTGGGATTACAGGCACTCACCACCATGCCCAGCTAACTTTTTGTATTTTTAGTAGAGACAGGGTTTCATCATGTTGGCCGGGCTGGTCTTGAACTTGGGATCTCAAGTGATCCGCCTGCCTCGCCTCCCAAAGTGCTGGGATTACAGGTGTGAGCCACCATGCCCGGGCAGAGTTATGCCCATTTTGCCCCTCCACATGCTGCAGCCATCTTTAACCTGTTTAACTTAATGATTATAGTTTTGTTTTTCTTTTTTCATCTTATTCAGTATATTTCAGGCTATTCAGCAGATGCTTGTGATTCTGGAGGTTCAAATCACTGGTAAAAGTTTATTCTGTTTCCTCAGTTTTTCAGGAGCTTTTCTCCATTAAATGATCTGCTGCCTAAAGTACCCTCTGTCTTCCTCATCAACAGGCGCTAAATTCAAAAAGTACCTTACTGAAACTTTTTTGTTCATAACTTTCATTGTTGGAGTTAGGTCATATCCTGCTAACAACAGTCTTATTGATCAGTTGTAACCCCATATGTTGTGTTTTTATTCTTACTTATAAGAGGTAAATTTTTGTAACAGTCACATCCTTTAAATGATACTTCATTATATTCAAATTCTATATGTAGACAATCTTCAATGCCCACTTCCATCAGGATAGCTGGCAAGTTGGTGAACAGTAAGATCACATTCTTTTTACCAAGTCTGTCAGTCTTCTTACTACTAACACTTCAATACATCAAGAGGACATTAGCACCAATGTAAGATTCTCATGACTTTTCAACATGTATAAATTCCAAATGACAACTTCTGAGTCAGCTCTCCAGGTAAGGCTAGTTCTTTCACTAGGTTTACAAACTCTTGAATATTACTCTTATCATAGAAAAGTTCAATTTGACGTACAAATTCAATTCTAATGTTGTGGTGCTCTAGCTCTTTCTAGACTCTTTCACCTTTCCTGAAACAGATTCTCCATCATAGAGGAGATGGTGTTTTTCTACTTCGCCATTTTCAGTTTTCACTTCTGCCATTTTCTTTGTTTCCTTATCATTAAGGACAATATCAATCTCACAAATCAGACCAAAAAAGCCTCCAAAAAACCTCACTGTCAGTGATACTGCCACATCCCCCAATACTTCACTCCTCTTCCCTCAGAACTCCAAGCCCCTGGCTCCCATCACATGACCTTGGCCCTCTGAAGCTGGAACTTCTATTTGAGGACTGATAAACAGCCAGCAGGCCAAGCACAGTGGCTCACACCTATAATCCCAGGACATTGGGAGGCTGAGGCCGGAGGATTGCTTGAGCTCAGGAGTTTGAGACTAGCCTGGGCAACACAGCAAAACCCTGATTCTATTAAAACAAACAAACAAACAAAAATATAGCCAGCAATGGATACAATGACTATGGGGCTGAGCATGTCCTCATTCCTCATTTTAGAACAAGGGTGAGAGTTTCACCCTCTGACATAGCTGTATCTTGTTAGGTAGAAACATAAGAGTTTCATTGTTATATGGGAGCTCAAATGTGTGTAAAGTGCATATGGAAGCTAAGTAGCCAAAATAATAGGCTATGCAAGTAATCAATATATTGCCTCTCAATTCCAAATCTACCTTTCATTGCCCTGCCTGTAATAATGTAAACATTTCTTCCTAGAGAGCGGGCATGATGACACTAAGCTTAGTAGAGGGCATGGAAGGAAAGGGTTTCTCTTCCTGGTTCTAGTGTGCTTTTGCATCTTCTTACTTCCATGGTGCTCTGCTGGTGTGCAGAACACCCCATGGTGCTCATCCCAACAAGCTTTAGTGGGCATTCTCATGGACATCTTCCCAGGCAAGTTCCACCAGTGCCTCAAACAGGCTTGCTGGTGATGCCGCAGCACCCCCAAGTACAGCTTCCTGCTTAACTACCTTTGAGGTAGAAGACCAGCAGGACTTAATTTCCTGTCGCACCCTGCTGATTGGAACAAGATCTGGCTGAAACCAGCAGATGCTGACAAAAGTAACCTCGAGTTGCCCTCAGGGTTTATTAGCATAAAGACACTCCTACCAGTGCCATGGCAGTTTACAAATGCCATGGCAACAGCCTAGAAGTTACCTTATCTGATTCCCAGAAACTTCCAGCCCCTTTTCCAGAAAGTTCTAAATAACCTGCCTCTTAATTAGCATGTAATTAATAACAGATATAAACAGCTAGCTAGCAGCTCACAGACACCGATTCTGGGCACACTGCCTATGGGTTAGCCCTGCTCAGCAAGAAGCAGCACTGGTTCAATAAAAGTTTCTTTCTCTCACTACTGGCTCACCCTTAAATTCTTTCCTGGCAAAGCCAAGAACCCTCCTGGGTTAAGCCCCAGTCTGGGGGCTTGTTTGCCCCACATCACCCTGACCTGCAGCAACTCAGCAAACATCTTTACTACCAAATGGAGACTTCCTCCAAGATATGCAATCAGCTTTGGGGGCAGGGTGGGGGAGGGGCGCATACTTTTCCAAATTTGTTATTTCTTTGTGTACTCTGCCCCAGCCCTAAGGGTAGTGACTATTCCCTATATCTGTCATTCCTGTATTCTTTAGAGTTCTCTTTACCCCTATAGTAAATTCTCTGTTCAATTTATGGTGTAGCTTCTGTCTCCTGAATAGACTCTGATCCAAATATTGGCCATTAAAAACAGCATAAATCTACATAATAGGAAAGAGTGGAAGAAAAAATGAAAGATGTTTAACCCAAAGAAAATAAATCAGAAGGCAAATGTTAATCTCTAAATGTCTAAAAAGCTATCACCTACCGCAGAACATACTGTATCTCTGTTGCTCAGCACTAACAGCAGCAGCAGAAACAGCAGAATGCCTGTTCGTTTTACACAGAAAAACTGAAGACCAGAAATATTAATTTGTTAAATAGAAAGCAAAATCCTTCAATGAAGACCTCTAAGGAGTCTAATGTTAATACTTAAGTTTACAGTTGACATAGTTTTGCATCTTCTCATTTCATTTTAAATTGCTGAAAACCCACTGGAGGGCCAGGCTTGCCAGTTTTTTGCAGTGAGAGTCCTAAGTTAATTTTTTCACAAGAAACAAAACAAAAAAACTCTTCTTTCAGTCTGCCTGGAGCTCACTTTTGAAGTTTCACCTCCAGTTTTGTCCTCTAGAAACAGAGCATTTCTGCTTCACAATGGACCAATATGCTCCAGTTACATCCGATTAAAATACTGTTACACAACCAATTAAGTAGGAAAAGGGGCTGATGGTCAAACAGAATGATTTAACAAAAGTATATAATGGGTTGAACTGTAAGAACTTTCTATGTGGACATTAATCATCATTCTAATATCATCTTACATTTAAATATTAACCCCTTCAACGAGGTTTCAAAGCACTGAAAATAATTTCTGTCACTTCAGGCAAACAACTATTTTTATAGAGCTCTCCTTTTACACAGCAGGAATCTTAGCCTCAAAGAGGGCAAACAACTTGCCTAAGAAATCAAAGCTAGTAGGTGCTCTATCCACAGCTTCCTCAAAATTTAAACAAATTCATGACAGATAACATATTTCCAGAAAGATGCGTACCAATAACCTGGCAAGAATTATTACGATTGTATCTGGTCTTGTTTTTAAGTTTCTTTTCCCATGTGAGGCCAGAAACAAATAGATATTAAAGATTATTCATTCAATAGCTACAGAGGATCTACTATCCACCAGACAGTGTTCTAGGTGCTGGGCCACAGCAGTGACCAAAACAAAAGCCCTGTCCCTCTCATAAAATTTGTTTCTATAATATCTTCTTCTGGTGGGGAAAGGCAGATGAGATAAGTAAACTATACAAATTATTAGAAAGTGACATGACAAAAGCCACGAAGAAAATTCAAGTAGAACAGTGGGACGAAAAAATAGAAGGGGTGCAATTTTTAAAAAGATAGTCGAGAAGTACTCATTGAGAAAGTGAAGAGTCAATCATGAATATATCAAAGGGAAGAACATTCCAGGCAGAGAAAACTGCTAGTGCTCAGAGCTCAAGGCAGATGCCCACCTGGCTTGTTCAAGGAACAGTAGCAAGAACACCATGAAGCAAAGTAAGTAAAGGGGTAACTAAGAAAAGATCTGGTCAGAAAGATGACAACGACATCATAGGGCCTTGTGGTATTTCATAAGGACTTTGGCTTTTACTTTGAGATGGGCAACCACTGGAGGGTTCTGTGCAAAAGAACAGCATGATCAATGTACAGGACCACTGTAGATGTTTTTAAGAATATGCTGCAGGGAGCAAGCAAATGGAAGCAGAGAGACTAATTTGGGAAGTTATTACAGTAGCCAAGGTTAATGATGGTGGTCCAATCAGGGAGAGAGCAGTGGAGGTGGTGAGATGTGGTCAGGTTCCAAATATCTTTTTCTGACAAACTGGGTGTGGGGTGTGAGAGGAGCAGAAGAGGATAGGGAAACCAAATGTTTAGCCTTAACAACCAGGACAGAATTTCCATTTAAGGAGATGGGGAGGCAGGTGGTTTTTTTCTTCTTTTTCTTCTCTGTTTTGATTTTGGGGTGGGGCAATCATGAATTCAGTTTAGAACATTTCAAATTTGAGATATCAATTCTACATCCAAATGGAGATTTCAAGCTCGAATTTCAAATTTCCTTAGTTCTCACTCAACCCCCTCATGGAATTTAACCAATATTGTATCTGTTCTTACAAAATGTTCCCCATAACTGCTTAGCATTTAAGCAATGTTGACATATTTGTGTATTTCTCTCTGCAACTGGACAAACCAGAACAAACGTACAAAATACCTAACATATAAAGCATCCCTTTAATTCTGAAGAGATCTGTGATATGATGGTTAATTTGAAATTTTTTTCCCTTTAAATATGAGCTGCATTTGTTTATTTCTACGATTTTAACGATTTTTAAGTGTACAGTTCAGTGGTATTAAGTACATTCACACTGTTGTGCAATCATCACCACCATCCATCTCCAGAACTTTTTCATCTTGCAAATCAGAAACTTTGTACCCATTAAGCAACACCAAACACATCCATTCCCCGCCTCTCCCAGCCCCTGGGAACCACCATTCTACTTTGTTTCTGTAAATTTGACTACTTAAGGTAATTTATATAAATGGAGTATATTTATATTTGTTTCTGTAAATTTGACTACTTTAGGTACCGCATATAAATTTGTATTTTTGTGACTGGCTTTTTTCACTTAGCATAGTGTCTTCAAGGTTTATTCATGTTGTACCATATCAGAATTTCCTTCCTTTTTAAGGCTAAATAACGTTCCATTATATGAATGTACCACATTTTTGTTTATTCATTCCATGTGTTGATGGGACATCTGGGTTGCTTCCATCTTTTGGCCACTGTGAATAATGCTGCTACAAACATGAGTGTACAAATATCTGTTCAAGTCCCTGATTCCAATTCCTTTGGGCATATATCCAGAAGTTGGGTTGCTGGATCTTACAATAATTCTGTTTTTAATTTTTTGAGGAGCCACCATACTATTTTCCATAGCACTTTCATTTTACATTCCTATCAGCAGTACACAAGGGTTCTAATTTTTCCACATCCTCGTAAACACTTGTTAATTTCTGTTCTTGTTTTCATACTAGCCATCCTAATGAGTATGAAGTGATATTTCATTGTGGTTTTGATTTGCATTTCTCTAATGATTAATGATGCTGAGCATCTTTTCATGTATTTCTTGGCAATTTTTGTATCTTTTATGAAGAAATGTTTCTTCAAGTCCTTTGCCCATATTTTTAATTTTTTTTTGTTGAGCTCTAGAAGTTATTTACATATTCTGGATATTAACTCCTGAGAAGATATAAGATTTGCAAATATTTTGCCTCCATGGGTTGCCTTTTCACTCTACAGAGATAGACAAAAATTTTCAATTTTCATATAGCCTAATTTATCTGTTTTTTCTTTTGTCGTCTGTGTTTTTGGTGTATATCCAAGAAAACACTGCCAAATCCAATGTCATGAAGATTTCCCTCTATGTTTTCTTCTAAGAAATGTATAGCCTTGGTGCTTTGTTTAGGTCTTTGATCCATTTTAAGTTAATTTTTGAATATAAGATAATGGTCCCAACTTAAAAAAAAGAGAGGGAGAGACAGGATTTCTCTCTGTCTCCCAGGGTGAATGCAGCGGTGTACTTTACCATAGCTCACTGCAGCCTTGAACTCCTCAGCTCAAAGGATCCTCCTGCCTCAGTTTCCTGAGTAGCTGGGACTACAGGCCCACACTACCTTTTTTTTTTTTTTTTTTTTTTTTTTTTTTTTTTTTTGAGACAGAGTCTTGCTCTGTTGCCCAGGCTGAAGTGCAGTGGCGCAATCTTGGCTTATGTAAGCTCTGCCTCCTAGGTTCATGCCATTCTCCTGCCTCAGCCTCCTGAGTAGCTGGGACTACAGGCGCCTGCCACCATGCCCGGCTAATTTTTTGTATTTTTTAGTAGAGACGGGGTTTCACCATGTTAGCCAGGATGGTCTCGATCTCCTGACCTCATGATCTGCCCTCCTGGGACTCCCAAAGTGTTGGGATTACAGGTGTGAGCCACCGCACCTGGCCAATTTTTTTTTCTTTTAAGAGATGAGGTCTTCCTATAGTGCCTAGGCTGGTCTTGAACTCCTTGCCTCAAGCAATCCTCTCACTTGGCCTCCCAAAGCGCTGGGATTATTGGCATAAACCACTGTTCCCAGCAGGATCCAACTTTTTTATGTGGATATCCAGTTTTCCCCTCATCATTTATTGAAAACACCATCCTTTCCCATTGAATGGTCCTGGTACCGTTGTCTAAAATCATCTTACCATGTATAAAAGAGTTTATTTCTGGGCTTTCCATTCCGTTCCTTGATCTATATGTCTCCCTTTAAGTCAATACCACACAGTTTTGATTATTATAGCATTTCAGTAAGTTTTGAAAATCAACAAATGAGACTTCCAACTTTGTTCTTTTTCAAGATTGTTTTGTCTATTCAGGAGGGCTCCTTGAGATTCCGAATGGATTTTTCTATTTCTGCAAAAAACATTGTTCAGATTTTGAGGAAAAAATATCATCTTTTAAAAACACATTTAGGGCCGGGTGCAGTGGCTCATGCCTGTAATCCCAGCACTTTGGGAGGCCGAGGCGGGCAGATGACCTGAGGTCAGGAGTTTGAGACCAGCCTGACCAACATGGAGAAACCCCATCTCTACTAAAAATACAAAATTAGCTGGGCGTGGTGGCACATGCCTGTAATCCCATCTACTTGGAAGGCTGAGGCAGGAGAATTGCTTGAACCCGGAGGCGGAGGTTGCAGTGAGCCATGAACGGGTCACTGCACTCCAGCCTGGGCGACAGAGCGAGACTCCGTCACAAAAAACAAAACAAAACAAAACAAAAAACACATTTAGGCTGGGTGCAGTGGCTTACGCCTGCAATCCCAACACTTTGGGAGGCTGAGATGGGCAGATCACTGAGGTCAGGAGTTTGAGACCAGCCTGGCCAACATGGTAAAATGCTGTTTCTACTGAAAATACAAAAATTAGCTGGGCATGGCGGCAGGCGCCTGTAATCTCGGCTACTCGGCAGGGTGAGGCAAGAGAATCACCTGAACCTGGAAGGTGGAGGCTGCAGTGAGCCAAGATCATGCCACTGCATTCCAGCCTGTGCAACAAAGCAAGACTCCTTCTCAAAAATAATAAAATAAAATACACATTTAGGCCGGGCACAGTGACTCACACCTGTAATCCCAGTACTTTGGGAGGCCGAGGTGGGAAGAACACTTGAAGCAAAGAGTTCAAGCCCATCCTGTGCAAAAAAGCAAGACCCTGTCTCTACAAAAGATTTTAAAAATTAGCCAGGCATGGTGGTGTGCACCTGTAGTCCTAGCTACTTGGGAAACTGAGGCGGGAGGATTACTTGAACCCAGAGTTCCAGGCTGCTATGATCACACCACTGCACTCCAGCCTGGGTGACAGAGTAAGACCCTGCCTCAAAACAAAAAAACACTTTAAATCGTCCTACCAGCGACCGACATTTCAACTGCTGCTTCTGAGGCTCATAGTTGTAGCGATCATTTGTGTGTATCTTTCTTATCCACAACCGTAGCATTTTTCACAAGGAATTTATCCTTGAGAAATGTAAAAAGCATGTAAAATTTAAAGCTAACAGAACTTGAGCAAACAATAGACTACTCAATAATAATTGTTGGATACTGCAATACCTCACTTTCACTAATGGATAGAACAACAAGACAGAATACCAACGAGGAAAGAGAAGACCTATATAACACTATACACCAACTACATCTAATGGACATCTTACAGAACATTCCACCCGCATCAAGAGCCGAATATACATTCTTCTTCAGGACAGACCATATGTTAGGCCAGAAAACAAGCCTCCATATATTGAAAGGGATTGAAAGAATACCAATTATGTTCTCCAACCACAATGGGATGAAATTAGAAAGTAAACAGAAGATTGGGGAATGCACAAATATGCAGAAATTAACACACTCCTAAATAATCAACACGTCAAAGAAATCCCAAAAGAAATTAGAAAATACTTTCAGATGAATGAAAATGAAAACACAACATATCAAATCTTAAGAGGTACAGCTAAAACAGTGGTAAGAGGGAAATTTATAGCCATAAACACCTATATTAAAAGAATAAAATAAAATAAAAATCACCAATCACTAACATAACCTTCTACCAAAAGAAACTAGAAAAATAGCAAACTAAACTCAAATGAGGCAGAAGGAAGGAAATAAAAAAGATTAAAGTGGAAATAAAGGAAACAGAGGAGAGAAAATAGAGAAAACTCACCAAAACTGAAAGTTGGTTCTTTCAAAAGATGAAAAAAATTGACAAACTTTTAACTACATTTATGAAGAAAAAAGGAGAGAGGATTCAAACTACTAAAACCAGAAATGAAAAGGAGATATCACTATGAATCTTACAGGAATAAAAAAGGTTTATAAGGGAATACTAAGAACTGTAGGCAAACAAATTATATAACCTAGATGAAATGAACAAATTTCTAGAAACATAAAAACTACTAAAACTAACTAAAGAAAAAAACGTTTGGGTGGAAAATTCCAAAACTAACATCTGTGGCTATCTCTATAGTTTCTAACAATGCAGCTCAAGAATTAGCACCTGGCTAGGTGCAGTGGCTCACGCCTGTAATCCCAGCACTTTGGGAGGCGAACATGGGTGGATCACCTGAGGTCAGGAGCTCAAGAACAGCCTGGCCAACATGCTGAAACCCCATCTCTACTAAAAACACAAAAATTAGCCAGACATGGTGGTGGGAGCCTGTAACCCCAGCTACTCGGGAGGCTGAGGCAAGAGAATCACAAGCCCTGGAGGCAGAGGTTGCAGTGAGCCAAGATCACGCCATTGCACTCCAGCCTGGGCAATAAGAGCAAAACTCTGTCTCGCGGGGCGCGGGGAGAGAAAAAAAAAAAAGGATTAGTACCATAATAGATGGAGTTCCTTCAAATTTCCTCTACAGAGTTGAAGGATCTCATCCTCTATGGTAAGGCATAAGCAGACAAATCTTATGTTAAGAGAATCTTGCTTTGAAGTAACCTCTTGGTTAGACACTTCTTGTGCCCCCACCTCACACTCTGTTAAGTTCACTATTTATTCTAGCTATTGCTACAGCATCCAGCTGCACATAGGTGTGATTTGACAGCACTTTGTATCAACCAAACCAGAGTTTTCTGCCCTACAACTTCTCTGACACCAAGAGACAAGACATCTGCATCCTGGCACCACACATGTGCAAATCCAGAAGTACAAGAGTGTTAGGCCCAGGAGGCAGAGCTTGCAGTGGGCCGAGATCGCACCACTGCACTCCAGCCTGGGCGACAGAGCAAGACTCTGTCTCAAAAAAAAAAAAAAGAGTCTTAAGCAATGAGAGATGGTAAATGGTGAATAAATGTTATCCACTTCTATAACCAAGATACTCAGGTAGTGAACACTGAGAGGCATTCTATACAGGTCCTCAAAAGACCCCAAAAGACTTAAGCCCACTTTGCCCACAGCAGTGACTAGGTCAGTAGTCATACTTCACTGTATTCTTTTCCTCTAATTTCACTTTTCCCAGTATCCCACTCTTGTGCCCTGGGGCCACTTCCCAAAATAAACTACCTACATGCAAAGCCCTTGCCTCAATATGGATTTTCTCTCAGTAACTAGAACTTAAGATAGGTTTTTTAAAAAGTCTTTAAAAGCTGGGCATGGTGGCTCATGCCTGTAATCCCAGCACTTTGGGAGGCCGAGGTGGGTGGATCACCTGAGGTTGGGAGTTCGAGACCAGCCTGACCAACATGGAGAAACCCCGTCTCTACTAAAAATACAAAATTAGCCAGGTATGGTGGCGTGTGCCTGTAATCCCAGCTACTTGGGAGGCTGAGGCAGGAGAATTGCTTGAACCCAGGAGGTGGAGGTTGTGGTGAGCTGAGATTGTGCCATTGCACTGCGCTCCAGCCTGGGGAACAAGAGCAAAACTCCATCTCAAAAAACAAGAACAAAAAAACCCAAAAAACATCAGAAGGCTGGGCGTGGTGGCTCACACCTACAATCCCAGCACTTTGGGAGGCAGAGGCAGGTGGATCACCTGAGGTCAGGAGTTCGAGACCAGCCTGGCCAACATGGTGAAACTCCATCTGTACTAAAAATACAAAAAATTAGCTGGGCATGGTGGCGGGCACCTGTAATCCCAGCTACAGCAACTTGGGAGGCTGAGGCAGGAGAATCGCTCGAACCTGGGAGACGGAGGTTGCAGTGACCTAAGATCGTGCCATTGCATTCAAGCCTGGGCAACAAGGGCGAAACTTCGTCTCAAAAACAAAAACAAACAAAAAAAAATCAGAATTATATTTTCACTTAAAGCTCAAGAAGAAGCTATTTTGTCTTATTCAATACAAAGCCCCAAAAGAAACTGAAATAACGTGGCTTAGAGTATTAATTAAATGCTTGGCTTAGAAAAGGATTGTAGTCCATGAGCTGGTTTCAATGGAGTCCTAAACACTCTAAACGTAAATGTAACATCTTGTATATGGGTATATGTGGACTTTTCTGAAGAGAAATTCTGTATTTTTATTAGAAAACCATGAACCAAAAAAACTTTAAGAAACATTACGTGCTGTTAATTTGCTGATGTGTCTCCAGCATGCAACTCATTAACTGGAAAATGAAAGAAAAGAAATAAAACTTTGTTCCAGGAATTTGGTGGAGTTCGGATGGATGTCTTGCTGTCTATACATAGCAACATAATGTGCAGCTTATGTCTGGGCTCCACTTGTGAGTTATGATGCCAATTTACAGCGTGGCTCCAATAGCTGTTCAGAAACTCTAACACACCACAGATTTATTTATCTGTTAATATTTCACATTTTTGGTGCTTTTGCATTTTTCTGATGCTAAATCCTTTGCATCCTACCAGATGAGATAGTGATGAAGCACACAGAATACCTTCTGTGTCATGATATTCTAAAAAAGTAGATTTACTGTTTCACTGCTGGCATGACTTTACACATGCAAACAGTTATCACAATAGTAAACTGTTTACCTACTCTAATTACGATGGAAACAACCAGTAACACTGCCATTTGTACAGCACTTAGTGCAATGTGTCTAGCCCCAAACACTATAAATAAGAGTAATTTACCTCCATGGTCGCACAGAGCTTTATCCCACAAATAATTTGTAGTTAAGTCTTGTTAAACCTTCACTGTAATGGAAACGGCATCAACATAAAATTGAGGATAATACAGTATTACACATGATTTAGGAATGAAACTAACATTCTGTGCCTGCTGGACCAGTCCTGTGTCTTTGCCTAGAACACCCTCTAGCCTCCCACCATATTATCAAGTCAATAAGGAGGAAGAATCCAAATGAAGCCAGGTTTCACTTCGCATCAGGGATGAGGACAATAACAAAATTCAAGAATTGCTTCAATTACCAAAAGCTTTAAACCTAGGGTATGTATAAGAAAGTTAATGGTCAATTATTCCTTATAGTATTTAAAATCTGTGCTTTAAACCTGAGAACAGATTACTGAGCTGTTTTAATAAAAAGGAAATCTAAAAACATTAAATTAAGTGTTCTTAACTAAAATGTCTGCCAAGCTTAAAAAGTTCCTTATGCTATGCAAATTACTTAGATATAAAATATTTTTAATGTCTTAATTCAGTCAACATATTGTACTTGCAACCCTACTGTAAACAAACACTAACCCAGAATGGCTAGGGAACTGCGCATTTTGTTGAATTCTTCCCAGATACTGCATACTGGGTTATCAAATAACAAAGTTATCAAATTAAATGTTACTGAATGTAGTAAATTTTATCTGATAATTCAGGAGGCACTTTAGGAAGACTTTGAATGTGAATTTTAACTGCACTAAACTAAATGTAGTGTTAGAAATTAATAAATGTAGTATTAGAAAGCATCTAACAACAATTGATATACCATGGAAACCTCCTTTTGGAATAACTTCTTCACACCTTTCTGTCAAGTGACTTTCTCACCAAATGACATTAAATATCAGTAGTCATTTGAACTTCTTAACTTTTATAATTCTGGATAAAAGAGAGTTTACAATAACTATCAAAAATCATAAGTGGGCTGGGCGCGGTGGCTCACGCCTGTAATCCCAGCACTTTGGGAGGCTAAGGTGGCCGGATCATGAGGTCAGGAGATCGAGACCATCCTGGCTAACATGGTGAAACCCCGCCTCTACTAAAAATACAAAAAATTAGCTGGGCGTGGTGGCGGGCGCCTGTAGTCCCAGCTACTCAGGAGGCTGAGGCAGGAGAATGGCGTGAACCCGGGAAGCGGAGCTTGCAATGAGCCGAGATCATGCCACTGCACTCCAGCCTGGGCGACAGAGCGAGACTCCGTCTCAAAAAAAAAAAAGAAAAAAGAAAAAAAAATTCATAAGTGAAAATGCTTGACAAAAACTTAAAAGTCCATACAATTAATCCGGGTGGGATTAGAAGCTATATTAGACCTAGAACTTGGGCCTCAAGTCTTTACCCAACTTGTGTTTTAGTAACATTATATTTCAACAATTATGACCCCAACCAAATCCAGTCCATAAGGTGTTAATGTAAGATGTTTATTAGTGGAATTTATTTAGTACAGTAATCACATTAGAAGTCCCAATATACAAACTGTTGAAGTCCAAAGTCACAAAAAATACAAACTTAGGTATACGAATGAAATTATAAAAACATTATTTAAAAACAAAGTTCTACATCTTCAACATTGGGCCAAAAAAGGAAAAAAAAAGAGAGAGAGAAAGAGAAAGAAGGCATATGAAAATCATCACATTTCAACAAAGCAGCCCTGACCAGTCTGGCTGCCTCACCATTGAGATACTGGACCACTTGGGTGTGACCACTATGGCAATACAGCATTTCATTATGGGACTGGCTACTTTGTATAAAACTATATGTGAAACATAAAATTTCTTTCTTTCAAAATGAAACGTCCAAGTGAAACAGATAGAGCTAACATATACCAAATTTTAGCTGGCTGTTAGTAGAAAATTTCAACAATTCTGTAAGTTCAAAAAGGAAACATATTTGAAAAAAACAAATTTCAAACAAAAATAAGCATAACCAAATGGAAATAAAAGAATAAATAAATGTCAATCATGAAGTGTGAGTGTACACAACGGAAAGTCATACCCAGGCTTCTCCACCCATAACTTAGACAGCTACAGGGACTGGTTACGAGCAATAGAAAGATGTCAAACATGATTTTTAAAAATAACTACTACCAGTTTTGAAAAGATCCCTGGCGAAAGAAACCCCAAAATCAACTTAATAAATAACTGTACACCAAAGGGAAAGGGTTGTGTTTTCTTTGATGGTGTATTCTCTATGGCAAGAGAGTTTTAATATTTTATCAACTGCTAAGAAGATAAGCATAACCTCTTTCCTTTAAAACATATCACCCTCAAGTGTCTTCTGTCCAGAATCCATAGAAGAAATTTTTGTCAGAGAATCCAGCCCTTGTGACCAGACCCCTGTAGAAGAGGGAATGCTTCCTAAATTCCGGAAGTCGCTGCAAGGATTCAGTTTAAACTTTCATGATATTCTAATCTTACCATCTCAAAAGTAGTTCTGTATCAGGGGATCTAAAACAATGTATATCTGGCCAGGCACAGTGTCTCACACCTGTAATCCCAGCACTTTGGGTGGCCAAGGCGGGTGGATCACTTGAGATCAGGAGTTCGAGACCAGCCTGGCCAACAAAGTAAAACCCCGTCTCTACTAAAAATACAAAAATTAGCTGGTGTGGTGGCGCACACCTATAATCCCAGCTACTTGGGAGGCTGAGGCAGGAGAACCACTTGAACCTGGGAGGCAGAGGGTGCAGTAAGCCAAGATCGCGCCACCGCACTCCAGCCTAGGCAAGAGTGAGACCCTGTCTCAAAAACAAAAAACAATGTATATCTCAAAATCTTTCTCAGAACATGGTGCCAATTATTTCTTTTAAGCTGAAATAATCTGTACCTTGGGGGTTATAAGAAGCTGCATAATCAGTAAAAGGATAGAAAACTTTAAAGTATTTCAGATTTTAAACCAGAATTCCTCTAAGATTTCAAAACATGGTCCATGTTTTATGTTATATTTCTATAAATACAATCAAAGCATACCATTGTACAGTACTAATCTCAACTGGTTCTAGATTTAAGCAATTAGTTTGAAAAAATTAGGAATGGGAATAAGAAAGTCCTGTTGAAACAATCTTAGATTGTTAAGAGTCCGTCTCCAAAAAAAAAAAAATTTGGCCCAACTTGCAAATAATAAAGGATTATTTAATTTGGAAAAATATTCTAGGATTACTCAGAACTACTCAATTTAAAAACTTAAAATATCTATCATTATTTAGATTTTAGTAAGGTGGAGAGAAACATAGGTAGCCTGTAAGATTAACCTTCCCTAAAAGCAAGCTCAGAGAAGGAAGGAGGAGGGAGAAGAAAAGGAAATTCGCTGCAGTACTGGTGGCCTCAACCCCTTTATGAAAACACATGTTCTCATTTGGTGTTACACTATTCTGATTCATGTTGAACATTTGAAAACCAAAGGAAAAAGGTCAACTAAAAATATTTAAAGGAAAAAAATGTGAGAATGAATCAAATGATAAAATCATAAAGAAAACAAGAAATAAAAGACATTAGATAACCTTTGTAAAAATTACTAAAATTAAAAAGAATTCATTTTGCACTTTGTGTTCACAAAGGGAAATGAGGCTCCATCAAACCCTGCAGAGCACAAGAGGAAGCAGGTTGTTTGCTCAGGCATCAGCAGAAATAGGCCCCGAAGAACTACCCTCAGTTTCTTCTACATCATGTCCAGGAATGAAAAGCAAAGCTCTGCAAAATGCTGAAGGTTTTAGAAGTATAACGATGCTTAGGAAAGATCACTGGTCTGGTGTTGCAGCAGCCCCAGTGTTGAGAGACACGCTAGGCTTCTAGGAGGAGAAAAATAGAGAGGGAGGAAGAAGTAGGAAGGGGAAGAAAAGGGTGGAAAAGCACAGGTCATTAGTAAACAGCAAGTTCAATATCACAAGATGCTCATAAACCAAAGCTATTAATGAAGCTGGTTTGCTCTCGGGACTATAGATAACATTCTGAAGGAAACAGAAATGGGAATTTTCAAAATGGCATTGAGTTAGATGCTCCAGGTAGTGATGGCCAAATTAGAATGAAGTCACCACATGCTCCAAAAACATGCACTGCCATCCCCTCCCTCCACCTTCCCTCCCCAAATAAAACATGCATATTTTCAGTAAAGTATCTTTTTTTTTTTTTTTGAGACGGAGTCTTGCTCTGTTGACCAGGCTGGAGTGCAGTGGTGCGATCTCGGCTCACTGAAACCTCCGCCTCCTGGGTTCAAGCGATTCTTCTGCCTCAGCCTCCCAAGTAGCTGGGACTACAGGCACGTGCCACCACGTCCAGCTAATTTTTGTATTTTTAGCAGAGATGGGGTTTCACCATATTGGCTAGGCTGGTCTCAAACTCCCAACCTCAGGTGATCCGCCCGCCTCGGTCTCCCAAAGTGCTGGGATTACAGGCGTGAGCCACCGCGCCCGGCCTAGTATCTATTTTAATACAGTTAAGTGGTTCAATTCAAAACTCAATCCAGGTGTGCAAACTATATGCTACCTAAGGGCAGAGAGGTATCCAAGAACAGAACGACCTACTCTCATAATGCCACTGGGTAGTTCATAAAGAGCCAGGTTCTTTTTTGTCACAAGGGAATCCTGAAACAGTGAGGGCCAGGATACAGTTTTTACCCTTCTATTCTGTACTACTAAGGCCTGGCAGCGGTAAGCACCTGCTACACAGAGTTTGAGTCTCTTCTGGTCAGGCATGACTTCCTACTGGAGAAGAAATCTACTCGTTTTTGTAGTTGTTTCCTTCCTGGATGAAAATGGCATCCACTCTTTCAACTGCCTAATCAAGTCAATCCCCTCCAGCCTTTCCTTACCCTGGTTAACTGGTTCCTGCTTAAAGAAAGCTGAATTTACTCATTTTTTAAAAGTTCATGTTCAAACTTCTCCTTTAATCACAGGGATATTTGCATAAATGTTTTCTTAAAAACCACATCACATAGATGACTGCTTTCAAAGCAGACACAGAAAGTCAATACTACATTTGACTGAGATTATCAAAGAAATACAAAAACATCAATTCACAAAACTGGAAGATAAAGTGGCATTTCTGGTTGTTTCTAGCTTCTAAAGTAAAGAGTTCCTAATTTATTAAGTTGCTAATAAGGATGTATATGTCACTTGGTAAACATTCACAACAAAAAGAACTTGGTCATCAAAAAATCTGATGTATAAAGATATATACAACTTTCCTATGGTCATAGAATAAAGAATAAATCCTAGAATAGCTGCTATTGCTAACAGAAGGCTTTCTGGAAGCCTTAGAAAAAGAGAAATACTGTGGTGCCTCACAGAAGGGCTTCTCATAGCTGAGGTATGCATATAAGAGAAATACAGAAATATGACAAATCTAGTAACTACCTCCACTGCAATAATATGAATCAAATGTATGGCCCAGTTAAGAGCACACTTGCAGGAAACAATGGGATTGATCATTAGAAGTCAACTCATTTGGGTTAGCAGTGTTGGCCTGATCACAACTGCAAAGTAAATGCAGGTATTTATGAAAATAAAACACGCAACTCTCACATCAGCTACTTAAGAAAATATTTATATAGTATATCCCTGGGACTCCTGCTACTGCTTTGAGAATTTTGCTCACTACAAAGACATTGGGGCAGGGGGTTGGTGCTGGTTATGAGACAGGAACCCACAGAAACTCAATGCTAACTGAAAGAATATCAAAACCCTAGTAAAGAGCTAAGAGTTTAATTAGAAGTAAATTTCAAAAGCAACAGTTAAGGGAAAGATAAAGGAAACACACTGGGGGCAAAATAAATAACTCCTAATTTGTTGTTCACTGGCTTCCTAACATTGAACTGTAGAAAGCTAAACGCAATGTGATTCAGGGAACAGACCTGCTGTTTTAAGAGTTGTAGTGGCCAAATTCCTCCCATGTAACATATTTTGGTGATCATTATTCTGCATCTACAAAAGTATTTTAAGGTTGATCCAGTTCTTGTGTGGTACAGCTCCAATAAATATTCAAAAAATATCAAAGCAAACTCATTATTCTCCTTCCATTGTTGGAGATTTTACATGGCAATGTCCTGGGTTTAAATACCTCCAACAAGAACACTACCACCCTCAGAAATAATTCATATGCTTCCATTAATAATGCTCTTCAAAGGAGATTATCAAGGTGTTCATTGTAAGTGCATCACCTACACATTTGGGGAATCCTGGGAATCACTTACCTGTAGTATCGCTCCCTTCTACTCCATGACCACCATTGGCTAGGAGTGTTGGTTTAGAAGATGGAGTATCTGCAACAATGACAAATAATTACCCATTGTGACAGACAGAAAAATGAAAAACAGATCCAACCACTGTCTTATTAATGGAGTTTTTCTCACTCTTTGTAGCATTAGGTTAAAGCAATTAAAAACTGTTCAAAATTTAAACATTTAACAAAAGGAAACCCAGAAACAGAACTGAACAGAATCATTAATTCCTAGGGCACCCAAGCTCTGTAAAGTACCAGTTCCATAGGAGAGCCCCTCATAATAGCAAGTCTAAATCTTTTTCATTCTGTAAATTATCAAAGATTACCATTAAATTCAGTAAAACCATCATGGAGCAACACAGGTTTGGTATCAGCAATTCAAATCCAAATCAAACGCTCCAAGAACACGAGGGCATTTGTTTTATTATTATTATTATTTTTGAGATGGGGTTTTGCTCTTGTCACCCAGACTGGAGTGCCATGGTGCAACCTCGGCTCACTGCAACCTCCGCCTTCTGGGTTCGAGTGATTCTCCTGCCTCAGCCTCCCGAGTAGTTGGGATTGCAGGCACCCGCCCCCATGACCAGCTAATTTTTGTATTTTTAGTAGAAATGGGATTTCACCATGTTGGCCAGGCGGGCTCAAACTCCTGACCTCAGGTGATTCACCGCCTTGGCCTCCCAAAGTGCTGAGATTACAGATGTGAGCCACCATGCCCAGCGGAGGCCATTTATTAATTACTTATTAATTCCCACACAGGAAATCCAGGGTACCATCATTGCTTCTGGATGAAGATTGCATGGAGGTAACCAGCTGTATTTCTGGAAGCAGAGGACTCCTTTTTTTTTTTCCCTCTTTTTTTTTTTTTTAAGGAAATTAGTTGTATCTTATTCCCTAATGACTAAGGATGTTGAGCATCTTTTCATGTGTTTCTCTGCCATCCCTTTGTCTTCTTTGGTGACTTGAATGGTCAAATTTTTTGACTATTTTAAAACTGAACTGTTTATTTTCTTATTATTGAGTTTTGAAAATTCTTTATGTATTCCAAATATCACTCCTTTATCAGATAAATTTTGTAAAAATTTCTTCCCTGTTTCTAACTTATACTGTATTTTCATTTACTTAACTGTGCCTTTCAAATAGTTTTTAATTTTTATGAAGTAGGTCACAGGATTTTTTTCCCCATGTTTTCTTCTAGAAGTCTTATAGTTTTCATATTTACATTTCATATTGAGGCCTACGGTACATTTTGAGTTAAATTTTGTATATGGTGTAATGATGTGGGTCTAAGTTTCTATTCCTGTACATTCCTAAGTTTCTATTCCTGTACCTAATAATTAGGTGATTAGGTAGTTACCTAATCACCTAATAATTAGGTAATTAGGTAATTATTACAGAGTCATTTGTGGAAAAAGTCATCTGCATTCTATTGAATTGCCTTTGCACCTTTGTAAAAAAATCAACTGACCATATTACATTGGGTTTATTTCTGGGCTGTTATGTTCCATCAATTTGTAAGGCTATCCATTTTGCCAATACCATCCTGTCTTGATTACTGTATTTGTACAGTAAGTCTTCTTGACAGGGAGTCTCTCTCTGTCGCCCAGGCTGGAGTGCAGTGGCGCAATCTTGACGCTCTGCAACCTCCACCTCCTGGGTTCAAGAGATTCTCCAGGCTCAGCCTCCCCAAGTAGCTGGGACTACAGGCACGTGCCACCACGTCCAGCTAATTTTTTTTTGTATTTTTAGTAGAGACGAGGTTTCACTATGTTGGCCAAGCTGGTCTCAAACTCTTGACCTCAGGTGATCCGCCTGCTTCGGCCTCCCAAAGTGCTGGGATTACAGGCATGAGCCACTGTGCCCAGCCATAAGTCTTAAATAAGGTAATATGAGCCCTCCAACTTGAGTCTTTTCCAAAAATGTTTTTGTTTGTTTTGTTTTGTTTTTTCGAGACAGGGTCTCATTCTGTCACTCAGGCTGGAGTGCAGTAGTGCAATCGTGGCTCACTGGAGCCTCGACTGCTCAGGCTCAAGCAATCCTCCCGCCTCAGCCTCCCAAGTAGCTGGGACCACAGGTGCATGCTACCACGCCTGCCTAATTTTTCATTATTATTATTTTTTGGAAAAACGGGGTCTCCCTATGTTTCCCAGACTGCTCTCAAACTCCTGACCTCAAGCAATCCTCCCACCTTGGCCTCCCAAAGTGTTGGTATTACAGGTGTGAGTCACTGCGCCTGGCCTTGTTTTGTTTCTTTGCTTTTCCATATAAATTTTAGAATCAGTTTTTGATTTATACTAAAATTCTTGATGGGATCTTATATGCAATTGCATATAAGACTATATAGATCAATTTGGGGATTGACTATATAGATCAATTTGGGGATGTACAACTTTTTCTGAAAGTCTCTGACTATATCTAACATTTTAGCAACCAGCCTAGCTCTGCAGTCACCTTGCTGACCGAAGAATTCAGAGATATTATTCCTAAGACAATAAGTGAATATCTACAATATATGCTACTAAAATAAAAAATGCAAGATTTTACTTTGGAAGACCACAAACATGCTGTCCAACCCCTTAGTCCTCATAAATACAAGGCAGAAATCTTTCACACAAGCTTCTTGTTGAAAAGATCATTCATTCTGTTACTTAAGAGGAACAGCCAAAGAGAACAATCTAAAAGAACAAGGCAGTCCAAAACCAGAATATAATTTAAATAAAAGAAAGAAATAAGGAAGGAAAGACAACAGAATTCTATTAAATAGCCGCTATGTAACATATACCCTGCTAAGTCTTCACAAACTGCATTTTACTTATCCAGAGAGATGCCATAAATATGCTCCATCCCACATTTGGCATAAGTAAATTCCCTTTCACATTCACACAATAAGCTTATAAGATTTATTCTTCCTCGCTCAAGAAAGAATGCATATTTTTAAAAACTTGCTTCATTAAAGAATGCATATTATAAGAAAATGGAAATTACAAAAACTGATATCCAGCGAGTGGTATAAGAGCAGCTATTACAGTGATAAAACCTTTTAAAATTTGATAACCAGCATTGACAAGGGTAATTTCATTACATCATTTGGGGGAATGTAAATAGGAATAACCTTTTTATGAGACAATTTGGCAGCCTATCAAATTCTGCAATACTCAACTCAACAATCAGTTTTAGGTATTTAGTTCAAAAAGAGACATAAAAGTATAAAAAAGTGAATATAAACAGAATGTTTATGATGGCACTGCTTAAAAACAACAAATGTCCACCAACAGATTATAATATTGTAAAATAGTACACAGTAATAAAAGAAATGAGAGCACTTCGTGTTACCGATACAGGAAGATAACAGGTATCTAATAGCTAAATATAGATAAAGGCCAAGACACCCTAGGGTATGCCTATAGTCCCAGCTATTAGGGAGGCTAAGGCAGAGGGGTGTCTTGAGTCCAGGAATTTGAGACCAGCCTGGGCAACATAGTGTGACCCCATCTCTAAAAATAAATAAATAAATAAATAAATTAGCTGGGTGTGGTGGCACACGCCTATAGTCCTTATCTCGTAATAAAAAATAATAATAATAAAAAAGAACCTGGCCAGGTGCAGTGGCTCAAGCCTATAATCCCAGCACTTTGGGAGGCTGAGGCAGGTGGATCACTTGAGGTCAGGAGTTCGAGACCTGCCTGGCCAATGCGGTGAAACCCCATATCTACTAAAATACAAAAAATTAGCCAGGCATAGTGGCGTGTGAATCACAACTACTCTAGAGGCTGAAGCACAAGAATAGCTTGAACCTGGGAGGCAGAGGTTGCAGTGAGCTGAGATCGTGCCACTGCACTCCAGTCTGGGCGACAGAGCAAGACTCCATCTCCCAAAAAAAAAAAAAAGCTTTATTCCCATATATTTACCTATGTGATTAGGGTTTCTTCACTATGATAGCTACAAAAACAGGAAAAATTGCCAATCCTATTTCATCAGAGAAAGAAATATTGATCCACAGACCCATGATTTAATTGAGAAAAATAACAGACCCCATCATCTCATAAGAAAAGCATTTCCAATAAAATTCAACTTGTATAGTAATAACATCAAAAATTACAACCTATGTTGGCCGGGCACAGTGGCTCATGCCTGTAATCCCAGCAATTTGGGAAGCCAAGGTGAGCAGATCACTTGAGGCCAGGAATTCGAGACCAGCCTGGTCAACACAGTAAAGCCCATCTCTACTCTTCTTGAGGAAACAAATAGGATTAAGTGAAAATGAAGGGAGATTTAAAAAAAACATAATACATGCAATAGACTGATAAATTTCCTCTGGACCAAGTTAAAACACAGAACCTTTGTCACAGGAACTTTAAAAATTAAAATTTAAGTTTACATACATATTTAGTAGCAGAAACATATTAGCACAATCAAGAAAAAACTTTTAAGCATAAAAATATATTACATTAGGATAAAAGTCTGAGACATGTTATGGAAATAAAAGTTCAAGGACTCAAAAGAAGAATTTAAATTTCCAATGATAAAGAACAGCTTGTTCGTATATTTTTAAACTAGATGATGGAAACCAAAATGCTATATATTTAGAAGCATTTGGATACATTTAGCAGAATGAGGTAACTTATTTTTATGTGGCAAAAGTAAAACATTCTCAAAATTACATGTTTTACAACTAAACTTTTGCTACAAAATTTTAGATGTAAACTTAATGTACAAAGAGACAGAATTTATCAGAATTCTGAGTATGTGACCAAAAGTTAAGACCACTACTTTAGACCAAGTTAAAAAGAAAGCTTGATATATACTGACAGAAAGTTTTCTAAGATAATAAACTAAAAAAAGCAAGTTAAAATTCATACGATTTGATTCCATTTGTAAAATGGAATCAAATGAAAGTAAAGCCACTAAATTTTTTATTGTATGTTTGTAACTGCAAAGAATAAAGTCTTAAAAGATCTACCCTTCTTGAGGAAATAAATAAGATTACATGAAAATGAAGGGAGTTTTCTTTGTTTTTTGTTTGAGACAGAGTCTAGCTCTATCGCCAAGACTGGAGTGCAGTGGCGCAATCTTGGCTCACTGCAACCTCTGTCTCCCGGGTTCAAGCAATTCTCCTGTCTCAACATCCCAAGTAGCTGGTAGCTGGGACTACAGGCGTGCGCCACCACTCTCAGCTAATTTTTTTATCTTCATTAGAGACAGGTTTTCACCATATTGGCCAGGCTGATGTCAAACTCCCGACCTCAAGTGATCTGCCTGCCTCAGCCTCCCAAAGTGATAGAATTACAGGCATGAGCCATGGCACCCGGCAAAGATTTTGACTTAATTTTTAAGAGAGAGGGTTTTGCTCTGTTGCCCAGGCTGGAATGCAGTGGTATAATCACACCTCACTGTAACCTCAAAATGCTGGGTTCAAATGATCCTCCTCCCTCAGCCTCCCAAGTATATGGTGACAACAGGTGTGCACCGCCACAGTTGGCTTATTTATTTATTTATTTATTTATTTAATTTGAGACTGAGTCTCCCTCTGTCACCCAGGCTGGAGTGCAGTGGCACAATCTCAGCTCACTGCAACCTCTGCCTCCCAGGTTCAAGCGATTCTCATGCCTCAGCCTCCTGAGTAGCTGGGGCTACAGGCATGTGCCACCATGCCCGGCTAATTTTTTGTATTTTTAGTAGAAACAGGATTTCACCGTGTTGGCCAGGCTGGTCTCTAACTCCTGACCTCAGGTGATCCACCTGCTTCGGCCTCCCAAAGTGCTGGGATTACAGGAGTGAGCCACCACGCCCAGACAATTCTATTTGTATAAAGACAGGGTCTCACTAAGTTGCTCAGGCTGGTCTCAAACTCCTGGGCTCAAGTGGTACTCCTGCCTCAGTCTCCCAAGTAGCTGGGACTACAGGCGTGAGCCACCATGATCAGCCTCGTCCACTGAGCTTTAATTCAATGCTACTTTATTTATTTTGTTGCTCAAATTTTTCCAGTGTTGGCTATTGGGAACTCTTTCAGTTGACTCCTGTGTCCCTCTGACACACTATCTCTGTCATTGTGGGCTTTGGAGCATAACTCCAACAGTCTTTTTATAAATGATCTGTGCAATTAAAGGTAATTTTTTTTTCCAGTGAAGGGCATAAATAATGAGATTTAATTGCGAATAATATGCATAATGGAAGTCTCATTTGCACATATCTGTTTACTTTCTCCCTGCCTTTCCTCCTGCCTCAGCCTCCTGAGTAGTTAAGACTACCACCACACCCAGTTAATTTTTTATTTTTTTTTTCTTTGTAGAGATGCAGTCTTGCTGTGTTGCTGGGGCTGGTATCAAACTCCTGGCTTCAAGTACTCTTCCCGCCTCTGCCTCCCAAAGAGCTAGGATTACAAGTGTGAGTCACCATGCCCGGCCTCCCTGGTATTTTTGACCTAAAATGTGCAAAAGGGAATTTCTGATTCATAAAATGTGACTTTCATATAAGATGCAGCAGAACACATTTCAACTGGCTTGGAAACCAGAAAATTATTCAAAAGCTATTTGCTTAGATACTAAAATAGTAGGTGAAAGTTGGATTAGATACAGGATACATACATAGCCTCAAAATATCTCCTCACAAATTACTTATTCATTACAAGGAGAAAAATATAAATTTTACAGTAAAGAGGCTGGGCGTGGTGGCTCATGCCTGTAATCCTAGCACTTTGGGAGGGTGGGGAGAGCAGATGGCTTGAGCCCAGGAGTTCAAGACCAGCCTGGGTAACATCACAAAACCCTGTCTCTATTAAAAAAAAAAAAATACACAAATTAACCAGGTGGCCAGGGGTGGTGGCTCAGCACTTTGGGAGACCGAGGCAGGCAGATCACATGAGGTCAGGAGTTCGAGACTAGCCTGGCCAATATGGTGAAAACCTGTCTCTAATAAAGATACAAAAATTAGCCAGGTGTGGTGGCACGCACCTGTAATCCCAGCTACTCAGGAGGCTGAGGCAGGAGAATCACTTGAACCCAGAAGGCGGAGGTTGCAGTGAGCCGAGATCATGCCACTGCCCTCCAGACTGGGAGACAAAGTGAGACCCCGTCTTAAAAAAAATTAAAAAATAAAAATAAAAATTAGGCTGGGGGGTGGCTCATGCCTGTAATCCCAGCACTTTGGGAGGCAGAGGTGGGTGAATCACCTGAGGTCAGGAGTTTGAGACCAGCCTGGCCAACGTGGTGAAACCCCATCTCTACCAAAAATACAAAAATTAGCCAGGCATGGTGGTGCATGCCTGTAATCCCAGCTACTCGGGAGGCTGAGGCAGGAGGATCACCTGAACCTGGGAGGCGGAGGTTGCAGTGAGCCAAGATGGTGCCACTGCACTCCAGTCTGGGCAACAGAGCAAGACTTTGTCAAAAAAAAAAATTAACCAGGCATGGTGGTGCATGCCTGCAGTCCCAGCTACTTGGGAGGCTGAGGCTGGAAGACTGCTTGAGCCTGGGGAGGTCAAGGCTGCAGGGAGCCAAGATTGTGCCACTGCACTCCAGCTAGGGTGACAGAGTAAGGCCCTGTCTCTAAATAAATAAATGCTTTTTTTTAATTGGAAAAAAATTACAGTAAAGAAAACAGGCAGACACTAACAAGTGATGAAAGTTATTATCACCAATAATGTGATTTAGTGACATCATGTGCTTCCTGATGTGGTGCACTTAGGACACATCATATTTACATAGTACTACTGCCAAAAATGTGGAACTTGAATCTAATTATGAGGAAATGCCAGGCAAACCCAAATTAGGGGACTTCTAAAAAATAACTTGCCCATACTATTCAAAATATTAAGGTCATGAAAGACAAAGAAGAGTTGAGGAACTGTTCCAATTAAAGAAGACTGAAGAGACATGAAAACTAACGTGATTCCAGATTTAATTGCAGACAAGAAGAAAAAAATGAGAAAGGAATGTGTTGAATCTGTTGGGACAACTGATGACAATGAAATAAGGTTCGTGGATTAGACAGGAATATCTCATCAGCATTTAACTTCTGATCTCTATCATCGTATTCTTGTAATGTGCTAATGCCTAGTTCTTCGGGGAAAGAGGTGTGAGTTCTGCAGTTTGTTCTCAAATAATCCAAGGGGAAGGAACTATATGTAAATATAACAAGAATGATAAAGCAAATGTGCAAAACAGTAATGATAAATCCAAGTAAAGGGTACATGGTAGGTTCTTGGCTCTGTTCTTGCAGTGTGAAGTTTAACAAAGTCATTTGCTTGCAGAATATTATTTAAGAGGTGGGGTCTTTGGGGTCTTGCTATGTTACCCAGGCTGGACTCAAACTCCTAGGCTTAAGCAATCCTCCTTCCTATTAAGTAGCTCGGGCAGGGCTACAGGTACATACCACCATCCTGGCTTGCTTGCAGAATATTTTTAGCAATGAAGTGGTTTTTTTGTTGCTTTGTTTTTTGTTTTTTGGGGGGTTTTTTTGTATTTTTTTTGAGATGGAGTCACTCTGTCGCCCAGGCTGGAGTGCAGTGGCACAATCTCAGCTCACTGCAACCTCCACCTCCTGGGTTCAAGCAATTCTCGTTTCTCAGCCTCCTGAGCAGCCGGGATTACAGGCGCATGCCACCACACCTGGCTAATTTTTGTATTTTTAGTAGAGGCGGGGTTTTGCCATGTTGGCCAGGCTGGTCTCAAACTCCTGACCTCAGGTGATCCATCTGCCTCGGCCTCCCAAGTGCTGAGATTACAGGCTTGAGCCCCCGGGTCCCGGTCCCCTGCTCTTCTTTCAGACTAGGGTACTATTATTATGAACTATACATTTTGGTACGATATTTTTTTTCCCCAAAAAGAACTATTAGTTATGAGATAAAAGTCTGTTTTCAAATCAAAGTCAGAAAATAACTATTTTTGCAAAAATGTCACACTAATTTTTTATGCATATATATAAACTTCCCTAAATATGATCATGAGACTATTAAGAGGGTTTAGGATTAGACCAAGTACACCTACCCTAAATAAATATCTACCATTTTGGAGACACAATTGTTTGTTAGTCTGTACATTAACACAACCCAAACCTGAATAAACTGACAAACAAAAACCATTTCAATTCAGTGTAATAAGCAATGATTACACATCTATCATGTGCCAAGAGCAGTGGTCTCTAATGCAGATCTGGCCAGGTTTCTCAGTACCCCTGCGCCCTCAGTTTCTCACAAACCATGAGATTCTTCATAATTTCACTTGATCTGCTTCTCCATGATTCTCTCCGGTCACTTGTCACTGTAACCTTTGATTTCTTAACCCTGAGAAACTTGAGGTCGCTAGTAAACTTTGATTATGCTGTGCCATCCTGCTTTCGCTAAATGTGTCATTCTCCATGAAATATGGCAGTAAACAAAATATTATTCCTGTGCTAGAGCATGTTAATAAGTGTAAGATAACAAATAGCTTAATTATGATCTTACAAGTACCACAGAGGAAAGAGGAAAGTTCAGGGAAGAAAAGCACTTACCAAGAGGAAGATGAAAAGAAAGGCTGGCAGGGTGTGGGGGTAGTGGGAGGTCTAGAAGGGAAAGGGAACAGAAGTCAGGGAATGTTCTGGAAAGTTACATCTAAATCCAATCTTAAAGGATTTTAGAACAACAACTCTAGCAAAAGCTTTATATAACATCAACCTCCAGCCCAGAACCGTCCTCCAAACTCCGGACTCCTTATCTGTGTATCCATCTTCTCCATTTCGATGACTAGCAGGTAACTAAATGTGAACATATCCCAAGCTAAATTTCTTCTCTTCCCTTCAAATCCTACTCCTTCTGTAGCTTTCCCCATCTCAGATGATGGCAATTCTTTCCTTTCAGTTGCTCAGGCAAAACCCCTGGAGTAATACTGGATTTGTCCTTGGCAACATCAAGGCCTTATACTTTAGGTAAGAGAAGTTTTGGGGTCATGCATATGTTAAAGTCTGATGAGAGTGAATTCAAGAGGAAATGGAAGGAAAGGAATTGGTGACAGGTAGTAGAAACGTCTCTTTAAAAGAAGGCAGGCCGGGCACGGTGGCTCACGCCTGTAATCCCAGCACTTTGGGAGGCTACGGTGGGCGGATCACGAGGTCAGGAGATTGAGACCATCCTGGCTAACACGGTGAAACCCCGTCTCTACTAAAAATACAAAAAATTAGCCGGGCGTGGCGGCACACGCCTGTAGTCCCAGCTACTCAGGAGGCTGAGGCAGGAGAATGGCGTGAACCCGGGAGGCGGAGCTTGCAGTGAGCCAAGATCGCGCCACTGCACTCCAGCCTGGGTGACATAGCAAGACTCCGTCTCAAAAAAAAAAAAAAAGAAAGCAAAGCAAAAAGATAGATGAGATGGATGTGAGATTCAGACAGGATTTTTTTTTTAATGATAAAAAAATTATAGTATGTTTGATGCTGGTGAATGACCCAATTGAAAGAAAAGAACTGATGATGCAGGAGACAGAAGAGGTAACTGTGACAGCAGTGGCCTGAGTGACAGCATGAACAGTTCACCCATAACAGAAAAAGAGCAGACAATAAGGGCATAGATGAACATAGGTGAGGAGGAAATATGTGGTGGGACCATGTGGAAGTTCTGTTCTGATTAAGCCAATTAATTTATGAATATGACTTATGAATATGAACAGGAGAGCAAGTGCCAGAAGTTTCAGAGAGTAGATGTGAAACAGTTGTCTAGGAAAGTGAAATATTTTACAAACTCATGTGAATTAGTGGCAGAGTCCCTCAGTTTGTGCTCTGTATTGAAATGAAGCAAGATTCTTTTACATTTCCTGAACATACATCTAATAATTCTATTTGAATTTAAAAAATGGATTTTTAGTTTTTAAAAACTATCAGTGAGATACTAGATCAAGTAGAAAGTATGTGTTCATGAAAAAGGTATAGTTTCACAGAAAGAACAGGGGTTTATTTTATTTATTTATTTTTTGAGACGGAGTCTCGCTGTCGCCCAGGCTTGAATGCAGTGGCACGATCTTGGCTCACTGCAACCTCCACCTTCTGGGTTCAAGACTCTCTTGCCCCAGCCCCCTGAGTAGCTGGGATTACTGGTGAGCACCACCACGCCTGGCTAATTTTTTGTATTTTTAGTAGAGATGAGATTTCACCATGTTGATCAGGCTGGTCTCGAACTCCTGACTTCGTGATCTGCCTGCTTCAGCCTCTCAAAGTGCTGGGGATTACAGGCATGAGCCACCATGCCCAGCCAGAACAGGGGTTTAAAATGAGAAGATCCAGTAGCTCATGTCTGTAATCCCAGCACTTTGGGAGGCCTAGGCGGAAGGGCTGCTTGAGGCCAGGAGTTTGAGACCAACCTGGGCAATATAGCAAGACCACATCTCTATTTAAAAAATATTGTTTTAATTGTTTAATAAAAATAAAAGTGAGATTAGAAGATCTGGGTTCAGGTTGTGCTGTCATTATTAACTAAATGATCAAATGCAACCTTCTCATTTCTAATACTTAAGCTTCACCTGGGAAGTGGGACTAAATGCAGTAATACAGGATGTCAACTGTACAGTGCTAAATAGTAATTGTTATTCTCACTGTTATTAGCTATTGTTATTCTCACTGTTATTAACTATATGTTGACCAACTGTAAATTTATCTATCAACCACCTATAGAATAACTGTAGGCTGATCAAGAAACTTTACTAGAATAAAATAAAATGAAAGCAAGAAGAGGTTAGAAAGGAAGAAGAGAAGCTGGATTCTACTATACATACAACACCTCACAATCTAAAAATATAAGCCCAGGAGAGAATAAAAACAACGTAACAACACTAAAAACAATAAGGTTGACAAGTAGAAAAAAGGCTTGTATATTTCCCTGCCAGATAAGACATACTGGACCCTAATCATACTGCACATTACTGGAAAAGTCCTAATTCAAAAGATGCTATAATGTGTTTTCTCACTGACTGACTTCCCCAGAGAACCCCCATTTCATGAAATGAAAACTTTCTCAGTGAAATACACACAGCATCGAAAATAGCACACTTTTTTTTTTTAGAAACTAATCACATTCTCTGAGATATAAAGATATTCAAATTTACTTTATTTTGTTGATTCCCTCTCCCCAGGAGATGTCAGATTCCCACAGCAGGCAAATCAGCTTGGCAGAGAAGTAGCAAGAACCTGAGAAGGCATGTGTGCTGTGAGTCAGCCTTGGGCAAAACAGCCAGGTCTCAATGCAAGGGAACCCTCTGGTGCTGTCAGACCCATGCCAACACTGCCCTCTACTGGCCAATTAAGCTGGTTGCAATTTTCTGCAAAAGAAATACCAGTGTATTAAGGAGAAATTCTGCAGTATCTATTAATAGTTGTCACTTAGGCCCTTTTCCATGGATTAGTGTTTCTCAATCATGCATGTGTATCCGAGTCACCTATTATGGCTTGTTAAAACAGACTGCTGGTGTGTGGCAGGGTACGGTGTCTCCCACCTGTAATCCCAGCACTATGGGAAGTCAAGGCAGGAGGATCACTTGAGCCCAGCAGTTCAAAACCAGTCCAGTCCAGGCAACACAGTGAGACCTTGTCTTTACTAAAAATGCAAAAAACTTAGCCAGGCCATTGCCCTGTGTTAACTTCTTATTCTATGGGAATAAGCTTTTAGCTTCAAAGGCCTTATGGAATGTTGAGGAGAAAGCATTTTCTCGACTTCAGAAGAAGAACTATTTAATCACACAGAGAACAGAAAAATTAAGTGACTTGTTCCATAAATGTGCTATTTGTGTCTGAGGGTCAATACTGTGCTAGATGATCATCTGAAAGAACAAGAGTCACAGATGTTTGCTTCGTCATTCACATCTAAGAGAAAGGGTTCTATCTTTTGTCTCCCTCACCTAGAAAATAGGGCCATATAATGCTGATAATGAACAATTAAGGAAAACACCATTTTTTAAGGAAAAAAGTCAGGAAGTACATAATTTTCTTTTTATTTTTTTCTTATTACAGCCGTGGTGCAAAACAAGTAGTACACATATCCTGAAAAAGTATTTGAGAATTGTTTCCCAAGGTGATAGGCATTTTAGAAGAAGAGTTTGACACCAATTTTATTTCTAGGTATTGGTATTTAGATGGTTTACACAGGCAATGCTAAGATAAAATACTTGTAGAAGCAAGAATAAGTTGAAGTGCAAAAGGAAATGAGTATAGTAGATCCAAAGAAAAGGAATAAAGGTCGGGGGGTTCTTGTGTTGCCAGGCATGAAGGCAGAAATCATACTTAGAGAAAAAAGCAATTTTCCTACTTTGTCATAAATGCCATAAAAGCAACCCTGCTTTCTTACTTCTCATTTTATAAGTTGAAGACAATTAGGGTGGACATGTAAGAATTAAAGGAAATAAAACACCATTGTTCAAAGAGTTCTATTATGTGTAACCTACTCAACCGTCCCTTCTATATCTAGAGGCAAGAAAATGGTTGATAAACTTCCACTGGTTGGCCTAACTAAGCCTGTTGTAAGAACATATCGAGAGCACTAGGCTGGGTGTGGTGGCTCACACCTGTAATCCCAGTGCTTTGGGAGGCTAAGGCAGGAGGATCGCTTGAGGCCATGAGTTCCAGACCAGCCAGAGGAACACAGTCTGACTGTCGCTATAAAAATAAAAGGATAAGCAAGGCACGCGCACCTGTAGTCCAAGCTATTCAGGAGCCTGAGGCAGGAGGAACGTTTGAGCCCAGGAGTTACGTTAGATGTTGCAGTAAGCTATGATTGTGCCACTGCACTCCAGCCTAGGTGACATGGAAAGAATCTGTCTTTTCTTTTTTTTTTTTGAGACGGAATTTCGCTCTTGTTGCCCAGGCTGGAGTGCAACAATGGCACGATCTCGGCTCACGGCAACCTCTGCCTCCCGGGTTCAAGTGATTACTCTTGCCTCAGCCTCCTGAGTAGCTGGGATTACAGGTGCCCACCACCACGCCCAGCTAATTTTTTTGTGTTTTTAGTAGAGACAGGGTTTCACCATGTTAGCCAGGCTGGTCTCGAACTCCTGACCTCAGGTGATCCACCCGCCTCAGCCTCCCAAAGTGCTGGGATTATAGGCGTGAACCACCGCGCCCAGTAAGACCCTGTCTTCAAAAAAAAAAAAAGTGTCAGCAATCAGCAGTAGTTTACTGAACCTCATCTAAGAACAAAATCAAACTTAAAGTTAGATGTATAATAAAACATTAATGAAGTCTAGGGCCCTTCCATCACTTCTAAAGATGTATTCAGAAGAACATCTTGTTTAGAATGTTCTCCAGGAAAAACACAAATATGAAACCTGTCATTATGGCAAAAACCATCAGTCCGATAATGTATAAAAATCAGACCCACAGCAGAGAAGTCTCCATTCATAAAGAACTCACTAATTGCACCAGATTTCTACAAGACTAAATAAGGCGGCTTCCTTCGTTTTTCTTATTTGATGTCTCCAAACAGCCATCACCCCTTCCTTTAAGTTAAGACTTCTACAACTTTTAGGAAGCTGGTATGGAAAAAATGTAGTAATTTACAACCTATCATAATTATAAACTTTATTATTATTATTATTTTTAGAGACGGGGTCTCTCTCTGTCACCCAGGCTGCAGCACAGTGGTGCTTTTATGGCTCACTGCAGCCTCGACCTCTGGGGCTCAAGTGATTGCCTCCTACCTCAGCTTCCTGTGTAGCTCGGACTACAGGCGCACACTACCACGCCCAGCTATAATTATAAACTTTAAACATGGTATCTTCAACAAGTTCGTGGAAAATGCATTCTATGAAAAAATTATTCATGGATTTCAAGGGAGTTTTTTTGTATCAAAATAACTCATACTCCAGCCTGACCAATATGGCGAAACCCCATCTCTACTAAAAATACAAAAATTAGCTGGGCATGGTAGCATGTGCCTATAAGCCCAGCTACTCAGGAGGCTGAGGCAGGAGAATCTCTTGAACACAGGAGGTAGAGGTTGCAGTGAGCCGAGACTGTGCCACCGCACTCCAGCCTGGGTGACAGAGAGACACTCCATCTTAAAAAAAAAAAAAAAAAGCTCATACTAACTTGTTATAACACGTCTGAACAGGATCTAGTTTGAAGCACTAAAAAGGATAAAACATCAGTTTGAAAAGAGCCCCTAATAAAGCAACATGAATTCTGCTAAAATTGAAGCAAAAGCAAATGGTAAATTTATGGTGAAGCTTGGATGAAAGAATGGTGAAATCACTGATGCTTTGTGTAAAGTTTATGGGGACAATGCCCCAAACAAATCAGTAGTTTACACATGAATAACTTGTTTTAAGACATCAGCCAGATGCAGTGGTCCGCACCTATAGTCCCAGCTACTTGGAAGGCTGAGACAGGAGGATCACTTGAGCCCAGGAGTTCAAGGCTGTAGTGTGCTATGGTTACACCTGTAAATAGTCACTATACTCTAATTTGGGCAATGTAGTAAGACTCTGTCTCAAAAAAAGAAAAAAAATAAAGGAGGAGATGATGTTGAAGATGAAGCCCACCGTGGCAGACCACCAATATCAATTTGAGAGGAAAAAAGAATGATCTAATTGAAGAGGATTGACAATTAGCAGAAACAATAGCCAATACCACAGACATCTCAATTGGTTCAGTTTATACAATTTTGGCTGATAAATTAAAATTGAGCAAACTTTCCACTCAACTGGTGCCAAAATGGTTGCATCCAGATGAGCTGCAAAGAGCAGAGCTTTCGATGTAAATTTTAAACAAGTGGGATCAAGATCCTGAAGCATTTCTTTGAAGAATTGTAACAGGAGATGAAATATGGTTTTACCAGTATAATCCTAAAGACAAAGCACAATCAAAGCAATGGCTACCAAGAGGCGTAAGTGCTGTAGTCAAAGCAAAAGTGGATCAGTCAAGAGCAAACACAAGAGTTTTTTAGGATGCTCAAAGCACTTTGTCTGTTGACTTTCTGGAGAGCCAAAGAATGACAACATCTTATTATGAGGGTGTTTTGAGAAAGTCAGCCAATGCTTTAGCAGAAAAACAGCCAGGAAAGCTTCATCAGAGAGTCCTTCTCCACCAGGACAATGCTCCTGTTCATTCCTTTCATCAACAAAGATAATTTGTGACAGTTTTGATGAGAAATCATTAGGCAACCACCTTACAACAGTCCTGATTTGGTTCCTTCTTTTTTGTTTCCTAATCTTTAAAAAAATCTTTGGTAGCAACAAAAAATTAAAAACTTAAACCAAAAAAAACTTTAAAGGGCATCCATTTTTCTTCATTTCTTCATTTTTCTTCATTTAATAATGTAAAAAAGCCAGGCACAGTGGCTCACACCTATAATCCCAGCACAAAAGAAAAACAAATATTTACTCCAAAAAATTTGGATTCCTTAATGGAAAACGGGAAAATCTATTCTCTCTTAATCCATAATGCACGGTGGAGACATTTGTTCTTTGACTGACTAACATAAACAAAGAAAACCTAGTATGAAGAAAGGAATGATAAGATGTAAATATGGTAGCAACTAGTCATGGTTGAGATGCTCTTCCCATCCTAATATTAACTTACCCTCATCAGTCATAGGTGAAAGAAGCTAGCTGCTTTTCGTTTTCTAATTTCCTTTAACTGTGCATTGTTTCCATCATCTGGGAATGAGCCTAGGTGGATAAGGACAGTGAGGTGGTAGCAGTAGATTTTCTTGTGCTTCATCTTGAGTTATTTGATCCATGTAACATTAACTTGGCCCAAGAGGAGGAAAGTTTTTAAGACATTATTTTATTTATAAAAAATTAAATCCTCCCTGCTACTTTTGATATGTAAATGGTGGCTCATGCCTGTAATCCCAGCACTTTGGGAGGCCAAGGCAAGTGGATCACCTGAGGTCAGGAGTTTGAGACCAGCCTGGCCAACAGGGCGAAACCCCATCTCTACTAAAAATACAAAAATTAGCCAGGCATGGTGGTGCAGGCCTGTAATCCCAGCTACTGGGGTGTTGAGGCAGGAGGATCGCTTGAACCTGGGAGGCGGAGGATGCAGTGAGCAGAGATCGTGCCACTGCACTCCAGCCTGTGCAATAGAGCGGGACTCCATCTCAAAAAAAAAAAAAAAAAGTTCATTAACTCAGAAAGACTACTCCAGAAATTGGCGAGTGGTTACTCCAGGAAGGAGAACTGTCTGGCTAGGGTGTAGGGATTGGGAGAATTTGTTTTACCGTACATCCCTTTGGACCAATTGGATTTTGTACATGTGTATTTTTTAGCCTGTTCAAAAAATGTATGAGTTTCTGGAAAATTGAATTAAAGGATAAAAATAAAATATGAACTTTACTTCTCAACATAAGCTTTTGCAACATCAAGATACTTTTGTAAGCAATGATAGCAACTTTTTTTCTTTTCTTTTTTTTTTTTTTTTTTGAGACAGAGTCTCGTTCTCTCGCCCAGGCTGGAGTGCAGTGGCACGCTCTCCACTCACTGCCACCTCCGCCTCCCAGGTTCAAGTGATTCTTGTACCTCAGCCTCCTGAGTACCTGGGATTACAGGTGCACACCATTACCCCTGGCTAATTTTTGTATTTTTAGTAGAGGTATGGTTTCACCATGTTGGCCAGGCTGGTCTCAAACTCCTGACCTCAGGTGAGCCACCTGCCTTGGTCTCCCAAAGTGCTGGGATTACAGGCGTGAGCCACTGCACCTGGTCTGGAGTAAATATTTATATGGATATAATTAGAACTCTCGGTACTTTTTTAAATGAGTTGTGGTCTGCCCCCCCTCCCCAACACACAAATTAAACATATATTAAGGAAGCAGGTTTTCTTCTTCCACTTGGCTGTAGAAAGCCAAAAGCAACGTCACTCCCACCCTAACAACAAGAAACAGCCATATCAACTACAAAAAACTTGAATTAATTGGAAAGCCACCTAGTAGTATGAAATCCAAAGAAAAACAAGCCCCTCCAGGAAATATGGGAGGTGAACACCAGCTCTCCTGTATCAGAGCATGTGCAGAAGAGACATTGGGTACCCTACAAGCAGGTAAGAAAAATTCAAGTAAAAATTGTAGTGATTTGTCAAAGGTAAATGAAGGCTAGCATGAGACTATGGGGCCCCTCAAATCCACAGACACAAAGGGAATTCACACTCATTTGCAGGATTGTCTTCACAGATGTCTGCCGCATGCTCACAGGAAAGATTGGAAGCAGGGTGAGGGACCAGACAGAGCCTCCCTCCATGGTACAGACCTGGAGAAGGCCACCACCATTAAGGGAAAAGCATGAACCCCTCCCACTGGGATCTTTCTCTCCTGGGGAAGGAGTACAAACCCTGTCAACCCCAGAGCACACAAGAAGACCGGCTGTAGCTAGGGAAAGAGTAATAGAAACATACTTTATAAACCTGAGAGAGGAGCAAGAAAAACTCCTCATCCAGGATCCTACACCAATACCATGAGAAGACGCTACTACTGTGAAAAGGATAATAACGTTGAGAAAGACCCAAACCGTGAGATTAAGCACAGGATTAAGCACAAAATGGGACAATAAAAAAACAAACTCTGCCTGCCACCTGGCTAGAACTCTTCCGATAAGAGAGAAAAGAGCATGGACAAGGACCCCTCTGAGGCACGGGTACACAGGGAAGGCTGAAAGAGTGGAGCAAGCACATTAAAGAAATACCTTCCAGGGCCTCAGTCCCCACTCTAAGCATAGAATTAAAGGGATTGAAGACAGTAGTACACTGAAGGCAATTACGGTAATGACAAAACCCAAAACTAGCTCAGCTCCTGTTAAAATGACTAAACCCAAGAGACATGCCTATTTCCAACCATAACACCTTTTGGCCTCAGCCTACTATTTTACATGTGAGATCCAGCATTCAATCAAAAACTAAGACACACACACACACACACACACACACACACACACAGAGCAATCAGACTGAGAGATGACCCAGATTTTCAAATTATCACACAGAGATTTAAAACAACTATGATTAATATGTTAAAGTCTACAGTAGAAAAGGTGGAAAACATAGGTGAACAGATGGGAAATTTTGACAGAAATAAGGAAGCTTATAAGAGAGGCAAACAGAAATGCTAGAAATTAAAAACATAAAAAATGCTAAAGTAGATAATGCCACTGAAAGCTCATCATTAGATTCAACACAACTATGAAAAGATCAGGGAATTGGAAGATAGGTCAAAAGAAAGTACCCAAAGTAAAACACAAACAGAAATAAAGAGAGAAAAAAACCAACAATGCATCCAAGAGATACAGGACACTATCCAACAATTTAACAAAAATATAATTGGAATCCCAGGAGAAAAGAAAAAGAATGGGGCAGAAGAAATATTTTAAAAGATAATGGCCAAAAATTTCCCAGCTGACTTAACCACTTCAAAAGCACAGATCAAGAAGCTCAGAAAAGCCCAAGAAGAAAACTTCCAAAATATCATCTAAACACAACATATTTAAACTGCTAAAAAAAAAAAAAAAAAAAGATAAAATCTTAAAGGCAGACACAAAGAGGAATTCACAAAGGAAATATTTTTAAATATTTTTAAATGAATGAAAATAAAAATACAACATATCAAAATCCATGGGACACAGCTAAAATGGTGATTAGAGGGTAATTTATAACATTAAGTAATTACATTAGAAAAGAAATGTCTCAGATCAAAACCTGATTTAAGCTGTCACCTTAAGAAACCAGAAAAAGAATAAATCAACTTAAGTAAACAGAAGAAAGGAAAAAACAAAGATATGAGAAGAAATTAAAAACAGAAAGACAATAGAAAAAAATTAATGAAACCAAAAGCTGGATCTTTCAATACAATTGATAAACCTCTACCTAGACTTATCAAAGAAAGAAAGAAAGAAAGAAAGAAAGAAACATCACAAATTACTAGTATAAGAAATGAAAAAGGGGACATAATAGATCCTACAGACATTAAAAGCATATCTCCATTAATCTGCAACATTTATGCCAGGAAAGGGACCAAGGAATTCCTTGAAAGATACAAACTACCAAAGCTAACTTAAGAAACAGATAACTGGAATAGTTCTATGATCTCTGAAAGAAACTAAATTCCTAGTTTAAAAATCCGACAGAAAATTCCAGGCCCAGATAGCTTTATTGATGAATTCTATCAAACACTGAAAAGAAGAAAAAATATCAATTCTATGCAAACTATTCTAGAAAAGAGAAAGAAGGGAACACTTCCCAATTCATTTTATGAAGTCGGCGTGACCTCAATTCTAAAACTGGACAGAAGACATTATGAGAAAACTACAGACCAATTCCCTCATGAACACAGATACAAAAATACTCAGCCAATTATTAGCACATCTGATCCAGGAAAATGGCAAATTTCTCTTAAAGGCTTTAATTATGCTTTAATCCTGAGGTGGGATGACTCCAAAGACAACAAATGGCATCTGATTCCAGTCTAAATGAAGTTCTGATATAACCGCAGAATTTTATTTAACTTTTCAAAGCTACTTTCAGAGAAAAGGCACAGTAGACAGTTTAATTTAGGAAATTAAGAAGAAGATTATATGGTTGTTGAAACATTAGAGAAGAAACATTAGGGTTAAAAGTCATCCACAGACTCATGAACGCTCACTCAAAGGGTGGTAAGTCTACCTCCTCGGTATCTAACAAAGAAACATAAAGTTACTAGCCTACACTAAAAAAACTCAGCTCAATTCTCAGTTTCCAAGATTATACCAAAGGCATAATCCCTAACCTGCTTTCTGAACATATATAAGCAGTCTGGTTTAAATACTTACCTTCAATCTGGCTAGTTTCTGAGCACGGTTTCTTCTTTGACTCTGAGTTCCCGGTTTTCTCATCAACATCCAGGAGAGGAATATAGTCTGTTTTTCCAACAGTTTCTCCCACAACATCATCAAAGGCCTCTGCCTCTAGTGTGGCAATGAAGTCCCGCTTTATCTCTCCCTCAATGTCTGGAGATGGTTCTGTTAATGCATCTGCAAGACTGAGGTCAGCCATTCTGCACCACTGCAACTGCCTGGTGAAGAGGAAAAAGATCTTTCATGTAACGAGCACTGCAAAAGGAAAAACATTTCTAGAAACTCTTGTCAATTGTTTGAAACAAACAAAAGAATCAAAATCTAAGATTTTACAGCTAGAAGAGGCTCCCTCATTTGAAAGATGAGAAAAATAAAGCTAAGAAATGGACAGTCTGACCCAAGGTAACTCACCGCTAGTTACTCTTTTCTCACATTTCTGGGGGTGGAGGGAGGTGGTGGTGGCAGGACAAAGCAATTGCAATTGTGTCCTTTCTATTTATAAGAAAAGTGAGGTGTAAAAAAACCCCACAATCAACATATCCAAAGCTATAGCCAGTAAGATTCAAATCAGGTCTTTACATAGTTACATTACTATCGGACAAATGAAATCAACTTTCTTGACCAAAGACTGTGAGTATGGATCTTATCTTGGAGTGAGTACCTGCTTCTTCATGAATCACTTGTGGATAGTCCTGTCAACCAAACTACTTAGCCCTGCCAGCATAAAAAAAAAAAGACACGTTTCCCTCAATTAGCTAAGGGAGATGGTCCCTCTCTGTAGTCACGTATATTACCATTTTTACAGACTACCAGCTTCTTAATTACATAATCTGCAGTTAAGTAAATCTACTGGCAGCCATAAAAAAGAACGAGATCATGTCCTTTGTGGGAACATAGATGGGAAGCAGGAGGATATTATCCGCAGCAAACTGACGCAGGAACAGAAAACCAAATACCACATGTTCTTACTTGTAAGTGGAAGCTAAATGATAACTTACGAATACAAAGAAACTGCAGACACTGGGGTCTCCTGGAGGGTGGAGGGTGGGAGGAGGGAAAGGAGCAGAAAAGATAACTATTGGGTACTAGACTTAATTGAAATAATCTGTACAACAAACCCTTGTGACATGTGTTTACCTATGCAACAAACCTTCACATATACCCTTGAACCTAAAATAAAGTTTAAAAAAAAAAAAAAAGTAAATCTATAAGCAAACCATAGGTGAATAGCCTAGAAAATACAGAAATAATGTAGTAAAAAGAGCCAAAGGGGCCAGGTGCAGTGGCTCACACCTGTAATCCCAGCACTTTGGGAGGCCGAGGCAGGAGGATCACTTGAGACCAGGAGTTCAAGACCAGCCTGGCCAACATGGTGAAACCCCATCTCTACTAAAAATGCAAAAATTAGCAAGGCATGGTGGTGGACACCTATAATCCCAGCTACTTGTGAGGCTGAGGTACGAGAATCGCTTGAACCCGGGAGATGGAGGCTACAGTGAACCGAGGTTGCGCCACTGCACTCCAGCATGGGCGACAGAGGAAGTCTCCGACTCCCCCATCAAAAAAAAAAAAAAAAAAAAAAAAAAGAGCCAAAGGCCTGCAATAAATTGGGCACCATTCAAATGCAGGGCATAATAGGAAATAAAGTGTGCAAGGTACTACGCCTGCTTTCAAAAAGTCTAACAGAAACTCCAAGAGACTCCATAGGATAAGTTGACATATAAGCTATGTTGTTGACAAGGTAAATACAAGTCAAACAGATCCTTAGTTGCACAATGTAATGGCCACTACTTGTGTTTGTCCAGAAATCTATTCTTCCTATCTCCCCTAATACAAACCAATCCCTACCCCTATAGGGTTTGGGACATGACTAGAGTTGGGTCAATCAGAAGTCAAGAAGAAGACAGTTGGAAAGGATCATTTATTGACTACACGCTGGAAGAAAAGTCCATGAGTGACAGCTATTTAGTTGCCCTGGTTGACTACTTCAAGTCTAAGTGAGCGGCCTTCATCTTTCTTTTGCCTAATTTAGCCAATCTATTTCTGTTGTTTACAATGGAAGAATCTCAACTAATACACAGTCTTTCTCCAACCCAAACTTGAAAAAGTAAAAATATACTATGATTCAAGCCACTTAATTTTCAGGCTTTCCTTTCAAGCTGTTATCCACCGTCTACCTCTCTCCAACAAATGTACTTAGGAAAAAGAAATAGAATTAAAGCAAGGAATATGGTCCTATCTTCCTTCCTTCTTATTTTATCTTCATCTTTGTTCCCACACACTCCTCTCCTCCCACTTACATGCTGTGAGGCTACCATGATTACAAAACATGTACAAAGCAAATACTTCCAGACCCTGAAAAATCAGAAGTCATCGTACCCCCAATTCCCAAATCCAACAAGCAAAGGGTGTTGCTATATATTAGAGTGGTGGCACAGAGGCTTAAGAATCAAGATCCGATACCCAAATAAGTACAGACAGGATAATTAAGGCCAGGGGCAAGATCTACATCTTCTAGGCAAGTGTCTAGAAAAAAAAGATAGTATGTGTTCAGTACTGGGAATGCTGGAGATAGTTTGTCTCTACCTATATGGAGCTTAGTGAAAACATTCATTACATATTCTTTATATTATCTAAGAAAAAAATACAATACCAAGATTTGGAAAGATATTAAATAATCAATTATATTTATATAGACTTCCAAATAAAATCTAAAAATTTCAAATAAATTTAAGCCTTCTTCCATGTGCCTAATTTTATGAGTTTTCCTATTTGAAATAACAACCTTAATTCCTCATCAATAATTTTAAATGATTATCTTTTCAAATTCTAGGTAGTACCATTATACAAAAATGTAGTAGAAAAGAGCTGTTTCTCTGATTTCTTTTCTTTTTGAGGCAGAGTCTTGCCTCACTGCAACCTCCACCTCCCAGGTTCAAGTGATCCTCCTGCCTCAGCCTCTCTAGTAGCTGGGATTACAGGTACGCACCGCCACACCCAGCTAATTTTTGCATTTTTAGTAGAGACAGGGTGCCACCATGTTGGTTAGGCTGGTCTCGAACTCCTGACCTCAAAGTGATCCACCCACCTCGGCCTCCCAAAGTGCCAGGATTACAGGTGTGAGCCCCTGCGCCCAGCCTGCTTACTTTTCTTAAAGCAAATGTGATATTTAAATTTCCTGTGACTATACTAATGAGTTCCTAAATCATATCTTTTTATTTTTTATTTTTTTCAGACAGAGTTTCACTCTTGTTGCCCAGGCTGGAGTGCAACGGCACCATCTCAGCTCACCGGAACCTCCACCTCCCAGGTTCATGCGACTCTGTCATCATACTACTTGGAATTTGATGAAGTTCATTTAGGTCTCAAAAAATGTCAAAAGATACGTGTGACCCAGATGTGGTGGCATGCACCTGTAGTTCTAGCCTTTCAGGAGGCTGGGGCAGGGAGATTGTAACTAGGAGTTCCAAGCTATAGTGTGCAATGATCACGTCTGTGAATAGCCACCACAACTCCAGGTGTGGAGCCACGATTGCATCACTGCACTCTAGCCTGGGTGACAGAGCAAGACTCTAGTCTCAAAAAGAAAAAAAAAAGAAAAAAAAAATCACACTCTGAGCCAGGCGTGGTGGTTCACACCTGTAATCCCAGCACTTTCAGAGGCTGAAGTGGGAGGATTACTTGAGACTAGGAATTCAAGACCAGCTAGGCAACATACTGAGACCCTGCCTCTACAAAAACTAAAAAAAAATTAGCTGGGTACGGTGGCATACACTTATAGTCCTAGCTACTCAGGAAGCTGAAGTGTCACAATCGCTTGAACCCGGGAGTTTAAGACTGCAGTGAGCCATGATTGTGATGGCACCACTGTACTCCAGCCTGGGTGACAGAGTGAGACCCTGTCTCAAAAAATTTTTAAAAATAAAAATAAAAAATAAATAGGGTACAGAGGCTCATGCCTGTAACCCCAACAATTTGAGAGCCTGAGGCAGCTGGATCACTTGAGGCCAGGAGTTCGAGACCAGCCTGGCCAACACGGTGAAACCCCATTTCTACTAAAAACACAAAAATTAGCTGGGCGTGGTATCACATACTTGTGGTCCCAGTTAGGAGGCTGAGGCATGAGAATCACTGGAACCTGGGAGGTGGAGGTTGCAGTGAGCCGAGATTGCACCACTGTACTCCAGCCTGGGTGACAGAAAATTTGTCTCAAAAAACAAAAATTAAATTTAAAAACTTTTAAATAAATAAGTAAAAAATAAATCACACTCTGGCTGTTAACATTAAGGCCAAAAATAAATAAATAAATAAATAAATAAATAAATAAATAAATTTAATTCCATTTAGAAATATCTAATAACTATAATAAAGTTAAATCCAATTTAATCAGTCTGTTAGAAGAAAAATAGCGACAAGAGCAAATTATGTCAAAGAAAGACACGCACTGAGAGAGTTTAATAATAGATGTCATAAAGAAGCTGTTGAATCTTCTCCATAAAAAAGTAAATATGGGCCGGGCGCAATGGCTCACACCTGTAATCCCAGCACTTTGGGAGGCTGACGTAGGCAGATCACAAAGTCAGAAGATCGAGACCATCCTGGTTAACATGGTGAAACCTCCTCTCTACTAAAAATACAAAATATTAGCCAAGCATGGTGGTGGGCACCTGTAATCCCAGCTGCTCGGGAGGCTGAGGCAGGAGAATCGCTTGAACCCAGGAGGTGGAGGTTGCAGTGAGCAGAGATCGCGCCACTGCACTCCAGCCTGGGTGACAGAGTGAGACTCCTTCTCAAAAAAAAAAAAAAAAAAAACATATTAAATTGTACAAAACTGTTATGATCAGCCATTCCAAAGCACTGGACATCAACAAACTGTAGAACACAAGTTGAGAAGCTTTGCATTCTCGAAATCTGCTTGAGCTTTGGTTAAGACCAGGAAGAGTCTATGGCCCTTTTGTCTAGAGCTGTTTCCACTCCCATCTTAGCCCACAGCTCAGTTTGGTCAGCAAGAATTACACTTTTATTAGTGTGATGGTTAACACTGAGCATCAACTTGATTGGAATAAAGGATGCAACATTGATCCTGGGTGTGTCTGTGAGGGTGTTGCCAAAGGAGATTAACATTTGAGTCAGTGGGCTGGGGAAGGCAGACACACCCTTAATTGGGTGGGCACCATCTAATCAGCCACCAGCGAACATAAAGCAGGCAGAAAAATATGAAGAGGCAAGAGGGGCCTAGCCTCCCAGTCTACATCTTTCTCCTGTGCTGGATACTTTCTGCCCTCGAACATCGGACTCCACGTTCTTCAGTTTTGGGACTTGGACTGGCTTTCCTCGCTCCTCAGCTTGCAGACAGCCTTTTGTGGGACCCTGTGATTGTGTAAGTCAATACTTACTAAATTCCTCTTTTTATAAACATACATATATATCCTATTAGTTCTGTTCCTCTAAGAAAACTCTGACCCCAGACTAACACAGACTCTGGTACCAGGAGTGGTTCCAGAGGAACAGAATGTTAAGGATGGAGTTCTTTTGTTGGTTTGGGGGTTTCTGGAGTTGGCTGCTTAATATGATTGATCCAAAAATGCTGAGGACTCTACTTCTAATAGCATGGAGAACATTCATAGTCCTTGGCGTGAACTATTTAGAGAGTTATGCAAAATAAATGCATTTGACACTCCTGATTCACTGCTCATGAAAGGTAAGGACTTTAGTGACTCTATACATAATACCTTTGACCATATGTGGAAAACCAACGAACATAATGAAGCTGGTTGGTTGCTCCTAAGTTCAGTGAACAAAGTGATGAAAGAAAATGATGAACTCAGGGATTCTGTTTCCTGGCTTCAGAAGCAGATACTGAGTCTCAAATCTGCTAAGATTGCCCTGAGTGAGAGTCTTAGCTCCTGTTGAGAAAGAGCTGAAATTGTGGAAAAACAGACATAAGCTCTTATCATGCGAGTGGCTGACCTGCAACAAAAGATGCATGCACAGCCACCTGAGGTGTCTACTGCTAAAGTGAGGGCATTGATTGGAAAAGAATGAGACCCAGAAACTTGGAATGGGGATGTGTGGGAGGACCCTGATGAAGCTGGGAACACTGAGTTTATAAACTCTGGTGAACTTTTTTTGCCAGAAGGAACAGCTTCCCCATCCCCCATAGTGGCAGCATAACCCCCCATCCCCGCCATCAACCTTTCCATCTTTGTCTACGGACATAAACCCTGAGCTGCCTGAGGCAAGAGTCATGGCCTCCTCTCAGGCAGTTGCCAGGCAAGATAATGTTGATTCTCCTTAGAAGGTACCTGCAACACCCATTTGCTTCTAGACCTATAACTCAAGTCCCACAGGTCCCTAGAGGTGAGGTTGAGAGTGTGACCCAGGAGGAGGTGCGCTACACTCAAAAAGAACTGTTCTCGGCCAGGCACGGTGGCTCACGCCTGTAATCCCAATACTTTGTGAGGCCGAGGTGGGCGGATCACGAGGTCAGGAGTTCAAGACCAGTCTGGCCAACATAGTGAAACCCTGTCTCTACTAAAAATACAAAAAATTAGCCGGGCGTGGTGGTGCACCCCTGTAATCCCAGCTACTCGGCAGGCTGAGGCAGGAGAATTGCATGAACCCGGGAGGCGGAGGTTGCAGTGAGCTGAGATTGTGCCACTGCACTCTAACCTGGCAACAGAACGAGACTCCCTCTAAGAAAAAAAAAAGAACTGTTCTCTAATTTATATAAACAGCAATCTGGAGAACAGGCATGGGAATGGGTATTAAGGGTATGGGATAATGGTGGAAGGAACATAGAGTTGGATCAGGCTGAATTTATTGATTTGGGCCCACTAAGTAGGGACTCTGCATTTAATGTTGCAGCTCGGGGAGTTAAAATAAGGTTCTAATAGTTTATTTGCTTGGTTAGCTGAAATATGCATTAAAAGATGGCCCACTGTGAGGGAGCTGGAAATGCCTGATATCTCTTGGTTTAATGTAGAGGAAGGCATCCAAAAGCTTAGGGAGATTGAGGTGGTGGAGTGGATTACTCACTTTAGACCTACTCATCCCAGCTGGGAGGGTCCAGAAGATATACCCTTGACCAATGCCTTGTGAAATAGATTTGTGAGGGCAGCACTTGAATCTTTGAAGAGCCCTGTAATTGCTCTTCTCTGCATGTCAGACCTAATGGTGAGAACCGCAGTCACTCAATTACAAAATTGAAATACGAGGGGAATAACTGGATCCCAAGGTGGCAGGGGCCAAGTAGCAGCACTCAACCATCAAAGGCAAGGTGGGCGTAGCTACCGTAATGGACAGCAGAGGCAAAGTGACAATCAGAATAGTCTGACTCATGTAGAGCTCTGGCATTGGCTAATTAATCACGGTATTCCTAGAAGTGAAACGGACAGGAAGCCTACTGCATTCCCACTTAATTTATACAAACACAAAACTTCTAGGTCGAATGGACAAAAGACTAATTTGAATTATAAAAAGAGAATCATGGCCCCTCACTCAATCCATTTCCAGACTTCAGCCAGTTTACAGACCCAGAACCCCTTGAATGAAGGGGAGGCCAGGTACCCTTGAGAAAGGACCCCACTACTTTACTGACAATTTATGCAGTGAATCTTTCTCCCATCCTTCCCCAAGGAGACCTCCATCCAACCTTTCACTTTGGGGACTACTGGACACTGGCTCTGGGCTGATGATGACTCCAGGGGACTTAAAACATCACTGTGGTCTTCCAGTTAAACTAGGGGCTCATGGAAGTCAGGTAATTAATGAAGTTTTAGCTTAGGTCTGACTTACAGTGGGCCCAGTGGGTCCCTGGACTCATCCTGTGGTCATTACCCCAGTGCCAGAATGCATAATTGGCATAGACATACTTAGCAGCTGGCAAAACCCCCACACTGGCTCCCTGACTGCTAGGTTGAGGGCTATCATGGTGGGAAAGGCCAAATAGAAGCCCTTAGAGTTGCCTCTACCTAAAAAAATAGTAAATCAAAAACAATATCACATCCCTGGAAGGTATGCAGAGATCAGTGCCACCATCAAGGACTTGAAAGATGCAGAAGTGGTGATTCCCACCACATCCCCATTAACTCTCTCATTTGGCCTGTGCAGAAGACAGATGGATCCTGGAGAATGATAGTGGATTATCATAAGCTTAACCAAGTGGTGACTCCAATTGCTGCTGCTGTTACCAGATGTGGTTTCATTGCTTGAGCAAATTAACACATCTCCTGGTACCTGCTATGCAGCCACTGACTCTGCAAATGCCTTTTTCTCTATTCCTGTCCATAAGGCCCATCAGAAGCAATCTGCCTTCAGCTGGCAAGGCCAGCAATATACCTTTACTGTCCTACCTCAGGGGTATATCAACTCTCCGGCTTTGTGTCATAATCTTATTTGGAGAGATCTTGATCGCTTTTCGCTTCCGCAAGATATCACACTGGTCCATTACATTGATGACATTATGCTGACTGGATCCAGTGATCAAGAAATAGCAAACACACTGGACTTATTGGTGTGACATTTGCATGCCAGAGGATGAGAAATAAATCCGACTAAAATTCAGGGACCTTCTGTCTCAGTAAAATTTCTAGGGATCTAGTGTTGTGGGACCTGTTGAGATATTCCCTTTAAGTTAAAGGATAAGTTGTTGTGTTTGGTCTCTCCCACAACCAAGAAAGAGGCACAATGCCTAGTGGGCATATTTGGATTTTGGAAGCAACACGTTCCTCATTTGGGTGTATTACTCCGGCCCATTTACTGAGTGACCTGAAAGGCTGCCAGTTTTGAGTGGGGTCCAGAACAGGAGAAGGCTCTGCAACAGGTCCAGGCTGCTGTGCAAGCTGCTCTGCCACCTGGGCCATATGACCCAGCAGATCCAATGGTGCTTAATGTGTCAGTGGCAGATGGGGATGTTGTTTGGAGTCTTTGGCAGGCTCCCATAGGTGAATCGCAATGGAGACTTCTAGGATTTTGGAGCAAGGCCCTGCCATCTTCTACAGATAACTACTCTCCTTTTTTTTTTTTTTTGAGACGCAGTGTCACTCTGTTGCCAAACTGGAGTGCAGTGGTGCGATCTCGGCTCAATGCAACCTCCACCTCCCAGGTTCAAGCGATTCTCCTGCCTCAGCCTCCCAAGTAGCTGGGAATACAGGTGCGTGCCACCACATCCAGCTAATTTTTGTATTTTTAGTAAAGATGGGGTTTCACCATGTTGGCCAGGATGGTCTCGATCTCTTGACCTTGTGATCCGCCCACCTCAGCCTCCCAAAGTGCTGATTACAGCTAACTACTCTCCTTTTGAGAGTCAGCTCTTGGCCTGTTACTGGGCTTTAGTGGAAATTGAATGTTTGACTATGGGTCATCAAGTCACCATGCGACCTGAACTGCCCTGCCTATCATGAGCTGGGTGCTTTCAGACCCATCTAGCCATACAGTGGATTGTGCACAGCAGCATTCCATCATCAAATGGAAGTGGTATATACGTGATCGGGCTCAAGCACGTCCTGAAGGCACAAGTAAATTACATGAGGAAGTGGCTCAAATGCCCATGGCCTCCACTCCTGCCACCCTGCCTTCTCTCTCCCAGCCTGCACTGATGGCCTCATGGGGAGTTCCCTATGATCAGCTGACAGAGGAAAAGAAGATTAGGGCCTGCTTCACAGACGGTTCTGCATCATATGCAGACAACACCCGAAAGTGGAGAGCTGCAGCACTACAACCCCTTTCTAGGACATCCCTGAAGGACAACAATGAAGGGAAATCTTCCCAGTGGGCAGAACTTCGAGCAGTGCACCTGGTTGTGCACTTTGAATGGAAGGAGAAATGGCCAGATGTGTGATTATATACTCATTCATGGGCTGTAGCCAATGGTTTGGCTGGTCAGGGACTTGGAAGGAGCATGATTGGAAACTTGGTGACAAATTTGGGGAAGAGGTATGTGGATGGACCTCTCTGAGTGGTCAAAGACAAGATATTTGTATCCCATGTGAGTGCTCACCAACAAGTGACCTCAGCGGAGGAGGGGTTTAATAATCTAGTGGATAGGATGACCCATTTTGTGGACACCACTCAGCCTCTTTCCCCTGCCATCGCCCATGGCCAACAAAGTGGCCATGGTGGCAGGGATGGAAGTAATGCTTGGGCTCAGCAACATGGACTTCCACTCACCAAGGCTGACCTGGCTACGGCCACTGCTGAGTGCCTAATTTGCCAGCAGCAGAGACCGACACCAAGCCCTCAGTATGTCACCATTCCTTGGGTGATCAGCCAGCTACCTGGTGGCGGATTGATTATATTGGACCTCTTCCATCATGGAAAGGGCAGAGGATTGTCCTCACTCAAATAGACACTTACTCTGGATATGGGTTCGCCTATCCTGTATGCAATGCTTCTACCAAGACTACCATTTGTGGAATGTTTTTTTGGTTTGTTGTTGTTGTTGTTGTTGTTGTTTTGAGAAGGGGTCTCACTCTGTTGCCCAGGCTGGAGTGCAGTGGCACAATCTTGGCTCATTGCAACATCCGCCTCCCGGGTTCAAGTGATTCTCCTGCCTCCGCCTCCCAAGTAGCTAGGATTACAGGCACCCGCCACCACACCCAGCTAATTTTTGTATTTTCAGTAGAGACAGGGTTTCACCATGTTGGCCAGGCTGGTCTTGAACTCCTGACTTCAAGTGATCTGCCTGCCTCGGCCTCCCAAAGTGCTGGGATTACAGGCGTGAGCCACCGCACCCAGCTGACTCATGGAATGCCTTATCCACCATCATGGTATGCCACGCAGCATTGCCTCTGACCAAGGCACTCACTTTACAGCTAAAGAAGTGCGGCAGTAGGCTCATGCTCATGGAATTCACTGGTCTTACCATGCTCTCCATCATCCTAAAGCAGCTGGATTGACAGAACAGTGGAATGGCCTATTGAAGTCACAATTACAACGCCAACTAGGTGACAATACTTTGCAGAACTGTGGGAAAGTCCTCCAGAAGGCCGTGTATCCTCTGAATCAGCGTCCAATATAAGGTACTGTTTCTCCCATAGCCAGGATTCACAGGTCCAGGAATCGAGGGGTGGAACTGGAAGTGGCACCACTCACCATCACCCCTAGTGATCCACTAGCAAAATTTTTGCTTCCTCTCCTGCAACATTATGTTCTGCTGGCCTAGAGGTCTTAATTCCAGAGGGAAGAATGCTGCCACCAGGAGACACAACAATGATTCCATTAAACTGGAAGTTAAGATTGTCACCTGGACACTTTGGGCTCCTCCTCCCTTTAAGTCAACAGGCTCAGAGGGGGAGTTACAGTGTTGGCTAAGGTGACTGACCCAGACTATCAAGATGAAATCAGTCTACAACTTCACAACGGAAGTAAGGAAGAGTATGCATGGAATACATGAGACCCATTAGGGCATCTCTTCGTATTACCATGCCCTGTGATTACTGTCAATGCAAAACCACAACAGCCAAATCCAGGCAGGACTACAAATGATCCGGACCATTCAGGAATGAAGGTTTGGATCACTCCACCAGGAAAAAAACCCATGACCTGCTGAGGTATTTGGGGAAGGCAAAGTTAATACAGAATGGGTAGAAGAAGGTAGTCATCAATACCAGCTATGACCACGTGACCAGCTGCAGAAATGAGGACTGTAACTGCCATGAGTATTTCCTCCTTCATTTGTTAAAAACATGTTTGTGTATGTATACACATGTACTAATATCTTCACTTTATATTTCCTTTTCCTTTATCATGTGACATAAGATTTATTGATTTCATAACAGCATTTAAGTATTATTAACTTTATGTAATAGTATTTGGGTTGGGGATTGGTGTGTTTCTGGTTGTATGAAGGATAGTTTTATTACATTAGGTGTAATTATGACCTTATTATTGTCTTTATTTTAAGATTACATACGATCTCAGATGTATATGGGTTCAAGTTGACAAGGAGTGGACTTGTAATGTTAATACTGTCAACTTGATTGGACTGAAGGATGCAATATTGATCCTGGGTGTATCTGTGAGGGTGTTGCCAAAGGAGATTAACATTTGAGTCAGTGGGCTGGGGAAGGCAGACCCACCCTTAACTGGGTGGGCACCATCTAATCAGCCACCAGCGAATATAGAGCAGGAAGAAAAACATGAAGAGATGGGCCTAGCCTCCCAGCCTATATCTTTCTCCCGTGCTGGATGCTTCCTGCCCTCGAACATCGGACTCCAAGTTCTTCATTTTGGGGACTCGGATTGGCTCTCCTTGCTTCTCAGCTTGCAGACAGCCTACTGTGGGACCTTGTGATCACGTAAATCAATACTTAATAAACTCTCCTTTGGAGATATATCCTATTAGTTCTGTCCCTCTAAGAGAATCCTGACTAAAACAAGTAGTGTGGGGCTCGTGACAAAAACTGATAGCTTTGCTGCCAAAGGGGCTCCTGTGGCATGACAGAGCTGTTGTCCACAGCAAATGCCATCTCACACTACTGGAATTATAAATTCCACTATTTGAATAACCACTGCCGAATTCAGGATTTAGCAGCTTTTCTGAAGGAACCATAAATAGGAATTCAATGGTTCCTATAGTAGGAACTGGACTTGGTAATCCCAGCCTGTAATCTCCCAGCACTTTGGGAGGCCAAGGCGGGTGGATCACTTGAAGCCAGGAGATTGAGACCAGCCTGGCCAACACAGTAAAACCCTATCTCTACTAAAAATACAAAAACAGAATAACTAGCTGGGCACTGATTTTTATTATTTAGATGGTATGCACCTGTAATCCCAGCTACTCAGGAGGCTGAGGCAGGAAAATTGCTTGAACCCAGGAGGTGGAGGCTGCAGTGAGCCAAGATCACGCCACTGCACTCCAGCCTACGTAACAGAGCAAGACTCCGTCTCAAAAAAAAAAAAAAAAGTTCCTATAGTAGTAGTGGCACACCTGTGACCCATTTACAACAGACGAATGTGGGTGGGAAGCCCTATTCTATGCTCGTCCAGCCTACTTTACATATAAAGTATTATTGTAACTCCAGATCATGACAGGGAAAATGCTGAGAAATGAGTTCATTAAAGAGCTTTTAAAAGCCTAACAGATTATAATGTCAAAGGGTTCCATGAAAAGCAACTATTCAGTTGCTTTTACTATTCGGTTATGCCATTTCCCTATTCTATCTCTGACAACTATTATTAGTAGTTATCCTTTGGGAGCTGTTATGAACCAAAAACTAAAAAGGACGTCTGTAACTAGTTTTGATAGAGGCAAGAGGCAAACAAATGTCTAGGCAGACAGGGGCGGGTCCTCAGTGAAACCCGAACTTTAATCCGGAAACTGTCCTGGGTAAATCCTGAGATCGGATTAAGAACCTGCCTTCCCGTTTGGCATGATTGATCCCCATCCTTCACCTATTTAACCTGTACCTACCCTTTCCTAATTGGTTTTCTACACTGTCCTGCCCACCTTGGAGTGGTGTCTTCGCTTTGACCTTTTTTGCATACTCACAAACCAATGACCACACACTCCCATTCTGAACCAATAAAGAGCCCCAGGCTCAGCCATATTACGGAACTTTCCTGTCTTCAGGTAGTAGAACCACCTACCATGTTCTCTCTTTTTGCTAAGAGCTTTCCTTTCGATTAATAGATTCTACTCCACTCACTCTTTGATGTCCACGTGCCTAATTCTTCCGCTCCTGAGATAAGAACCTGGACCTAGTTGAGCTAAGGAGCAAAAATCCTGCATCAGTTTCATGGTCAAAGAGAACTTAAAAGGACATCTGTGCCATCCTTAACAACATACCATAAAAATCCAAAATTTAATTTTCCCCAGAAATACATAATGACATAAGATGCAATCTACTCAAATCTTTTCCTCATTTAAGGCACAGGGTAAAAATACAGTCAAAAACACCAATACATTTTAAATATCATTTATCAGAATGCAGATTATCAAAGGGCAGCTTTTATCCATTGTAATCTTTCCCCTATCCAACCCTCAGCACCCCCACCCCGCCCCCAGCCACACACTCTCAGATGACTTCCTGGGCTGCATGTGGTTCATGGAATATGAACAGTAGCTGAAATTCAGCCTAAGAGGGTAAAACTGATAGAAAATTATACAATTGGAAAGTGGGAAGGTCATGAAGCTATGAGCACATCTAGCTAGCCACTTAGCATCTGTATTTCATCAACAGTTAAGCTATTCTTTACTTGTCACCACATAAATAGAATATGATTTTAAAATACACACACACACCCCCTTATGGAAAATGATCCTAGAAAGGTAATGCTAGTGTCATCTTTCAAGTTAAAGTACTGTTGTTTTTTTTTTCCCAGAAATCCCCAGTTTTCAATAAATTAAAGCGATTATCCAATTTTATAGTTATTTTATTCTGAAACATGTATAAGTACAATACACTCTTTAAATGCTCTATAGATGTTAAACTGGTTCAAGTATTCCAAAATTAATTTTAATAAATTCATGTATGAATTTCATCTCACACAGAATCACTTGAAGTTACTTACTATTCGGTTATGCCTTAAATGCTTAGTTACATATTTTATGGATAAAAGGATATGACACTATTATTTTCAAATCTGGATGTTCAGGAGGATCAAAAAATGAACCCTTGTGAATGAGAAGCATTTACTCTAAAAAAAAAACCTCTCACTGACCAATTGACCATTTATACTATTCCTCTTCTATCCATACAGATAATAAAGTTAACTTTAAATAGATTTGTGAGTAAGAGTCAAGAGAATTTGAAAGCTGGGTACAGAAGTCTGTATGCTTTACTGAAGCACCAGTTTAATCTGACACTCACTGTGGCCTTGAATGAGTCACCTTTCAGGGCTGAGTTCTCTAATCTGTAAAATGAGAGTGTTATGTTAAATGTTTACTGAGGTTGATTATTCTATCAGCTACTTGTAATTCAGCTGCATCATTTCAGTTAGCTATAAATAAACCCCCTAAGACCCTCAGTGTGAATATGAACAACTATCATTTCATATTATTTCATATATCAAGTATTCTCATTTATAATTGGGTTGAGGTTTATTAAAAAAAAAAAAAAAAGCTTTTTGGCAAAGGGAGGGACTGAAAACAAATTCACCACTGCATGGTGCCCTGCTTGAGCCAATCTGACTGGAGCTTAAGAAACTCCACCCAGTTCTGGCTAACATCAAAGGAGACTCAACACCACTCTGCCAGAAAATAAGCCCTGTATTATCTAACCAGGCACTAAGGGAACACACAGTTTTCAAGCACAGCACTTTGTATATCTGATCTTTCATTCTGATGACATGCCTGAAGTGAAACTATTAGTGAGCCGGGTTTTTTAAAATAGGTAAACTAAGGCAAGAGGCAACTACATGGCATGATGATAAAATACTCTCTTGACTACAATCTCACTATTAAGAGCTAGGTGCTCATAAACAGGAAATAAGGATATATGATGAGGCCACAGTACTTTGTTGTATGCTTTACTTTGGATAGTTCACAAACTCTGGAATTAATTACTGTACTAAAAATATTTTACAGGTCTATACAGATTAAACAGTGTTAATATCTAACTTAATTACACAGAAGTTCTGAAGAACCTTTTAAGCTCCATGAAGTCCTCCTGAAAATTTTAGGTCATTCGCATCTAGAGCCACTCACTCGGGGTCTGTGCTCATTCTGTCTGATGAGAAATTGGCAATCTGGTTTACCAATGGCCTGTTGCTGTCTCTGTCCTCTTCTATTCACCCCTTGAAAGGTGCTACTATGGGAGCTAAAATGCAGGGAAAAAACTCATGAAAAGCTAGAACAGAGCTTGGGCAAAATGGCAAAACCCCATCTCTACAAAAACATGTAAAAATTAGCCAGGCATGGTGGCACATGCCTGTAGTCCCTGCTACTCAGGAGGCTGAGGTGGGAGGACTGATTGAGCCCAGGAGGTTGAGGCTGCAGTGAGCCACTATTGCACCACTGCACTCCGGCGTGGGCAACAGAGTGAAACCCTGACTCAAAAAAAAAAAGCAAGAACAGAAGCCTGATTCCCACCATCATACTCACTTTTCCTAACCACTGTGTTAGGAAACCTTCATTTTACTGTGTCACATTAGCCAAATTTCTACCGACATTCATTTGCAGTAGCCAGCATTCTCTTTTTAAAAGTATAGAATCCTATTTCTTAATTTAAAAGTGGGTAAGAAAATGTACATCCCTGGAAAGACCATTGTTCATCCCAGAGATGGTTCTATTGAAGATGTCTGAGTTCTTGGTTCTGGTGTGAAAAAGGAAGAAAAATATTATGGCAACATGGGAACTTTCAGGGAATAAAGCAGATATAGATATGGTATCAAAGTAGGGAAAGGGTATACAGGCCCAGGAGCCCTAGGAGGCAAAAGAAAGGGAGTTAATACCATGCCAAAGACAAGCTTGCTATCTTTCAAAATATCGCCTCCTGTCAGTTTCAGCAGAAAGAAATAAACTTTCTTCTCAGTGACCTAGGCTACTTTGAGGCAAATCATTTTGAGTTCCAAACAACCCATTTAATAAACTTTAAATAATTATTACTAAAGGTAGGATACTGCTTATAATGCTCACTTATATTTTCTCTATAACTGATAGCCTGTCCTTTTTGGGTGGGTGGGGGCGGGGGCGGTTATGGACAAGACAAGGAACCATAAAGATATCTGGGTTAATGTTTTCTTTTATACGTTTGTTTTTGCATGACATTTAAATGACAGAGAATTCTAAAGCCAACACTAAGCTGCTATCCTAGGACATTAGTGAGAATGCTGTGGCCAAAATATAGTGCTCATTCCTCAGGCTTGAAAGGAACCCCACGTCGCCAGTGTGGGAGATCATTTATAATCTTGATGGATACAGGTATAGCCTGCTTCATAATAATTTAATATTCAACATCAGATTTTTTTTTAGTATGCCTAGCAGGTTTTTAGTTACTAATTAACTTTATTACCCAGATTTGTTTCTTACTGAACTTCTTTCAGAGGCCTGTTATACATCAAGCTGAACTTTGTCTGGCAGCTGTGCTGTTTTTAATTTATTTAACCACAAAACCTTGATTTATACTTTCAAGCAAAATGATATTTTACTTAAAAATAAATCTTTAGCAAGGATGTCTACAGGAATCAACTACCAACTTACACAGTTCACAGACACATATGATTCCTCAGACAAATCTGAATTTCTCCTGCTTCTCCTCCAAACCAGACTTGCAGATAGCAACAGACAACTGAGGAAGATCTTGACTATCCTGAGCAATAAACTACAACCCCCCTGAAGAATATATTAACTGTCCACCCCTAGGTTCCTCCCTACACAGTTCAAGGACAACAGCTGTGCTATTACAAACTGATGGAATTTCCAGGCTTGACAGGGTTCTGTTCGTAACCACCATTTGTCCTGTTCATCATAGGATTAGCAACAGCAGAGAGCCCTTGATTACTAGAATAGCTGAGGCCATCACACAGCTACATTCCTACATGAAAGAACACACTGATATAGGTTTAAAGAAGTTATATTTTACTTTCATGTAGTTACCAGAGTCCCCCCCACCCCCCATTTAAGGGAGCCCTGTTCTCTGGATATAAAAATACTGTATACACTTGCACACACATACTCACATACATAAAACCTTGCATCACAAAGTTAAAAGGCTACCTTGCTTACTTACAGGAACTATCCAGGCAGCTTGTGTTCAGTCCTGACTAAATGCATTTTGGATCAGGCACCTGCCTTCAACATTTCTGTCCAAATGAATTTCAATCTATTTCTCCAGGAAGAACACACCAGATACCTCCCACTGTTAGCCATGTGATACAGGCAGCATGATGTCTGAAGTCTGGTTACGGTTATGTAGGCCAAAATAAGAAATGACAATGACACAGCACTTACATTTCTGATATCACCAACCTTAAGAATGAATCTTCCATTTTATCTAAATTTTTTAAATGAGTAAAACTTTAAAAGATTCTTAATACCTAACCCCTCAAAATTTTGAAAAAGGAGCATTTTTTTTAAACTTTACATTTATCCCACTTCCTTCCTCTAACACAGGAAAACATTCAGAGTTAATCTATACCAATCCAAAAATTATTTCTAACCACATTCTAAAGGCATTTTTTTTTTTTTTGAGACAGGGTCTTGGCCTGTTGCCCAGGCTGGAGAATGCAGTGGCATGATCTCAGCTCACTACAACCTCCGCCTCCTGGGTTCAAGTGATTCTCCTAACTCAGCCTCCTGAGTAGCTGCGATTGCAGGCATGCACACCACCATGCCTGGCTAATTTTTGTATCTTCAGTAGAGACGAGGTTTCATCATGTTGGCCAGACTGGTCTCAAACTCCTGGCCTCAAGTGATCCACCCATCTTGGCCTCCCAAAGTGCTGGGATTACAGGCATGAGCCACCATGCCTGGCTCTAAAGGCTTACACCAGTTGAACTGATCTAGGATCCAATCCCCTCACTTTAATAGATGGAAAAAAAAATGAGAAATGGAAAAAACAAGTCACTTACAAATGAGGCTGAGACAAAGGATCGGCGAAAAGAGCCACAGAACACCAAAAACAGAAGCAGAGCGTGACAAAATAAGCAAAACCTTACAGTTTTGTAGTTTCTGCTTTTATCTAACACAATGACTTCGCTGTACTTCATATACCTTTTGAATTATACCTGCTTATACATACCTTTACCTACCTACTACTTATACCTACCTATCTTTTCTTCTGCAAGGAGGGAGGCAGGCAGGAAGAATCCTGAACATCAGGAAAACATTCCACCTGATCTTTAAAGGGACCCCAATGCCTAGATGTCTTTTTCTTTTTTCTTTTTTTTTTTTTTTGTAAATCCAAACTCTTACGTGTAATATCAAGGCTGACTGACAAGACTCAGTCCTATCACCCACCATAATCATCAGCAGCTTTCCATGTAGGGTCTCCCTACAATTTAGTCACATGGGACCATCTACCATCTTACATTATCACTGTACACCCTATGCTCATTTGCTCTCCAAACTTGAAGTTATCTTCTCTCCCTCCTCATTTGTGAAAGTCTTGAAATCAAGGTCCACATAAATTGTCTTACCACCTTTTCTGTGACTGCTTTTTAGAATCTTTCTCCCAGTAGTATTCAGAACTAATACATCATCTGTACTTGTAACAGTAGAGTCTGATCTATACTGTAGTTCAGTGGTCCCCAAACCTTTTGGCACCAGGGACAGGTTTCGTGGAAAACAATTTTTCCACAGATAGCAGGAGGGGTGAGAGGGAGGAGATGGTTTCGGGATGAAACTCTTCCACCTCCGATCATCAGTCATTAGATTCTCACAGGAGCATGCAACCTAGATCCATCGCATGTGCAGTTCACAATAGGGTTTGCGCTCCTATGATAATCTAAAACCACTGCTGATCTGACAGAAGGCAGAACTCAGGCACACTTATCGCAAAGTTAATGTAATGCTGTTCACCTGCTGCTCACCTCCTGCCGTGCAGCCCAGTTCCTAACTGGCCATGGACTGGTACCAATCTACAGACCGAGGGTTGGGGACCCCCCACTGTAGTTAGTTGTATATACCAGCTCCTGTAAACTGCTGGGTCCCAGAAGAGAGGACCACATCAAAGTGATGTGCACACCTTCTCTGTTCCTAGTAGACTACAGAGGAGACAGGCCAAAATGATAAAAACCAACAAAACAAGGGGCTAAAAACACATTTCTAAAATGACACGATGAAAGTTATTAGAAATTGAATCTAATTTGAAATTAATCAGAAGTTCCAAAATTACAAAAACTCTTCACAACTAGAAAAAGAATAAACAGATTCAAGGCTGAAAGGTTATCACCAATTACAAATATTCACCTTGGCTAGGTGTGGTGGCTCATGCTTGTAATCCCAGCACTCAGCACTTTGGGAGGCTGAGGTGGGTGGATTATGAGGTCAAGAGATTGAGACCATCCTGGCCAACAAGGTGAAACCCCTCTCTACTAAAAATACAAAAATTAGCCGGGCGTGGTGGTGTGCACCTGTAGTCCCAGCTACTCGAGAGGCTGAGGCAGGAGAATCACTTGAACCTGGGAGGTGGAGGTTGCAGTGAGCCAAGATCGTGTCACTGCACTCCAGCCTGGGTGACAGAGTGAGACTCTGTCTCAAAAAAATAAAAATAAAAAAGAATATTCACCTATTTTCTTCCACTTTCTAAACACAGTTTGTACAAGAGCAAGCATGTTGTCTGGAATTATAGAAAGAAAGCCAGTAAGGAGTAACCGTACGAACCAGCTCTCCATGCTGGTCATCTTATCATTATTAGGCATAGCAATAAAAATAGCTCTCTCTGCTTTTAGAAAAGCATGACATGATGCAATGTGGCAAAAACAAATATTCAAGATGGTCGACCAGTTACTGGCCTGGCATGGTGACTCACACCTGTAATCCCAGAACTCTGGGAGGCCAAAGCAGGAAGACCACTTGAGCCCAGGAATTCAAGACTAGCCTGGGCAAGATGGCAAGACACCATCTCTACAAAAAAAAATGTTTTTAATTAGCTGGGCATGGTGGTGTGTGCCTGTAGTGCCAGCCTCTCAGGAGGCTGAGGCAGTAGGATTCCTTGAGCCCAGGAGCTTGAGGATGCAGTGAGCTATGATTACAACACTGTACTCCAGTCTGGGCGAGAAAGTGAGACCACATCTCTGAGGGACAGAGAGAGAAAGAGAGAAAGATATCAGCCACTACCATCATGTTAATATGATCATATAAATATTAAAACTTTATAATTATTAAAATATTAAATCTCTATAGTTATCAGCTCATATATCTGTCAGAAAGTAATAAGCATATCATGTAACTTTAGGATGACTTAGTGCTGAGGAGATTGGAAGAAAGGAAGAATATTCATACTTGATCAGCTCTTAGCTTTTGAGAACTATTTTATTAAAGAAAAAACTCTCTTTTGGCTGGGCATGGTGGTTCATGCCTATAATCCCAACATTCTGGAAGGCTGAGGCAGGAAAACTGCTTGAGCCCAAGAGTACAAGACCAGCCTGGGCAACACAGTTGAGACTGCGTCTCCACAGAAAACATTTTAAAATTAGCCTGCACACCTGTGGTCCCAGCTCTTGGGAGGCTGAGGTGGACGGATCACTTCAGCAGAGGAAGTTCAAGGCTGCAGTGAGCCGTGATAGCACCACTGCACTCCAGCCTGGGCTACAGAGTGAGGCCCTGTCTTGAAAATAATAGATAACAAAAGAAAAACTTCTCCCATTAAGCAAAGTGAAGTTTCACTCTATTTTATATCAGTGAAAATAAAGAAAAGTGGAAGGTAGAAGAGGACATAGGAATTTGTGCTGCCAATTCTATAATTTTTGTTTTGTTTTGTTTTTTGTGGGGTTTTTGAGACGGAGATTTTTGTATTTTTAGTAGAGACAGGGTTTCACCATGTTAGTCAGGCTGGTCTTGAACTCCTGACCTCAAGTGATTCGCCTGCCTCAGCCTCCCAAAGTGTTGGGATTACAGGTGTGAGCCACCATGCCCACCCTTGTAATTGTTTATTTACAATGTGTGTCCCACCCAGAGTTCCCCTTAACGCTTGAGTTCCTCGATGGCTAGGATAGCATCTTTCTCACCTTTTATCCTGGACATCTAAATATAATAAACTTGAAACCTCACAGGCTCTCATTAAATGCACATTTGTCCTGCTAGGTGCGCTCTGCTCCATACCATACCAGCCTTCTCTTGCTGGGGTTGATGTTTGCACAGCTGGAAGCACCCTCATAGTTCTTCTAAGTATTGGTTCTAGGCACGACTAAGGGTAGAGTAGCTCAGCTTTTCTGAGCAAGAAGGAGAAGATACAAACTCTATGGGAGTACTTAACAAGCATTTTGTAGTCGTGGCAAAGGCCTTACTTTGACCTAATATCTTACAGATGCTTTCAAAAAGGAGGGGGGGAATATCATTATTAAATGAAAATTGAACAGCAAAAGTTGAAGAGATCTTTCAAGTTATTAGTAACATAACTTTTAATATTTTACCTGAAATACAAGTAAAAATCTGAATTAAAAGTATTAAAAAAACAAAAAAAACACGCTGGATCAGAATTGTTCAGGGACAGGGTTAAGCAATATGAGTATTATTTGTTGTTGTTGTTTTGTTTTTTTTAGAGACAAGTCACACTATGTTGCCCAGGCTGGAGTGCATTGGCTAGTCACAGGTGTGCTCATTGTACACTACAGCTTCAAGCTCCTGGGCTCAAGCGATCCTCCAGCCTCAACCTCCCAGGTAGCTGAGACTAGAAGCATGTGCTACTGCACCAAAAATCTCAGTGTTGTTGGTTTTCTTGCAGTAAGGGTAATCATGACACAGAGAAATCTCATTAAAGTTGAGTCCGAGAGGCACCCACAATTGAGGGTCACTGAATTAATCAACAATCTACCTAATCCATTCAAGATAAAATTCACTGAAATGAAATGCAACACAGGATTAATACAACTTAACAATAGAAAGACATCACACTCCCCCTTGTTAGGAAGGTGTTTTAGAATCAGTTTACTAGATGTAGAATCTGAGGCACGGATTTTTGTACAAGTGATTTACTAAGGGAGTGCTTTTAGGAAAAACCTATAAGGTTTTATTTTATTTTAAGGTTTTATGATATTTTAAAGGTATCAACTATCCCCAAACTAATCTATAGTTTTTGTTTGTTTTTGTTTTTTTTTTTAGACAGAGTCTCACTCTGTTGCCCAGGCTGGAGTGCAGTGGCACATGATCTTGGCTCACTGCAACCTCCGCCTCCCAGGTTCAAGCAATTCTCCTGCCTCAGCCTCCTGAATAGCTGGGACCACAGGCGTGCGCCACCACATCCGGCTAATTTTTGTATTTTTAGTAGAGACAGGGTTTCACCATGTTGGCCAGGCTGTTCTCAAACTCCTGACCTTGTGATCCACCTGTCTTGGCCTCCTAAAGTGTTGGGATTACAGGCGTGAGACACCACGCCCGGCCTAATCTATAGATTTAACATAACCCCAAGCAAAGTCCAGTAGGTTTTTTCTTTTCAAATCAAACTGAAAAGTTGATCCTAAGTTTTACATAGTAATTTAAAAAGTCAAGAACAGCTAAGATAATCTTTGAGAACAAACTTAGAGGAACTTAAACTACTGGATATCAAAACTTACTGATGGATTGAACCATGTGAAAATGCTGAAAACTGATGAGTTTCTAACCTATGGCAATGTCATATGTTTGAAACTAAAAATACATAAATATAGTAATGAAAACATTGTGGTACCTGCACAATCACCAAGAAAGAGGCCAATGTACTTGGTGTGCTGAACATATGGAAAAACAAAACAAAACAAAACAAGAGGCCAATGCAAAAAAATGGTTTTGAAACGGAACCACATGCATATGGATACTTAATATCTGACAAATGTGACACTGCAAAATAGTGGGGGAATTAACTGTCTTTTCAATAAGTGGTGCTGGGTCAACTGGATATTTTGAGCTCTACCTCACAGTATATACAAAAAGTAATTCCAGGTGGATGGCAGCCCTAAATGTGAACGGTAAACAATAACATGGCGAATATTTTCATGATCACAGAGGCAGATGAAGAAAACGAACAGACAATGGAGAGAGTAGAGAGACAGGGACAAAAGAAGGAAAAAAGAAAAGCAAAAAGAAGATGATGAGGTGGGAGGATCATTTGAGCCCAGGAATTTGAATACAGCCTCGGCAAGGTGGCAAGAAGGGAGGGAGGGAAATTCCCCTCAGCAGTACTTACCAACTTACAAGAAACAGATGGGCTTATTTCTAATTGTAACACTAAATGATTTTTTTTAAAAAATGAAGTGATGCCTTTAAAACTGAGAAAAACTATTTTGAAGCTAGATTTTTACAGCCAACTCATCCATTAAGTGAAGGCTAAAATGGGAAATTCAAACACACAATTTAAAAAAAATTATTGGCTGGGCGTGGTGGCTCATGCCTGTAATCCCAGCACTTTGCGAGGCTGAGGCGAGCGGATCACAAGGTCAAGAGATGGAGACCATCCTAGCCAACATGGTGAAACCCCGTCTCTACGAAAAACACAACAAAATTAGCTGTGCGTGGTGGCATGCGCCTATAGTCCCAGCTACTCAGGGGGCTGAGGCAGAAGAATCACTTGAACCCGGGAGGCAGAGGTTGCAGTGAGCCAAGATTGCGCCACGGCACTCCAGCCTGGGCAACAGAGTGACACTCCATCTCAGGGGGGAAAAAAAAAAATTTATTTTCCAGGCATTCTTTCTGAAAATGAACTTCAGCACAGACTCCAGGAAATGAAAAATGAACACAGCATCCTATTAAAGCTGCAATATCCAAAAAATAGTACCATTAGCCTACAAGAGAAATGAAATGCAATCCTAGGATGACGATAATGCACTAGGATCTAGAAACAACTCTGTCCAAAATTAACCTTTCCATAGTGTAATTTAAAAAGACCAATGACTTAGACATGTGGTGCAAATGGTATATGAAAAAAGGTGCAATTAAAAACAGGGGAGGGGAGCAGTTTACTGAAAGAGAACTACACAAGAAAGTACTAATCCAAACATAAGGCAAACTGAACTATGGCATTATTCTGAGATAATTATATATTTTAAGGAGACAAGGCTTAGAATTAGAACACTCTCATCAAACTTACCAACATAAGATGGATCCATAAAGAAGGATATTTTGTATTTACATACAAATGAACATGTACAATATAATGTATCAAGAAAGAACAAAAAAGGAGAAAAGAGAAGGAGGCTTCGGAAAGATGGAGATGACTCCAAAACAGCAGCTGAAATCAACTGAAAGACTTTTGCTGACTCTCTGAGTTTACTCTTAAGTGGGCAGAAGTCAAAGAGAACTTTGCCTGCTCACTGGAATGTGTTTCTCTATTGGTCTCTAAGTCTGCATGTGCTGACCTTTAAAAGACAGTATAAGGTTTGTCTGTTTTCCCTTCTGCTAGCAGGCTGCTAGACTGAACATGGTAGACAATGACTTTCCCTCTGAAGTTGGCTGTGTTCAATATTCTATTGTTTTTCTTATACAAGCACTGGGAGATTTTTGCAATTGATGTATTTTTAATCATTTAAAACTAAGCAAGCCATGACAATATAAAAGACAAACTTACACCACAAATGAAACTACTAACAAAAATAACAAATATACTCATCTGGGGATGGCAGGGGTTGGGGGGAGACCCTCTCCTAAACATAGCAAGCACCAAAGGGCTGCTTTGACTTGCAATACTAAACTCCTTCCAAGAAATTTGGAAGTAAATTCAGAGTAACCAAAGATACAAAAAGCAATATGCAACAGGAGAAAGTATTTGGGTGTGAATAAAGAATCAAAAAATGGGCCAGGTGCAGTGGCTCACGCCAGTAATCCCAGCACTTGGGGAGGCCGAGGCAGGTGGATCATGAGGTCAAGAGATCGAGACCATCCAGGCCAACATGGTGAAATCCTGTCTCTACTAAAAATACAAAAATTAGCTGGGCGTGGTGGAGCGTGCCTGTAGTCCCAGCTACTCGGGAGGCTGAGGCAGGAGAATCGCTTGAACCTGGGAGGCAGAGGTTGCAGTGAGCTGAGATCACACCACTGCACTCCAGCCTGGGCAACAGAGTTTGACTCTGTCTTTAAAAAAAATAATAAATAAAAAAATTTTAAAAATGTACAAAATGAAAGGGACCGTGGCAAAGATGGGGATTCTGTTTCTTCTCCCTGGGTGCTCAGAAAGACATTTCCTATTTCCCTTGGAGTTAGAAGTTGAGACCATGTGAGTGGGTTCTAGACAGTGCAATGTGAGCTGAAGAATTATGCTTCACTACAAAGCACTTGATGAAATTCTGCTTGCTGGTGCTCTTTGCTATCAACCAACTAAATACAAAGAATCCAGCAGGAGACTCCAAGACACCAGATGGAAGGAGTTGAAATTCCTCAATTACATGACAGCCACAGGCTAAACACTCACACTATGACGTGAGCAAGAAATAAACCATTATTGTGTTAAGTCACTGAAATGCTAGTTATGTTAAAGAGTTAGCATCAACTATCCTAATTAATACAGAGATCTTACATATCTAACATCCTCATTTTACAAATAAGGAAACTGATGAACAATGAGCTTTCCAAAAATTATACTAGTTGGTAGGAGAAACAGGTCTCCTGACTTTCTATTCAGGGACTTTTACAAAGTAAAAGATTTCTGTGCTACATTTATAAGTAAAAGTTATTATCACAATATTTGTTCCAAAACCAAAAAAAGGCAGTGCAATCATTTCTTTTTCTTTTTTTTTTTGAAGCAGGGTCTCACTCTGGTGTCCAGGCTCGAGTGCAGTGGCATGACCATGACTTACTGCAGCCTCGACCTCCCAGTCACCTCTGTTTGCAAAAAGAAAAGAATTCTCCACGAAGTTCTTTTTCAGTCTACCATTTTATGATTTGACTCTCTTCATGTCGACAAAATTTCTTGAGTATCTATTAGAACTGTATAAGATTGTGGATATCTGAACATTTATTTACTGACAAAATGTGATTTCATATGGCTTGACTTAATAGTAAATGACAAGCACTGCATTTTTAGAAAGCGCTAATTTTATTAGGTATACATACCTACACACTTTTTTTTTTTTTTTTTTGAGACAGAGTCTCTGTCATGCAGGCTAGAGTGCAATGGTGCGATCTCGGCTCACTGCCACCTCTGCCTCCTGGGTTCAAGTAATTCTCATGCCTCAGCCTCCCAAGTAGCGGGCAGTACAGGCGTGCATCACCATGCCCAGCTAATTTTTGTATTATTAGTAGAGACGGGTTTTCACCACACCGGGCAGGCTGATCTCCAACTCCTGACCTCAGGTGATCTGCACACCTCAGCCTCCCAAAGTGCTGAGATTACAGGCATGAGCCACCATGACATCTTTTTACAAGAAGAAATAATATGCTGACTTGGCCAGGTGTGGTGGCTCACACCTATAATCCCAGCACTTTGGGCGGTCAAGGCGGGCAGCTCACCTGAGGTCAGGAGTTCAAGACCAGCCTGGCCGACGTGGTAAAAACCCTGTCTCTACTAAAAATACAAAAATTAGCCAGGCGTGGTGGTGCACACCCATAATCCCAGCTACTCAGGAGGCTGAGGCAGGAGAATTACTTGAACCTGGAAGGCGGAGGTTGCAGTGAGCCGAGATCGTACCACTGCACTCCAGCCTGGGCTACAAGTGCGAAACTCTGCCTCAAAAATAATAATAATAATAATAATAATAATAATAATAACAATAATAATAATATGCTGACTTAGAGGCTCCTGGACTATTGTCATTAGAACTATAAAGCAAAGTCTATACATCTGAAGAGAAATTTCTTTTAAATATACTCTTCTCCTGTGTCCTTACTGCTTTGTATTACCTTACAAAGAAACTACTACATATACAATTTCAGCTAATGAACATAAAGGATCAAAATTAGTGACTATTAGGCCAAATGTTTTGGCCAAAATTGTTGCAATTACCATGTAAACATAAATCCTGCTTGCCTATTATTCCATCAGTTTATACTTCCACTTAATCAAGGATTTAAGATTGAGTTTGCCTTGTCAGGCTCACAGAGGCTTAAATTACTTGTAAATAAACATTCCCACAAGAGACTACATCATAAACGCTCATATTTATTACATCCCACTCAAATACAACAGTTTCTCTTTTAAAAATTGGCAATCTATACAAAACAGCAATTTAGATTGGCCTTCAGGACAGAGAGGTATGATTCTTAGTAAATCACATTACATCAAGATGCTTTATTCTGAAGATGTAAGAAACGAATATATTTTTACAAAAACACTATATGTCAAGTGAATATATGGTTAGAGTGTAAGAAAAACTTATTTCCCTTGTCTTTAAGATTTTTCTAGAAGAATCTTAATCTTCCTATAAAACCACCTGTCTGATAAAAGGAAGTCTGAAATCTTATCTCCAAATAAATCTTATCTCAAATTAATAAAAGACTAAATTTCAGAAGTTTCTCAGATTTCATTTTTGCTGTTACAGTAATTAAGTTATGCCATTATCTTATGCAGTTGATTTTAAGTGATGAACACCCACCTACATCATTATTTCCATATAGAACCACCAACAATTAATTAGTTCAAACTAAAAATAATGAAATAAAGTATTAAAATGTTCTCCATAACTAAGAAAATACTGTCACTGTCAGCTTTACTATTTCTACCCATCACCACGACTACCCCCCAAAAACCCTACATATCAATACAGCTTTCATCAAATTAGAATCAATTTGCTTGAAAAAACAGAAACATATGCATCACCCATTACTATGTACACATCTGCCAGATAATGATTAGAGGCGGCAAGTATGCCAAGAGTCCAAAAAGCAGGTGAGAATCTTCTGTAGCCTAGAAAAAAGTGTATCTAGAGAAAACATAATAGTCTCCTCTATTCCCAAAGCACTTAAGACTAGTAAGACTTCCTGAAGTCTCCAACTCATAAATGGTCATTGTTTCACAGCTCAAGTAAATACATGTATGAACATGTAAAATAAAAAAGAGTAAGGGAGAACCTTAAATTCTCCAGTTTACTCTCAAATTTTAAAACTCAGAAAAGAGAGATCCAAAGTGGTTTCCCTTTGCCAAAAGCCATCTAGAAAACTAGAGACAAAGCTACAATTAGGACAAACATCTCCCAACTCCCACCAAGCCCAGAGTTCCCTCCCCAAAATGAATACTCACTGAACCCACAAGAGAAGCACCAGTTCAGAGTGCAAACCTAGGTCAAACAGGCCCCTTGGTGCAGTGGCCCATATAGTGTTTTGAAAAATGGCCAATATCTCCAAAATCAGTAATCTTTGAATGAAAATACAGTTTTACAGCTTTTTTAAAAAACAGGGCCAGGCGCGTTGGCTCAGTCCTGTAATCCCAGAACTTTAGGAGGCTGAAATGGGAGGATCCCTTAAGCCCAGGGGCTCGAGACCAGCCTGGGCAGCACAGTGAAACTCCGTGTCTACAAAAAATAAAAAAAATTAGCCGAGCATGCACCTGTGGTTCCAGCTACTCAGGAGACTAAAATGGGAGGATCGTTTGAGCCCGGGAGGTCAAGGCTGCAGTGAGCCATGATTGCGGAACTGCACCTCAGCCTTGGGTGATAGTGTAAGACCCTGTCTCAAAAAAATAAAAAATCCGAAGATCAGGCCATGACTATGTATTTCCACTTAGCAACAATATACTGGAGCTGAGAAATAACTGCCTCTGTAGATACCCATTCACACAATATCTGCAGCATAAGTTCTTAATCAAGACCAACTTCACTCACTTTAACTTCAAGAACGTTGCAGGGGCCAGGCACTGTGGCTCACGCCTGTAATCCCAGTACTTTGGGAGGCCAAGGTGGGCAGATCACCTGAGGCCAGGAGTTTGAGATCAGCCTGGCCAACATAGTGAAACCTCATCTCTACTAAAAACACAAAAATTAGCCAGGTGTGGTAGCACACGCCTATAGTCCCAACTACTTGGGAGGCTGACGCAGGAGAATCACTCAAACCCAGGAGGCGGAGGTTGTAGCGAGCCAAAATCGCACCACTGTACTCTAGCATGGGCAACAAAGCAAGACACCATCTCTGGGGGGGGAGGGAAATTTGCAGGAGTTTAAGTACGACACAGCTGCACTAAAGCTATTTAAATCAACATCAACTCTAAACATTTCTTATTGGTAGTAGAATTTTGGCTGGGTTTTAGTGGCTTGGTTTAACTAAATCACAAAGTCAGTAGACAGGAAAGGTGTGAGAGGGAGAGAAATGGAAAACAAAAGTACCACAAAATGGCTGGGCACGGTGGCTCACACCTGTAATCCCAGCACTTTGGGAGGGTGAGGCAGGTGGATCACAAGGTCAGGAGTTCCAGACCAGCCTGGCCAAGATGGTGAAACCCCGTCTCTACTAAAAATACGAAAATTAGCTGGGCATGGTGGCCGGCGCCTGTAGTCCCAATTACTCAGGAGGCTGAGGCAGAGAACTGCTTGAACCCAGGAGGCGGAGGTGGCAGTGAGCCAAGATTGCGCCACTGCACTCCAGCCTAGGCAACAGAGTGAGACTCCTTCTCAAAAAAAAAAAAAGGTACCACAAAACTAGTGGTAATTCCTTTAGAACATAATCAGAACTTCATTCACACATCCAAAATGTCTTACTTCTGGTCAGGCACCGTGGCAAAGGTCTGTAATCCCAGCATACTGGGAGGCCGAGGCGGGCAGATCGCTTGAGCCCAGGAGTTCAAGACCAGCCTGGGCAACATGGTGAACCCCTGCCTCGATAAAAAATACAAAAAAGGTTAGCTGGTTGTGGTGGCACACACCTGTAGTCCCAGCTACTTGGGAGGCTGAGGTGTGAGGATCACTGGAGTCTGGGAAGTTGAGGATGAGTGAGTCGAAATTGTGCCACTGCACTCCAGCCTGGGCAACAGAGTGAGACTCTGTCTCAAAATTAAATAAGCCAGGTGGGGTGGCTCACACCTGTAATCCCAGCACTTTGTGAGGCCAAAGCGGGCAGATCACTTGAGGTCAGGAGTTCAAGACCAGCCTGGCCGACATGGTAAAACCCTGTCTCTACTAAAAATACAAAAATTAGCCAGGCGTGGTGGTGCACACCCATAATCCCAGCTACTCGGGAGGCTGGCATGAGAATGCTTAAAACCCAGGAGGCGGAGGCTGCAGTGAGCCGAGATGGCGCCACTGAACTCCAGCATGGGTGACAGAGCGAGACTCTGTCTCTAAATAAATAAATAAGTAAATGCATATTTTTTTAAGTCTTACTTCCCTAGGAAGCAATAATCACTAACTCCTTTTTCAGTTTTGTCAATGACCTGAAAAGCTTGGTCCTGACACCTCTGCTTTATGGAAAAGGCAAGAATGCATACTGATTCCTAAGGTAGTAATCTGAACGGTTTAAAATTCCATACATGTAGCTACAGACAACTAGTATAATGGCAGAGATCTTACATGATATTTTAAGATCTAGTTCCAGTAGTAATAAAATCGTAGTAAAAAGAGGTAGGTCGGGCACGGTGGCTTACGCCTGTAATCCCAGCACTTTGGGAGGCCGAGGTGGGAGGATCACGAGGTCAGGGGATCAAGGCCATTCTGGCTAACACGGTGAAACCCCGTCTCTATTAAAATACAAAAAATTAGCTGGGCGTGGTGGCATGCACCTGTAGTCCCAGCTACTCAGGAGGCTGAGGTAGGGAAATCGCTTGAACCCAGGAGGCAGAGGTTGCAGTGAGCCGAGATCCCTACTGCACAGAGCAACTGAGCAAGATTCCATCTCAAAAAAAAAAATATATATATATAATATATGTATTATATATTCATATGTAATATTATGTATTATATATTACATATTCACATGTAATATATATTATATATTTTATATATATGGCATTTCTGGCCAGGTGTGGTGGCTCACGTCTGTAATCCCACCACTTTGAAAGGCTGAGGTGGGAGGATCATCTAAGGCTAAGAATTTGATTTCAGTCTTGGCAACACAGTGAGACCCTGTCTCAATTAGAAAATAAAAAAAAATTTAAACACAGCATTTCCAGTCCTTTCAAACTCAGATGAAGTTTAATTAAAATCTTCAGGGGACACCCCAGTAAAGCAACAGCATACCTCACACCCAGATGCTGGTTTCTAATACCATTCTCTGATAAAGAAACCAAGACTCTTTGGAGAAATGACTAATTCTAGGACTGAGAACAAAATATTCAAGATGAGCCTGAAGTACCTTGTATTTCCAGAAAGTTAGGAAGTGCTAAAAATAAAAATAAAAAAAAAAAAACAACGATAGGGGTAAGTTGGCCGGACGAGGTGGCTCAGGCCTGTAATGCCAGCACTTTGGGAGGCCAAGGCAGGCAGATCACCTGAAGTCAGGAGTTCAAGACCAGCCTGACCAACATGATTAAAACCCGTCTCTATAAAAAACCCAAATATTAACCAGGCATGATGGTGGGTGCCTGTAATCCCAGCTACTCGGGAGGCTGAGACAGGAGAATTGCTTGAACCCAGGAAGTGTAGGTAGCACTGAGCCGAGATTGTACCACTGCACTCCAGCCTGGGCGACAGAGTAAGACTCCATCTCAAAAAAAAAAAAAAAAAAAAAAAAAAGATAGGGGTAACTCAATTACACAGGAGTCAACTAAAAAAGTTCCCAATGACCAAAGCTGGAACAATATAAACAATAGACTGAATAAATAAATGAGAGAGAATAAGCAAGTCTTCAGTGAAGAATTCCAAACAAGATACTCCACTTCCAAGAGGTAGAACATAACCCTTCATCCTTTACATGTGCATAGCACATAGTGACCTCCTTCTAAAGAGTACAATATGAAAATGGGAGGGGGGGGTAAGAGAAATATGACAAATACTACCTAAGCCAAGTGATCAAGACTAATATCAATAGTGATAAATCAGCTGGGTGCAATGGCTTACATCTGTAATCCCAGCACTTTGGCAGGCCAAGGCAGGAGGTTCACTTGAGGCCAGGAGTTCTGACACCAACTTAGGCAAGCAACATGGCGAAACCCCATCTCTATGAAAAATACAAAAATTAGGCTGGGTGCGGTGGCTCACACCTGTAATCCCAGCACTTTGGGAAGCCAAAGTAGGGGGATCTCAAGGTCAGGAGATTGAGATCATCCTGGCTAACATGGTGAAACCCTGTCTCTACTAAAAATACAAAAAGTTAGCTGGGTGTGGTGGCACATGCCTGTAGTCCCACCTACTTGGGAGGCCGAGGCAGGAGAATCACTTGAACCCAGGAGACGGAAGTTACAGTGAGCCAAGGTCGCGCCACTGCACTCCAGCCTGGGCGACAGAGCAAGACTCCATCTCAAAAAAAAACAAAAAAACAAAAAAATTAGCCAGGCATGGTGGTACGTGCCTGTAGTCCCAACTACCCGGGAGGCTGAGGTGGGAGGATCACTTGGGCCCTGGAGGCCAGGGTTGCGGTAAGCCACGATCGTGCCACTGCAACCCAGCCTGGGCAACAGAGCAAGACTCTTTCTCAAAAAAAAATTAGCTGGGCTTGGTGGCATGTGCCTATGGTCCCAGCTATTTGGGAAGCTGAGTTGAGAGGAAGCTTGAGTCGAGTCCAGGAGGTTCCAGTGAACTGTGATCACAGCACTGTACTCCAGCTTGAGTGATAAAGCAAAACACACACATACACACACACATACACACACACACACACACAGACATAAATCATGCTGACATGATTTGATAGTATGCACCCTTGATATAATGTGATAAGAGTGGCACTTTACCTCTGTGATCTTCCTTCTAAAAAGCATAACCTCTGTCTAATCATGAGAAAAAGATCAGACAACTCCCAACTGAAGGACACTCTACAAAATATCAGACCAGTACTCCTCAAAACTGTCAAAGTCATCAAAAACAAGGGAGGTGTAAGAAACTGTCATAGCCAAGAGAAAGCTAAGTATGATAACTAAACATAATGTGGTATCCTAGATGAGATCCTAGAACAGAAAAAGGTATTTAGGTAAAAATTAAGGAAATCTAAATAAACTATGAACTTTAGTTAATAATAATGTATGAAAATTGAGGTCAGGAGTTCGCGAGCGGCCTGGCCAACATGGTGAAACTGCATTTCTACTAAAAAAAAATAATAAAAAAATTAGATGGGCATGGTGGTGTGCGCCTGTAATCCCAGCTACTAGGGAGACTCAGGCAGGAGAATTACTTGAATCTCGGAGGCGGAGGTTGCAGTTAGCCCAAGATCGCACCACTACACTCCAGCCTGGGCAAGAGAGCAAGACTCCGTCTCAAAAAAAAAAAAATTAGCCAGGTGTGGTGGCAGGCACCTGTAATCCCAGCTACTCAGGAGGCTGAGGCAGGAGAATCGCTTGAACCCAGGAGACAGAGGTTGCAGTGAGCTGAGATTGTGGCACTGCACTCCAGCCTGGGTGACAGAGAAAGACTCCTTCTCAAAAACAAACAAAAACAAAAAATTCTAGTAATAACCATTATTTACTTCCAACTTAAATCTGATCCACGACCTAAAACTGCACTCTGAAATAATCTACAATTCCCCTGAGAAACTTAATAAATATAGACAAAAGTGTGTATATCAATTAACTTACAAGTCTCTAATCACTGCAAACTAGCTGACTCTCGTTAAAGCTTCAAATCTTAAAGTTCTACCACTGGTACTCTTAGAAGCTAACTTACCCTTGTTGATCACAGAGAGACAACAGTGACCAAGTCTAATAAAAGCTTATTCATGTACACAGAAACAAAACAAAGTAACTTGGTGATGTGCACATCTAATATTTCCAACCAAATCACAAAACTTTAGAAAGGGCATTTGAATCCAACCTCCTTATTTTAAAAGTGAGAAAAGTCCAAGGAGATTAACAAATATATTTGTTCAAAGTCATCCCTGAGTTCTCAACTAAAAGTAGAATTTCTTTTCTGTCCTATATCCCAAATCAGGAAGCAAGGGGAAAAGGTAGGAGGTATTATCATTCTGATCATCATTTCCTCTGCTAACTTAGAATGCTTTCGTTTCTCAGGGATAAAGAAGGTAAGTCCAGCTATATCTATGTATTGGAAATAGCATCACATAGCTCTCCTTTTTAAAATGGCATGCCCTCCTCATGTGGATTTTTATCTTCTATTTAACTATCAGTTATCGCACTATGCTTCTACAGTTAGTATCTATGATGTGAAAGTTGAAGCCCTGGTTAAAGCTTCTTAAATCTACCATTTTATTTTGTACAAACAGAAAAGTATATTAGTTTTCTTTCCAGCTGTCCTTAATTTTTTTAATTGAAGTGAAGTTTACATAACATACAATTAACCATTTTAAAGTACATTATGATTTCTCTCCAGTTTCAAACTGTCCTTAAGAATTTTTTTATTTTTATTTTTAATTTTTTTGAAACGGGAGTCTCGCTCTGTCACCCAGGCTTGAGTGCAGTGGTAGGATCTCAGCTCACTGCAACCTCCGCCTCCGAGGTTCAAGTGATTCTCCTGCCTCAGCCTCCAGAGTAGCTGGGATTATAGGTGCACGCCACCACAGCCAGCTAGTTTTTGTATTTTTAGTAAAGACGGATTTTTTCACTATGTTGGCCAGGCTGGTTTCGAACTCCTGATCCTAGGTGATCTGCCCGCCTCAACCTCCCAAAGTGCTGGGATTACAGGTGTAAGCCACCGTGTCCAGCCAAGAATTTTTAATTAAAGATGCACTAATCCAAATGTAGATGAGCTACTCAATTTTCAGTTAATTAATCACATCTGAAGATAATGATGGCCTATGCCCTCATATCAAGTGTATCCTGAGCCCTTTTATCATTCTAATCTCTTTCTACACGTGGCCAACCAGAGTGCATACATATTGTGCCAAGTACCTTTCACCTTTTTCTACATATCAGTAGTATTCTATTTCACAGAAAACTCACACTCCTGCCCTAAACATAACCACAGAGTTAGGCTTATTGTGTGGTTAGCCTATCTGGCATGCCTTTGTCTCACAAATGCTTAGAGGACATTTCACACTACTTAGAAAGGAATGATCTCATCCCACTGACCCAACAGCTAATTTTATCAAAAAGCTTTTTGTTAAAAGCTGTGATAACCCAGGAAACCAGATCTATTTTTACTTTTATGGCAAGGAAAAGGAACAGAGAAAACCATAAGGAAAAAACAGCTCACACATTGACCATTTAAAAAAATCACTTAGGGGCCCAGCACAGTGGCTCATACCTGTAATCCCAGCACTTTGGGAGCCCAAGACAGGTGAATTACTTGAGGTCAGGAGTTCGAGACCAGCCTGGCCAACATAGTGAAACCCCGTCTCTACTAAAAATACAAAAAAAGAGCTAAGCATTGTGGCACACACCTGTAATCCCAGCTACTTGGGAGTATGAGGCATGAGAATCGCTTGAACCTGGAGGGGGAGGTTGCAGTGAGCTGAGATCATGCCACCACACTCCACCCTGGGCGACAGAGAGAGACTCTGTATCCAAAAAATAAAAAATTTTTTTTCACTTAGGCCAGGTGCAGTGGCTCACACCTGTAATCCCAGCACTTTGTGAGGCTGAGGTGGGAGGATTGCTTGAGTCCAGGAGTTCAAGACCAGCCTAGGCAACATACTGAGACCTTGTCTCTACAAAATATACAAAAATTAGCCAGGCATGGTGGCACATGCCTGTAATCCCAGCTCCTTGGGAGGCTGAGGTGAAAGATTTGCTTGAGACCAGGAGGTTGAGTCTACAGTGAGCTGTGACTGCACCACTGCACTCCAGCCTGGGAGACAGAGAGTGAGACACTGTCAAAAAAAATAACTTATTCTACAGTTTTCCCCCTTTCTTTGGTGTCTGACTACAAGTGAACAAAAAGAAAAACTTTCAGAATTGTTTAATGCAAGAAAAAAATCATTATTTTAACAATTAAAAAGCAAACTTCATATTACAGTCCAAACACTAAACCTACCTTGGGTCTGATTTGTATGAAAAAAAAAAAAAAAAAAGGATTTCTCTCCAATAAGACCCCAAGAAATATACAAGTCTTCAGTGGGAGATGCAATATAATAAAATGACAAAATATTAAAATTGAAGAAGAAAAAGGAAAAAAAAAAAAGAAACTCCAACCCATATAAAAAAATAAGAACTAGACCAGATGCAGTGGCTGACACCTGCAATCCCAGCACTTTGGGAGGCCGATGAGGGAGGACTGCTTCAGCACAGGTGTTCCAGATCAGCCTGGGAAACATAGGGAGATCCCGTCTCAACAAAAAATTTAAAAATTAGCCAGGCATGGTGGTATGTGCCTGTGGTCCCAGCTACTCAGGAGGCTGAGGTGGGAGGATTGCTGGAACCCAGGAGGTTGAGGCTGCAGTGAGTCGTGATGGCACCACTGCACTCACTCAACAGAGTGAGATCCTGTCTCAATAGACTAAAAATAAAAATAAGAAGAGCCAGCTGGGCATTGTGGCTCACACTTGTAATCCCAGCACTTTGGGAGGCCAAGGCAGGAGGAGCACATGAGGTCAGGAGTTCGAGATCAGCCTGGCCAACATGATGAAACCCCGCCTCTACTAAAATTACAAAAATTAGCCAGGTGTGGTGGCACACACCTGTAATCCCAGCTACTCGGGAGGCTGAGGCATGAGAATTGCTTGAACCTGGGTGGTGGAGGTTGCAGTGAGCCGAGATCCCACCACTGCATTCCAGCCTGGGCGACAGAGCGAGACTCCATCCCCCCCTCTCAAAAAAAAACAGCAGTTATTGCAGACTTATATTCCAGAGACCATTCTAATCACTTTACATAAATTACTTTGCTTAATATGTTGAACAACTCTAGGACATAGATAACCCCATTTAAAATGAGGACACCAGGGCACTTAGAGGTTAAATAACTTGCCTAAGATTGCTCAGCTAGTAAAGTGGCACAACTCTTAATTTACTACCAAATATTGTCTCTCACAGCAATCTTTATAGCAAGCTCTATGCAAAGCAAAATGATCATTCAACAGACTGAAAAGTCAAAGGCTATGATAATAGCCTTTAACAATTGAACACTAGTTTAATTGTTTATAACGCTACCTCCCACCTTTTCCACCCACAGCCACCCAATCCCATCCAGGCTGGGTAACCAGTTAGCTCCCTTCACCAACACCACTACCGACCTGACCCTCAAATGTAACACGTGAAACTGCCACACATTAAGCATTCATCTCCTATTAACTTTATGCCTCCTGTTTTTTAATTCTTAAAAACAGTTGTTATTCATCATTTATCATATTTCTGTGTACTCAAAGTACATGAATGTGCCTTCTGTCTTCGTAGGTCCAAGGGGGCGCCTTCTTGATATCGTCATGTATAGAGCTATGGCCAAATGCTGTGACATAGGGTATGCCCCTCCAGACTCTTGACGAGGCTGTTCTTTCTATGTAAACAGTACCAGTCTCTGAGCTAAAACACTTAAGAAACACAAAATAGATCAAGAGCACTGTTTAGAGTGAATCTCCCTAAGTTTATATGTATCAATCAGTATGCATATGAAAACCAAATGAGTGAAGGCGGCTGATGTAAACAAAAGAGCCTGCAACAGGCAAACATAAGCAATGAAAGCTAATATAGTATCTTCTGGTGTGTAGACCAGCTGTCTGACTTTCTAATGGTGAATGTTAGCCTACAGTAAGATAAAACAAAAGATGACTATAAGGCTGAGAGATAAAGACTAAAATGAGGTTACTGGCTTACAGCCTGAAAAGTATTCTGAAGCCAAAAATCAGATACAGAATTTGGACCCCTATGAAATGCATAAGGCTCTCCCCAAATCTCAACTACACCTCCCTACCCTGTCATTGATTCTTAGTGGGTCAGAATACATTCAGTAAGAATACTAGCATCAACATGAAATAAAATCTAAAAAGGAAATAAACTCTAGTAAATAAAGTTCTGAGGAAAGTAAAAAAGGGTCCCTCCAAGAATAGGAAAAGCTGTCACAAGAGGTACAGAACCTCCCTTTAGCTCTTCATGTGCTGGATTGATCCTATATACTCAAAAGCTGCATCAGAATGAGTAACATATGAATAAGAGTGGATAAGAATACTAAATCAAAAATGATTTATATCAATTATTGTCCATCTTCAATACTAAAATAATTCTTTCACGCTTAATAATTAAAATGCTATTCTTCTTCTCCACCTTTTCACTTTATTTATTTATGAGACAGGGTCTCATTCTGTTACTCAGGCTGGCGTGCAGTGACACAATCTTGGCTTACTGCAGCCTCGATCTCCTGAGGCTCAGGTGATCCTCCCACCTCAGCCTCCCAAGTAGCTGGAACTCCAAGCACATGCCACCATGCCTGGCTAATTTTTGTATTTTTTGTAGAGACAGGGCTTCTCCATGTTGCCCAGGCTGGTCTCAAACTCCTGGGCCCAAGCGATCCTGTCACCTTGGCCTCCCAAAGTGCTAGGATTACAGGTGTGAACCACAGCACCCAGCTTCAATATTTTCAGTACCTACCCCTCAACCTACCTCCATCCCTATGAAAGTCGCCATGACTTCAGGAGCACTCTATATGATATGTACTTCTAGTACACAGTTAATGTATGACATGTGCTTCTACTATACCACTTTATTATTTATGTGCCTATTACCCTCTATAAACTGTGAGCTCAAGAGTGAGGATTTTCGGCCAGGCACAGTGGCTCACGCCTGTAATCCCAGCACTTTGGGAGGCCAAGGTGGGTGGATCACCTGAGGTCAGGAGTTTGAAACCAGCCTGGCCAACATGGCAAAATGCCATCTCTACTAAATATACAAAAATTAGCCAAGCATTGGTGGCAGGCGTCTATAATCCCAGCTACTCAGGAGGCTGAGGCAAGAGAATCGCTTCAACCCAGCAGGTGGAGTTTGCAGTGAGCCGAGATCACGCCATTGCATTCCAGCCTGGGCATCAGAGCAAGACTCCATCTCCAAAAAAAGAAAAAAAAAAAAAAAAAAGAGTGAGGATTTTCGGAATATTTGGATGCTCACCCAGCACCTATCCCAGTTCCAGGAGCATGGCAGATGCAAAAGAACGTATGAAAGAGTGAAGGAAAGAAAAATATGTGTTTTTCTAATTCTCAAGTCTTCATTTTTTTCTTTTTATCACCATCCATGGCAAAAAAAAATTTATATTATGATCCATATTCACATACACATATATAAATGAAACAGAAGTTTTATAAATCAATACTCATCCATACTATGTACAATGCACTGAAACTTTTTTTTTTTTTTTTTTTGAGATGGAGTCCCACTCTGTTGCCCAGGCTGGAGTGCAGTGGCACGATCTTGGCTCACTGCAAGCTCTGCCTTCCAGGTTCATGCCATTCTCCCGCCTCAGCCTCCCAAGCAGCGGGGACTACAGGCGCCTGCCACCACGCCCAGCTAATTTTTTGTATTTTTAGCAGGGACGGGGTTTCACCGTGTTAGCCAGGATGGTCTTGAGCTCCTGACCTCGTGATCCGCCCGCCTCGGCCTCCCAGAGTGCTGGGATTACAGGCGTGAGCCACTGTGCCCGGCCTACTGAAATCTTCTATTCCATTATCTTCTAGTGTTGTTTTGCTTTTAAGAGTTGGCTGTAGGCCAAGGGCGATGGCTCATGCCTGTAATCCCAGCATTTTGGGAGGCTGAGGTAGGCAGATCACACGAGCCCAGGAGTTCAAGATCAGCCTGGGCAACATGGTGAGATCCAGTCTCTACAAAAAATACAAAAATTAGCCAGGCATGGTGATGCACGCCTATAGTCCCACCTATTTGGGAGGGCTAAGATAGGAGAATTACCTAAGCCTGGGGAGGTAAAGGCTGCAGTGAGCCGAGATCATACCACTGCACTCCAGCCTGGGAGACAGAGGGAAACTCTGTCTCAAAAAAAACAAACAAACAAAAACAGCAACAGAAAAAATAGTTGGCAGTGAGTCATAATTTGAAAAATTTCAGTCCTGGTAAAAACCAATCTCTTAACAGAAAGAGGTACTATTAAAACTGGTTTTCAGTTTTCCAGTGCTGACGATCCCCTCACGAGAACAGGCCTCTCACAAAGAATCTCCCTCCCTCTCCAGAAAAAAAGAGCAAGCACAAGAAGTGCCTGGTGCAGAGCCCCAATTCTTACTTCCTGAACGTGAAATGCCCAGGATGCTATAAAATCACCATGGTCGTCAGTCATGCACAATAGTAGTTGTGTGTCTGGCTGCTCTGCTGTCCTCTGCCAGCCTACAGGAAGGCTCTCCTTCAGATAGAGACAGCACTGAAAGAACCCTGAATCAAGATGAGTGGGAAACTATATCAATAAACACATATGGATGCCAAAAATAAATAAAAGTAGTTTTCAAACTTTAACGTGGACATCCCATGGAAAGGTGGTTTAAAAGAGATTATGAAGTTCTATTCCCAGAATTTGATTTAGTAAATCTGGGTAGGAGTCCAGAAATCTGTATTTTAAAGCAGTCCAAATGGTTCTGATGCAGATGATAAAACAATCCTTATCAGAAACATGCTTACATAATTTAAGATTTAATCTCAAAAGTCATAGCTTGAACTCTTCTTGCACTAAGTTAAAGGTTAAACAAAGTATCTGCAAGAGGATTCTGTCCTGCTAACAGACTGGTTTTTAATCTGAACATTGTTTGGCTCAACAGTCCTTTCATAGACTTCCTCTAAAGCAACTTGGTAAGCCACTAAAATCTAACTGTTCCTCTTAACTACAGCCCTTTGCACCAAGAAAACAGAAGAATGATATAAATGAAAGGCATTTCTGTTGCCCAGTCATTGGCTCTATAACTGAAAGGGCTTTTGAAAACCAGTCACATTGACTATACAAGTGACATATGCAGTCATCAGTTTGGAATCTCTAAGGACTACAGCTCAAAAACAATCACTAACAGCTCAAAGTCTGACCCCAAAGTGCTTAAAAGCCATTGATGAAATAAAGCCTTCATAAGAACATTCTACAATCCACGCTTCTACTCCTTGCTATTACAAGCCAATAGGATCTTAAGGTTTTAAATTTGACAAAATCATATTATTTATTTTTATTTTTTTATTTTTTTTTGAGACGGCATCTTGCTCTGTCCCCCAGGCTAGAGTTCAGTGGCGTGATCTCGGCTCACTGCAAGCTCCGCCTCCTGGGTTCAGGCCATTCTCCTGCCTCAGCCTCCCGAGTAGCTGAGACTACAGGCGCCTGCAGCCATGCCCAACTAATTTTTTTTTATTGTTAGTAGAGATGGGGTTTCACCATGTTAGCCAGGACGGTCTCGATCTCCTGACCTTGTGATCCGCCCGCCTCGGCCTCCCAAAGTGCTGGGATTACAGGCGTGAGCCACCGCGCCCAGCCTATTTATTTATTTTGTAAGACAGAGTCTCACTGTCACCCAGCTGGAGTGCAGTGCCGCAACCTCGGCTCACTGCAGCCTCTGCCTCCCAGGTTCAAGCAATTCTCCTGCCTCAGCCTCCTGAGTAGCTGGGACTATAGGCATGCGCCACCACACCCAGCTAATTTTTGTATTTTTAGTAGAGACGGGGTTTCACCAATTGGTCAGGCTGGTCTTGAACTGCTGACCTTATGATCTGCCCGCCTCAGCCTCCCAAAGTGCTGGGATTAAAGGCGTGCGTGCGCCACCACATCCAGCCAATTTTTGTATTTTTGATAGAGACGGGGTTTTGCCGTTGTTAGCCAGGCTGGTCTTGAACCCCTGACCTCAGGTATCTGCAAGCCTTGGCCTCCCAAAGTGCTGGGATTACAGGTATAAGCCACCATGCCCAGCCAATAAAATTGTATTTTAAATGCACCAAGTACCTGCGTCAACAATCCAAAAATGATATTAAGAAAACAATTCTGCTTAAAATAGCATAAAAAAATACTTAAAAGAAGTGAACAATTTATTTATTTATTTTGAGATGGAGTTTTGCTCCTGCTGCCCAGGCTGGAGTGCAGTGGCACAATCTTGGCTCACTGCAACCTCCGCCTCCCGGGTTCAAGCGATTCTCCTGCCTCAGCCTCCTGAGTAACAGAGATTACAGGCACATGCCACCATGCCCGGCTAATTTTTGTATTTTTAGTAGAAATGGGGTTTCATAATGTTGGTCAGGCTAGTCTCAAACTCCTGACCTCAGGTAATCCACCTGCCTTGGCCTCCCAAAGTGCTGAGATAACAGGCATAAGCCACCGTGCCCGGCTGAAGTGAACAATTTATACTCTGAAAAATTAAAAAAAAAAAATTCCTGAAAGAAATTAAGGAAGATTTAAATAAATGGAAAGACATTTAAGTTCATGGATCAGAAGATTTAACATTGCTAAGATGGCAATGCTTCCCAAACTGATCTACAGATTCAGGCACAGTGGCTCACTCCTGTAATCCCAACACTTTGGTAGGCCAAACTGGGCATTATTACTTGAGCCCAGGAGTTCAAGACCAGCCTGGGCAACATGGCAAAACCCCATCTCAGTCTGGGTGATGCGGTGCGACCCTGTGTCCAAAAAAATACATGAAAATCACACCAAGCTTCTTTGTAGAAATTGACAATCAATCCTAAAATTCATATGGAAATTCAAGGGACCCAGAATAGCTAAAACAACCCTGAAATAAAAACAAGGTTGACGGACACATACTTTCCACTTTCATAACATACTACAGAAAGCTATAATAGTCAAGACAATGTGGTACTAGTATAAGCACAGACAAAGTCCTGGGAGGGTAGCACACCCGAATTCCACCAGGAGAGATGCTCCTGCTCTCAGGACCTTTCCAGACCTTGTCTTATATATCTCTTCAGCTGGCTATTTATGTGTATCCTTTAAAATATCCTTTGTAATAAACTGGTAAACATGTGTTTTCGAGTTGTGCGAGCTGCTCTAGCAAGTTAAGCCCATGGCTATAAATGGGAACACCAATTTATAGCCAGTCAGTCAGAAGCACAGGTAAAATAAGCGGGAGCTTACAACTGGCATGTGAAGTGTGGGGAGAGGCAGTCTTGGAAACTGAGCCCTCAACCTGTGGAATCTTGATGCTATCTCCAGGTTGATTATGTCAGAATTGAGTGGCTGTCAGCTGCAGAAATGACTGCTTGCTTGCCTGCTGGTGGGGAGAAATCCCCACACATCTGCTTTCAGTAGGGTGCTATAAGAATATCAGCAGTAGGAGAAACGGAGTTTGTTTTTTCCACACACACCTGTATCTAAAATACCAAAAACTCTGGCAACTTAATAATAAAAAGGCAAATTAATTTAAAAATGAACAAAGAATCTGTACATTTCTCCAAAGATAATATACAAATGGCCAATAAACACATTAGTCACCAGAAAAATGAAAGTCAAAACCACAATGAGATCCTACACCCAGTAGCATGACTAAAATAAAAAAAAACAGGTAATGAATGGCAAGTGTTTTAGATGTGGCAAGAACTGGAACCCTCATATACTGCTAATGAGAACATAAAATGGTGCAGCCACCTTGAAAAAGTCTGGGAGCTCCTCAAAAGATTAAACAGAGTTACCATATGAAAGCAGAAATAACCCAAATGTTCCTCAACAAATAAATGATAAATAAAATGAGGTACATACATACAATGGAATATTATTCAGCCATAAAAGGGAATAAAGTCCTAATACATGCTACAAGATGGGTGAACCCTGAAAACATCACAAAAGACCACCTACTATATTAATCTGTGTATATAAAATATCCAGAGTAGGTAAATTTATACAGAAAGTAGATTCATGGTTGCCTGGGGCTTGGGGTTTATTGTATTAGGGAGTGATAAAGAACATGGGATTTCTTTTGGGGGTCATGAAAATGTTCTAGACTTTACTGCACTAATGGTGCACATGTCTGTGAATATACCAAAAAACAATGAATTGTACATTTTATTTATTTATTTATTTTTTGTGATGGAGTCTTGCTCTGTCACCCAGGCTGGAGTACAATGGCATGATCTTGGCTCACTGCAACCTCCGCCTCCTGAGTTCAAGCGATTCTTGTGCCTCAGCCTCCCAAGTAGCCGGGATTACAGGCACGTGTCGCCATGCCCGGCTAATTTTTGTATGTTTAGTAGAGACGGGGTTTTGCCATGTTGGTCAGGCTGGTCTCGAACTCCTGGCCTCAAGTGATCTACCTGCCTCGGCCTTCCAAAGTGCTGTGATTACAGGCATGAGCCACTGTGCCTGGCCTGAATTCTACACTTTAAGTGGGTGAATGGTATGGTATATAAAATATATCTCAACAAAACTGTTACCAAAAAGAGAGATAACACCAAACACATGAAACTTCCTTCCTATGAGATTATTCTTAATACTAGCTTTAAGGATATTTCCTTTTTGCATTACTTTTAGAATATTTTCTACAAATATTATTTTCAGTCAGTCCAAGTTTTTTAAAAGCAAAACTTGTCAAAGGAAACATACTTTGTTAGAGATGCATATACAAACTCTGCAAAGAAAAGGCTAGTTAGGGGGTACCCCTAAAAACTAAGAAGAAAAATTAAACTTTCCACAGTTTACAAACAGGCAGCTTTCATTTTACACAATAGTGCAAAACCGTAAAAGTAAGAATGCACGCTGAAACCATGCAAAGTGATCATAATAATTAATGAGAAAAACTGCAATTGCTCTGTAATCTTTTTTTTTTTAAAATTGAGACGGAGTCTCGCTCTGTGTCCAGTCTAGGGTGCAGTGGCGCGACCTTGGCTCACTGCAATCTCCACTTCCTGGGGTCAAGCGATTCTCCTGCCTCAGCCTCCTGAGTAGCTGGGACTACAGGCACGTGCCACCACACCCAGCTAATGTTTGTATTTTTAGTAGAGATGGGGTTTCACCATGTTGGCCAGGATGGTCTCGATCTCCTGACCTCGTGATCTGCCCACCTAAGCCTCCCAAAGTGCTGGGAGTACAGGCGTGAGCCACTGCACCCAGCCGCTCTGTAATTTTTTTTTGTTTTTGTTTTTTGAGACAGTCTCACTCTGTTGCCCAGGCTGGAGTGCAGTGGCGCAATCTCGGTTCACTGTAAGCTCCACCTCCCAGGTTCATGCCATTCTCCTGCCTCAGCCTCCCGAGTAGCTGGGACTACAGGCACCCGCCACCACGCCCGGCTAATTTTTTTGTATTTTTAGTAGAGACGGGGTTTCACCATGTTAGCCAGGATGGTCTCGATCTCCTGACCTCGTGATCCACCCGCATCAGCCTCCCAAAGTGCTGGGATTACAGGCGTAAGCCACAGTGCCCGGCCGCCACTCTGTAATTTTTAAAAAATTTTGGGCCAGGCACAGTGGCTCATGCCTGTAATCCCAGCACTGGGAGGCCGAGGTGGGCAGATCACTTGAGGTCAGGAGTTCGAGACCACCCTGGCCAACATGGCGAAACCTCATGTCTACTAAAAATACAAAAATTAGCCAGGGGTAGTGGCACACGCCTGTAATCCCAGCTACTTGGGAGGCTGAGGCAGGAGAATTGTTTGAACCTAGGACGGGTTCACTACAGAGGTTGCGTGAGCTGAGACTGCACCACTGTACTCCAGCCTAAGTGACACAGTGAGACTCCATCTCAAAAAATAATTTAAAAAATAAAATAAATATTACCCAGGGGTGGTGGTGAGCACCTGTAATCCCAGCTACTCGGGAGGCTGAGGCAGGAGAATTGCTTGAATCCAGGAGGTAGAGGTTGCAGTGAGCCGAGATCACACTACTGCACTCCAGCCTGGGCAACAGAGCAAGATCCTATCTCAAAAAAAAGAATTTTTTTTTTGTTGAGGCCAGGCACAGTGTCTCACACCTGAGATCCCAGCACTTTGGGAAGCTGAGGCAGGCAAATCACCTGAGGTCAGGAGTTCAAGACCAGCCTGGACAACATGGTGAAAACCCATCTCTACTAAAAATACAAAAAATTAGTCAGGCATGGTGGTGCATGCCTATAATCCCAGCTGCTAGGGAGCCTGAGGCAGGAGAATCGCTTGAACCCAGGAGGCGGAGGTTGCAGTGAGCCGAGATCGCACCACTGTGTTCCAGCCTGGGTGACAAGAGTGAGACTCAGTCTCAAAAAAAAAAAAAAAAAAAATTTCATTGAAACATTAAAAACTCTGTCAGTTATAATTATAGGAAAATTGAAAGAACAGGAAAACTAATCATTAATGCACTAAAGCAGGAGGTGAGCGAAGGGCAGGCGAGCATCTCTGCCTCCTGTCACATCAGTCGTGGCATTAGATTCTCATAAGAGCACAAACCCTACTGTGAACTGTGCATGCGAGGGCTCTAGACTGTGCACTCTTTATGAGAATCCAATGCCTGATGATCTTCTGAGGTGGAAGAGTTTTATCCCGAAAACATCCCCTCCCCCAGCGTCCCCTTCCATGGAAAAACTGTCTTCCACTAAATCAGTGCTAAAAAGGTTGAGGACCACTGCACTAGAGAACATAGAAATATTGAAAATTATAATGTTTAAGTTCTTTGAAAAAATTTATTAGGGGTAGTTTAAATAGTGCTTACATTCTTCTCATCATACAATAGAGACGGGGTTTCACCCTGTTAGCCAGGATGGTCTCGATCTCCTGACCTTGTGATCCGCCTGCCTCGGCCTCCCAAAGTGCTGGGATTACAGGCGTAAGCCACCGCGCCCGGCTGCAATAGACATCTTTTCTATGCCTTAGCCAATTGTCACACTCCTGTCTGAGTCTGGAATAGCATCAAATACTTTATGTTTCATATTTCAATATCACAGAATACCTTCGAGAGTTCTTTCACTACAAAATTTCTTGCATCACTTCTTTTTTTTTTTTTTTTTTTTACCAAACCACTTTCTTCACTTATGTAGATAAGCTCACCTTCACTAAGTTATTTCGGCTACATATCCAGAGTGTTTTGAATGAGAGCATCAGCATTCCCTCAGTGATCTATTTCTTCTATAACTCCATTTGAGTTCAATTTGAATTTCACTTCCACTGTTGTTACTTTTTGGTTTTTTCCTGAACTTTCATCTTTTTCGGCCAATTCTCTCTATCGGTTATCGATTTTTCTTAACTATCACATAGATTTATCACTGGGAGACAAGGAGGTAACACAAACCCATGCTTTGCACAGTTGTTACTTATGTAGTGACAGAAGAGCTGGCAGCGAATTTTGTACTTTATACGATTATTCACAGTTAATATGCTGTGTAAAATTTAAACCATGTTATTAGGGAATTGGTATTATTTAACCAAACCATGGTAAGTGAAAGTGTATATGAGAACCACATAAAGCAACAACTCCCTGTATATCACATCACAAAATCACAGAACTTAAAAGCCTTCTTCACAGTAATCTAGCCACAGTGTGTATGTGGACCCTTGATGTAGTATTAATGACCCGTCTACTTCCTGCCTGACCATTTCAAGTGATGCCCACATTACTTCACAGGGTGGCTCTTTCATTGTTGAACACTTCTAACAGTTAGAAAAATAAAGCCCCCAGCTAGTATAATGGTCAAAAGCACAGGTTCTAAAATCAGACCACCTGAATTCCTATCCTTTCTTTTCCTCTGTTGAGCTAGGTAAATTTGGGCAAGGTATGTAATCTCTCCATGACTGTTTACTCATCTATAAAATAAAAATGTTAGCCGGGCGCGGTGGCTCACGCCTGTAATCCCAGCACTTTGGGAGGCTGAGGCGGGTGGATCACGAGGTCAGGAGATCGAGACCATCCTGGTTAACACGGTTAAACCCCGTCTCTACTAAAAATACAAAAAATGAGCCGGGCGTGGTGGCAGGCGCCTGTAGTCCCAGCTACTCGGGAGGCTGAGGCAGGAGAATGGCGTGAACCCAGGAGGCGGAGCTTGCAGTAAGCCGAGACCACACCACTGCACTCCAGCCTGGGCAACAGAGTGAGACTCCGTCTCAAAAATAAATAAATAAATAAATAAATAAATAAATAAATAAAAATGTTAAGGCCTTCAATCATGAAGTTGTTATGAGGGATGGCAAGTGTTCAGTAAATTATAACCTATATAATTTATCATATTATCATCATCGTCTGTAGAGTGCTTAGTCTTCCTTATCCATCCCCATGTACTTTGGTTCAAACCCCTCACCTAGATTCTGCACTAGACTCAACTGAACACTGACAGTCTCTCACCCAGTTCTCCATATGGTCACCAGAATTATCTCTCTAAAAATAAAATCTGACTCCGGTCAGCATAAACAATTTAGCCTAAAGCCATCAGGTAGGGTAGAGCAAGCAGAGCAAAATCAGAGTCTTCGTTTAGGGGTGGGGAGGAAGCCATGGTGGCTGAAAGCAGGGTATCAAATACCAAGCAAAGTGGGGAGGGAATTCATGTGGTAAGGTGGCCTGGCCCAACATAACTTATAAGGAGTCAAAAGACGGCTACTATTTTAAAAAGATGACATGAAACCTACAAATTGAGGAAACACAATAGTCCAAGAGGGAAAGAAAACCCAACATCTGTCAAGTAGACACAATTACTTACTTTAACTCCATGTTTTCTTGTTTCCTTGTAAACACATGGGTGTTTTGGTGTTCGTTCATTTTGTTATTTTCTTAGCACTGGTTTTCACAAAATTCACTTTCGGAATAAAATTTCATTTGGAATGATGTCTCTCTTGAATTTGTCAACAAAAGGAAACTCCTAGTGATGCCTCATCATCAGCTACACAAATATTTGGTATTTGAAAAAATGCTGGTTCTTTAAAAAACACATTTGTGGTTCTCTATCACTTAAAAAATAAAGAGACAGAGAGAGATGTTTGGCACAGTGACACACAGCCTATAGTTCCATCTACTTGGAAGGCTGAGACAGAAAGGATTGCTTGAGTCCAGGAGTTCAAGGCTGCAATGAGCTATGATTATGCCTGTGAACAGCCACTGTACTGGGCAATGTATCTAGACTCCCATCTTTTAAAAAGAGAGAGAGAAAGAGAAAGTACAAAAGAGAAAAGAAAATGACAAGAACAAAGAAAAAAGCAGACAATATTAACTGTGAATCTAAAATAGGTTGTAGAGCTCCTCCTGATGCTGTAACCTGATCATGGTGCACACTGATAAGCTCCCATTACAACATAAGAAAGCCACAGACAATGGAGCAAGTCATCACCTTCCTTGTATTACAATCTCATGTCCTTGCTTTGGATGCTGTGCCTCCTAACCACACCTAGTAAAAGTAGCATCACTTATTTGGCAACATCTAGTATTTAAGAACCAAGTAAAGGCCTGAAAGGAATTACCAGGCAAGACTGGATGGTACTGTGCAAGGAACACACACTTTATCATCAGGTAGATCCAGATCTCAATTATCTTTTTTTTTTTTTTTTTTTTTTTTTTTTGAGACAAAGTCTTCACTCTGTCACTCAGGCTAGAGTGCAGTGGCAGCGCCAAGGCTCACTGCATCCTCAACCTCCAGGACTCAAGTGATCTCCCACCTCAGCCTCCAGAGTAGCTGAGACCACAGGTGCATGCCGCCACACTGGGCTAATTTTTTAAATTTTTTTGTAGAGACAGGATCTCACTATGTTGCCCAGGCTGGTCTCAAACATTATGACACTGATACATAACTGTTAACTAGACTACAGACCTTATTCAGTTTTCACTATTTTTTTTAACCTGCATTTGTGTGTGTATTTCTAAGCAGTTTTGTCTCATGTATAGATTTTTATAACCACAACTGCAATCAAGATACAGAACTGTTCTGCTACCTCTCTGTATTTATAGCCCCTCCACCTACTACCCCCCTGTCCCCTGGCAATCACTAATCTATTCTTCATCTTTACAGTTTTGTCACTTTGAGAATGTCATATAAATGGAACTATATAATATGTGACCTCTTGAGATAAGCTTTTCCACTAAGCACATTACCCTTGTAGTCTATTCAAGGTGTTGCAGGTTATCTATAGCTTGCTTGTTCCTTTTGATTACTCAGTAGTATTCCATGCTATGGATGTCATATGTTTTGCTTTACACTTGTTGACACAACATTTGGATTGGTTCACATTTTGCTGTTTTGAATAAGTCTGCTATGAACAGTTACGTACAAGTTTTTAAGTGAACATAAATTTTATTTTATTTGGAGTAAATAACCAAAGGAGTGATTTCTGGGTAGTATGGTAAGTACATGTTTAATTTTTAAAGAAACTGCCAGCTGGATCCAGCACCTGTAATCCTAGCACTTTGGGAGGCCAAGGCAGGAGGATCGTTTGAGCCTAGGAGTCTGAGACCAGTCTGAGTAACATAACCGTACCCTGTCTCTACAAAAAATGCAAAAATCAGCCGGGCATGATAGTGCATACCTATAGACCCAGCTACTTGGGAGGATGAAGTGGGAAGATCACTTGAGCCCAGGAGTTCAGGTTGCAGTGAGCAATGATGGCACCACTGCACTCCAGCCAGGGTAACAGAGTGAGACCAGGTCTACTAAAAAAATTGACTAGTAAAAATTAAATTAAGGCCAGGTGTGGTGGCTCATGCCTGTAATCCCAGCACTTTGGGAGGCCAAGGCAGGCGGATCGCGACGTCAGGAGTTTGAGACCAGCCTGGCCAACATAGTGAAACCCTGTCTCTACTAAAAACACACACACAAAAAAATAGCTGGGCATGGTGGCGCGTGCCTGTAGTCCCAGCTACTCGGGAGGCTGAGGTAGTAGAATTGCTTGAACCCAGGAGGTGGAGGTTGCAGTGAGCCGAGATCGCACCACTGCACTCCAGCTTGGGCAACAGAGTGAGACTTCGTCTGGGAAAAAAAATAAATTAATTAAATTAAATTAAAAATTTTTGGCCGGGTGCAGTGGCCCATACCTGTAATCCCAGCAATTTGGGAGGCCAAGGCGGGTGGATCACCGGAGGTCAAGAGTTTGAGACCAGCCTGGCCAACATGGTGAAACCCCGTCTCTACTAAAAATACAAAAAGTAGCTGGGCGTGGTGGCACACACCTGTAATCCCAGCTACTCGGGAGGTTGAGGCAGGAGAATCGCTTGAACCCGGGAGCCAGAGATTGAAGTGAGCCGAGATGACACTACTGCACTCCAGCCTGGCAAAAGAGCGAGACTCCATCTCAAAAAAAAAAAAAAAATAGTAAAGTCAAAAGGCAAATAACGGAGTAGAAGAAAATATTTGTGTTACATGTACTACACAATGGATTAATTTTTATAATATACTAAGTGCTCTCACAAACAAACAGAACAACTATCAACAACCCAACAGAAAAATGAGTCCAGGACACAAACTCTTCATAGAAATCCAAATAATAAATGTGAAAAAAAAATTCAGCCTCTTTCATCTAAAAAGAAATACAAATTAAACAATGAGATACTATTTTTCATTTCTCAGAAAGATTCGGTTTTCATTTAATATTCCTGTATTATCTGATTTTCTTAGTGTTGTTTCAATTTATCATAAACTTAAAAAAAAAAAAAAACTATAGAGGACGTGCGCGGTGGCCCACAACTGTAATCCCAACACTTTGGGAGGCTGAGGCAGGCGGATCACAGGTCAAGAGATCGAGACCATCCTGGCCAACATGGTGAAATCCATCTCTACTGAAACTACAAAACTTAGCTGGGCATGGTGGCGCATGCCTGTAATCCCAGCTACTCGGGAGGCTGAGGCAAGAGAATCGCTTGAACCCAGGAGGCAGAGGTTGCGGTGAGCTGAGATCGCGCCATTGCACTCCAGCCTGGGCAACAAGAGTGAAACTCCATCTCAAAAAAAAAAAAAAGGCAGAAAGCCAAAACTATTCTAAAAGATTTTTCTTTAATCCCTCATATATCGCGGTACAAAAATTGACAAACAGAGAAAAGAATGGAAGAATGAGGGAAGGGAACACAAACATCTTGGATTCACAGTCTATGCAAATGCTAATCAAATCACCTTTGAAAACCATTCAATTTCCACACACACACACACACACACACACACACACACACTTAGGCTGGCTGTGGTGGCTCATGCCTGTAATCCCAGCACTTTGGGAGGCCAAGGTGGATGGATCATCTGAGGTCAGGAGTTCAAGACCAGCCTGGGCAACATGGCAAAACCCCGTCTCTACTAAAAATACAAAAATTAGCTGGGTGTGGTGGTGTGCACCTGTAATCCCAGCTACCAGGAGGCTGAGGCAGGAGAACTGCTTGAACCCGGGAGGCAGAGGCTGCAGTGAGACAGAGCAAGACTCTCTCTGAAAACAAAAACAAAAGAAAATTTAAAAAATTAAACACACACACTCAGACCCACATATCCTTTTCAAGTCAACCAAACCACAGCCAGTCTTTAATTTCTTTATAGCACCATTGAGACTCTTAAATTTCTTTGAAATAAACTATAAAAATCAGACTCTTCTACACATTCTTTTTTATGGTTATTGATTTTGGCAAGATAGGAGGATTAAAAGAGGGAATAGTCTATACAGCTATGTGAAGTCTACCAATCTAGATATCCATCAATTATGAAATAACTAAGAATCATTTTAGTTCAAACTACCACCACATAATCATGTTCATTCAACAACTACATCCCAGGCTCTAGACTAGGGTTCATGGCTCCCAGCGAGGACATCATACTATTCCAGACTAGACTAAACTGAGTCCCTTAGGTCCCTAAGACTCTTTTTTCTATCATCTGTATAACCCCAATACATTTAACAATTTTACATAAATTATAAATCGACCATGTAAGATAATATCCTACTGCCAATGTGAGGGCTAAAAATTTGATCTTGCAATTTGTTTAGTCTAACTCTCTTCCAGAGTTTCTTAACACCTTCACTACTGAAATTTTGGACAAGAAAATTGTTATGAGAGGTTGTCCTCTAAACTGGAAGATGTTTAATAGCATGCCAATAGCACCTTCCCAGTTGTGACCCATGAGAATGTTTCCAGACACTGTCAAATGTCCCCTAAAGGGCAAAATCACAACTCTACCCCTACGCCAACTGAGAGCCATACACCATAAAAATCTAGGAGTTGTGAGTGCAGGGAAATGGAAGGATTAGGTGGAAGAGTAGCTAAGGAGAACAGGGTGGGTTTTTTTGTTTTTGTTTTTTGAGACAGAGTCTCGCTCTGTCGCCCAGGCTGGAGTGCGGTGGCGCGATCTTGGCTCACTGCAACCTCCACGTCCTGGTTCAAGCTATTCTCGTGCCTCAGCCTCCCGAGTAGCTGGGATTATAGGCGTGCACTATCACACCCAGCTAACTTTTTGTATTCTTAGGAAAGACAGGGTTTCGCTATATCGGTCGGGCTGGTCTTGAACTCCTGGCCTCAAGTGATCTACCCGCCTCAGCATCCCAAAGTGCTGGGATTACTGGTGTGAGCCACCGCGTCCTGCCTGAGTAATGAAAATGTTCTAAAACTGATTGTGGTAATGGATGCACAACTGTGAAAATACTGAAAACCACTGAACTGTACATTTTAAGTGGCTGAACTGTATGTTTTATAAATTGTATCTCAATAGAGCTATTCTTTTTAAAATTCAGATTCTGGACTCCACTCCAGATCTCATAAATTAGAATCAAAAGCAGAAAGCCAAAACTATTCTAAAATACCTTCCAGGATCACTAGGAGGACATTTGGGGTTCACAGCCAGACAGTGATGAACATCTCAAACCACAAGATGCACAGAACGGCTAAGAGGAAAATGAGCTTGCTGTGCACTACCCAATGGTTAACTGCTTGGAAAAATATGGAAACTGATAACGTGTTAAATATGTTCAATAACACATCTCAAATTTATGTCTAAGAACACATTTCAATTTCAACTCCATGTTAAGTTGAAAGGATAGCTTCCCAAATTATGACATATGTACCTTCACCTTTAAAGAAACAGAAACTAAAACAACTCCAAATATTATATGCTTTTACATCTACATTCATTCATTAAGTGGTTTTATAATTACTGGTTTTGAGTTATACTGCAGCTACTCACATCATAAGAAAAAGACAACATAAAGTACAAGAATAAACTTGAGTATAATTTTTAATTAGACCTGATGCATCAATCTGAATAGCTAATACCAAAAATCCTAAGCTATGAAATCTAAATTTCCCAATAAATCTGAACATCTGCAAGTATACCACATAGCAATTAGAAAAAACTGTACTATGGAAAAGATTTAAGTCGTTCTGGTTTCTGTTTTGCAAGTTCCAGCAGAAAACTAATGCTAGGGTTCATTGAAACAACACTGCTAGTATCTCCTATTTCCTCCAAGAACAAACAAGAAAGCCATTATTATCTCAAATGTTCTTCTGAAAAGTATAATGACCCTTCTTATAATATTATGGAAAATATGAACAAGAATTTTAATCAAAATAGCATTCGTAAAGCCACATGAACACTTTTATTTTTTTTATTTTTAAACTTTAAAATCTAAATACCTACCCAAATACCCAGTGTTTCTAAAACTAATGACTAAATCTGATTTACTTCTAACTCTCTCTAGTATATAAGTGATGTCTGAACTATGAGATTCATGTGAAAATGTACGTCGTTTATTTGTACATGATCTGTCTCTCAGGCACTCGACCTAGGGGAGTAACACATATTGATGATCTCCAGAATGTGCACATTACAACCTGATTGATACCAAATTGGTGCTATATTCATGCATTTATTAACAAGGAATGATGCTTATATCGAGCAAAAAGTTCATGAGTAGTATATATAGTTCTTATTTTCACAAGAAAAATATGTATATATATTCACAGGAAATGTCTAGAAGAATATATATGAAAATGTTATTCTCTTTTATAATTTTTGTGTTTCTAAATTATCTACATTAAATAAAACTTTTGCAAAAAGAAAAAATAAATGTCATTTTAAAAACATACCCAGCCAGGCATGGTGGCTCACACCTGTGATCCCAAAACTTTGGAAGGCCGAGGCAGGCAGATCATGAGGTTAAGAGACCAAGACCATCCTGGCCAACATGGTGAAACCCCATCTCTACTAAAAATACAAAAATTAGGTGTGGTGGCACGCACCTGTAGTCTCAGCAAGTCAGGAGGCTGAGGAAGGAGAATCACTTGAACCCAGGAGGCGGAGATCGCAGTGAGCCGAGATCGCGCCATTGCACTCCAGCCTGGCGAGAGAGCAAGACTCTACCTCAAAAAACAAAAAAAACAAAAAACAAAAACAAAAAATCAGCTGGAGCAGGCCAGGCACGGTGGCTCACGCCTGTAATCCCACTTTGGGAGGCCAAGGTGGGTGGATCATGAGGTCAGAAGTTCAAGACCAGCCTGGCCAACATAGTGAAACCCCGTCTCTACCAAAAATACAATAAAGTAGCTAGGATTACAGGTGTGGTGGCGGGCGCCTGTAATCCTAGCTACTCAGGAGGCTGAGGCAGGAGAATCACTTGAACTCGAGAGGCAGAGGTTGCAGTGAGCCGAGATCATGCCACTGCACGCCAACCTGGGCGACAGTGTAAGACTCCATCTCAAAAAAAAAAAAAAAAAAAAAAAAAAAAATTAGCTGGCCATGGTGGCGGGCTCCTGTAATCCCAGCTACTCAGGAGGCTGAGACACGAGAATCACTTGAAACCTGAAAGCAGAGGTTGCAGTGAGCCAAGATCATACCACTGCACTCCAGCCTGGGCGACAAAGCAAGACTCTGTCTCCAAAAAAAAAAAAGAAAAGAAAAGCCCCAACAAAAGTCAGTCTTCTTTAGCTAAAAGACCAAGAAAGTAGCAGTCTAGCAAGACAGAAAAGTTTTAGACAATAACCAATCTACCCCAGCCAAACACCAAGAAAATACTGTGGTTTAAAACCTACCCGTTCTAGCAAAGGCCAAGTGGGGAGCCTAGATTTCCAACCTCTCAAAGCTGTAATTAAGCACTCAATACCCCTTCCAAGGTGGAGACAGAAAGCCAAGTAGGGTATCCAGGAATTTCATCCCTGCAGACCAGTAACAAGATCAGCGGGGACCACGTGGGGAACCTGGGCCTCCACCATATTATATCAATACAAATGGCAGTTTCTTTAAAAAGTCTCCCTCTCCCTCTCCCTCTCCGTCTCCGTCTCCGTCTCCGTCTCCGTCTCCGTCTCCGTCTCCCCATGGTCTCCCTCTCATGCGGAGCCGAAGCTGGACTGTACTGCTGCCATCTCGGCTCACTGCAACCTCCCTGCCTGATTCTCCTGCCTCAGTCTGCCGAATGCCTGCGATTGCAGGCCCGCGCCGCCACGCCTGATTGGTTTTGGTGGAGACGGGGTTTCGCTGTGTTGGCCGGGCCGGTCTCCAGCCCCTAACCGCGAGTGATCCGCCAACCTCGGCCTCCCGAGGTGCCGGGATTGCAGACGGAGTCTCGTTCACTCAGTGCTCAATGGTGCCCAGGCTGGAGTGCAGTGGCGTGATCTCGGCTCACTACAACCTACACCTCCCAGCCGCCTGCCTTGGCCTCCCAAAGTGCCGAGATTGCAGCCTCTGCCCGGCCGCCACCCCGTCTGGGAAGTGAGGAGTGTCTCTGCCTGGCCGCCCATCGTCTGGGATGTGAGGAGCCCCTCTGCCTGGCTGCCCAGTCTGGAAAGTGAGGAGCGTCTCCGCCCGGCCGCCATCCCATCTAGGAAGTGAGGAGCGCCTCTTCCCAGCCGCCATCACATCTAGGAAGTGAGGAGCGTCTCTGCCCGGCCGCCCATAGTCTGAGACGTGGGGAGCGCCTCTGCCCCGCCGCCCCATCTGGGATGTGAGGAGCGCCTCTGCCCGGCCGAGACCCCGTCTGGGAGGTGAGGAGCGTCTCTGCCCGGCCGCCCCGTCTGAGAAGTGAGGAGACCCTCTGCCTGGCAACCACCCCGTCTGAGAAGTGAGGAGCCCCTCCGCCCGGCAGCTGCCCCGTCTGAGAAGTGAGGAGCCTCTCCGCCCAGCAGCCACCCCATCTGGGAAGTGAGGAGCGTCTCCGCCCGGCAGCCACCCCGTCCGGGAGGGAGGTGGGGGGGGGTCAGCCCCCCGCCCGGCCAGCCGCCCCATCCGGGAGGGAGGTGGGGGGTCAGCCCCCCCGCCCCGCCAGCCATGCCGTCCGGGAGGGAGGTGGGGGGGTCAGCCCCCCGCCTGGCCAGCCGTGCCGTCCGGGAGGGAGGTGGGGGGGTCAGCCCCCCGCCCGGCCAGCCGCCCCGTCCGGGAGGTGAGGGGCGCCTCTGCCCGGCCGCCCCTACTGGGAAGTGAGGAGCCCCTCAGCCCGGCCAGCCACCCCGTCCGGGAGGGAGATGGGGGGGTCAGCCCCCCCACCCGGCCAGCCGCCCCGTCCGGGAGGGAGGTGGGGGGGTCAGCCCCCCGCCTGGCCAGCCGCCCCGTCCGGGAGGGAGGTGGGGGGGGTCAGCCCTCCCCCCGGCCAGCCGCCCCGTCTGGGAGGTGAGGGGCGCCTCTGCCCGGCCGCCCCTACTGGGAAGTGAGGAGCCCCTCAGCCCCGCCAGCCGCCCCATCCGGGAGGGAGGTGGGGGGGTCAGCCCCCCGCCCGGCCAGCCGCCCTGTCTGGGAGGGAGGTGGGGGGGTCAGCCCTCCGCCCGGCCAGCCGCCCCGTCTGGGAGGTGAGGGGCGCCTCTGCCCGGCCGCCCCTACTGGGAAGTGAGGAGCCCCTCTGCCCGGCCAGCCGCCCCGTCCGGGAGGGAGGTGGGGGGGTCAGCCCCCCGCCCGGCCAGCCGACCCGTCCGGGAGGGAGGTGGGGGGGGGGTCAGCCCCCCTGCCCGGCCAGCCACCCCGTCCGGGAGGTGAGGGGCGCCTCTGCCCGGCCAGCCGCCCCGTCCGGGAGGGAGGTGGGGGGTTCAGCCCCCCGCCCGGCCAGCCGCCCCGTCCGGGAGGGAGGTGGGGGGGGTCAGCCCCCCTGCCCGGCCAGCCGCCCCGTCCGGGAGGTGAGGGGCGCCTCTGCCCGGCCGCCCCTACTGGGAAGTGAGGAGCCCCTCTGCCCGGCCACCACCCCGTCTGGGAGGTGTGCCCACTAGCTCATTGAGAACGGGCCAGGATGACAATGGCGGCTTTGTGGAATAGAAAGGCGGGAAAGGTGGGGAAAAGATTGAGAGATCGGATGGTTGCCGTGTCTGTGTGGAAGGAAGTAGACATGGGAGACTTTTCATTTTGTTCTGCACTAAGAAAAATTCCTCTGCCTTGGGATCCTGTTGATCTGTGACCTTACCCCCAACCCTGTGCTCTCTGAAACATGTGCTGTGTCCACTCAGAGTTAAATGGATTAAGGGCGGTGCAAGATGTGCTTTGTTAAACAGATGCTTGAAGGCAGCATGCTCGTTAAGAGTCATCACCAATCCCTAATCTCAAGTAACCAGGGACACAAACACTGCGGAAGGCCGCAGGGTCCTCTGCCTAGGAAAACCAGAGACCTTTGTTCACTTGTTTATCTGCTGACCTTCCCTCCACTATTGTCCCATGACCCTGCCAAATCCCCCTCTGTGAGAAACACCCAAGAATTATCAATAAAAAAATAAATAAATAAATAAATAAAAAAGAAAAAAAAGAAAAAAAAAAAAAAGTAAGCATGCGACTACCATATGGCCTAGCAACTGTACTCCTAGGCAAACTGCCGAACTATTTTTCAGAGTGGCTGTACCACTTTACTGTTAACTGTTTCAATGTCAATACCCTGGTTGTGATATTGTACCATGATTCTGCAAGAAATTTCCACCAGGGGAAACTGGGTAAAGTGTACAAGGGATATCTCTGTATTATTGTTTCTTACAATTGAATGTAAATCTATAATTATCTCAAAATTATTTTAAAAAACTGTGTTTAAAAACTAAATTAAAAAACACAAATATACTAAATATTTAGACTTAAGGCTGAACTATGAGTTACATATCCTTATATCCCAAGCACCTACACCAAAGCCTAGAACATATTAGACAATAAATATTTATTGAATTAGATTGAACATACAATCAGCACTTCAAAAATATAAGATGCTTACAAACCTAACAGTTCCATTTCGTTGGCTGTAAATAAAGTAACAATACCTTAAAACAAGTGCAAAAAAGTTACCTTCAAGAAAATATAAAGTATTCTGGAATTTTTTCAAAGAGAAAAATGACTCAGTCCTAGACTACAATGACTTAGATATTACCTCATTATTTTGGCTAATTTATTGTACGGAGAGAGGGAGGGAGGCCAGTAGGCCGGCTGGCCAGCCTGCGAGGCTTAAAAAGTACCATGTACATAATTTAAAAATTAGCATATAGTAGGGAGTCTTTAGAAACCAAGTAGCACACATAAATACTACACATACCCACCCACTTGCAAAGGTGTTTTAAGCCAAAAATCTTACTCTACGTGTCCAAGTTTCATCGGTATTTCTGATTTTCACTAGGTCTGGCTGAACAGGATTATGTCTTATCTTTTAGAGTAACTATCAGAACTGGTGATTATCTCCATCATCTATGAACACAGTCCTTTTCATCTGATAAAACTGGCATTCGGTAACAAGAAAGCATCTTATTTTACCAGAATGACCCAAGTAATTCATTAATTAAAGAAAAAAATGTATACAGGAATCTTTATTGTTGCTTTGGTTTGTTGGTTTTCTAAAACCAATAAAACAATTGTCTTTTCCTGCATAAACACCTGATTTGAAAATCTAGATACAATATTATTTTATTTTATTTTATTTATTTTTGAGATGAGGTCTTGCTCTGTCGCCCAGGCTGGAGTGCAATGGCACTATCTCGGCTCACTGCAACCTCCACCTCCTGGGTTCAAGTGATTCTCCCTGCCTCAGCCTCCGAGTAGCTGAGATTACAGGCGTGCACCACCACGCCCGGCTAATTTTTGTATTTTTAGTAGAGATGGGTTTCATCATGTGGGCCAGGCTGCTCTTGAACTCCTGACCTCAGGTGATCTGCCCTCCTTGGCCTCCCAAAGTGCTGAGATTACAGGTGTGAGCCACCGTGCCCGGCATTACAACATTATTTTAAACAGCCTTCATCATTAAGTAATGAAAGTGAAAGTAGAGTCAGCAGTCAGTAAAAACACTTTGTGATTGAATAATTCAAGTACAGAATTAACAGCCAAAACTACATGAACTGAACAGATAATGATAAAAACCCAATCAGGGCCAGGCACAGTGGCTCACACCTTAATCCCAACACTTTGGGAGGCCAAGGTGGGGAGATTGCCTGAGCTCAGTGGTTCGAGACCACCCTGGGCAACATGGTGAAACCCCGTTTCTACTAAAATACAAAAAATTAGCCAGGCATGGTGGCGTGCGCCTGTAGTCCCAGCTACCTGGGAGGCTGAGGCATGAGAATCACTTGAGCCTGGGAGGTGGAGGTTACAGTGAGCCGAGATCGTGCCACTGCACTCCAGCTTGGGCAACAGAGCAAGACTCCATCTCAAAAAAAAAAAAAAAAAAAAAAAAAAGACCTACTCAGGATAGCAACATTACAATAATGGCAAGCCATACTTATTTTGATCCTTTATGGTCCATATGAACACATGAAATCTTAATTATTTGAGAATTCAACAACTTTTGGGCTGGGTGCAGTGGCTCACACCTGTAATCCTAGCATTTTGGGAGGCTGAAGCGGGTGGCTCACGCCTGTAATCCTAGCACTTTGGGATGCTGAGGCAGGCGGATTGCCTGAGCTCGGGAGTTCGAGACCACCCTGGGGGCAACATGGTGAAACCCCATCTCTACTAAAATACAAAAAATTAGCCGGCTTGGTGGTACACACCTGTAATCCCAGCAACTCAGGAGGCTGAGGCAGGAGAATTGCTTGAACCTGGAGGATGCAGTGGGCTGAGATTGTGCCACTGCACTCTGGCCTGGGCCACAGAGTGAGACTCTGTCTCAAAAAAAAAAAAAAACTTTTGAACATCTCTCTCTTAAACCTCTGGCCTTTAAAATCCCAATCATATCACATTTAATATACATGGGTTATTAAATGGGTTCAGGAATTGTTAGTCTGCAGTAGAACTCTGCAACAAACAATAAACAGTTTCATCACCAAAAGGTACCTGGATGTAATCTCAATTAGTAAAAACTCAGTCACTCATATGTCACTGACATATTTCCTTTGGACAAGGCAACTCATTCTGTTGATCTTTCTCAGCCACTATGAAGTTTATCACTCATGCCTGTAAATGGTACATGGTCATGAACTGCTACAGAATAAAGTCCAAGAGAACCCACCAAAACTGTGGAAGATTAAAAGATTGATGGATCATTAAAAAAAAATGGATTATAGACCTAAATGTAAGATACGAAACTATAAAACTCCTAGAGGATAACATAGAAGAAAATCTAGGTGACCTAGGGTTTGGCAATGACTTCTTAGATACAACCCCAAAAACATGATGTAGGAAAGAAAAAACTGATAAGCTGGACTTTACTGAAGTTAAAAATTCTGATCTGCAAAATACACTGCTAAGAGAATAGAAACTCAACAGATTGGGAGAAAATATTTGCAAAACACATCTCTGACAAAGAACTGGTATCCAAAATATACAGAGGCCAGGCGCAGTGGCTCACGCCTATAATCCCAGCACTTTGGGAGGCCGAGGGAGATGGATCACAGGAGCCCAGGAGTTCAAGACCAGCCTGGGCAACGTGTCGAAACCCTGTCTCTACAAAAAAAAAAATAATAATAATACAAAAAAAATGTAGCCAGTCTTACAACCCAATCTCAAAATAAATAAAAAATTAAAAACGAAACAAAATATACAAATAACTTTTTTTATTTTTGAGACGGAGTCTCACTGTCGCCCAGGCTGGAGGACAGTGGTGCGATCTCGGCTCACTGCAAGCTCCGTCTCCCAAGTACACGCCATTCTCCTGCCTCAGCCTCCCAAGTAGCTGGGACTACAGGTACCCGCCACCACGCCCGGCTAATTTTTTTGTATTTTTAGTAGAGATGGGGTTTTACCACATTAGCCAGGATGGTTTCAATCTCCTGACCTCGTAATCCACCCACCTCGGCCTTCCAAAGTGCTGGGATTACAGGCGTGAGCCACCGCGCCTGGACCCAAAGAGCTCTTAAAATTTAATATGAAAATGAACACCTCCCCCTCCCCCTCCCCCTCTCCCTCTCCCTCTCTTTCCACGGTCTCCCTCTGATGCCGAGCCGAAGCTGGACTGTACTGCTGCCATCTCTGCTCACTGCAACCTCCCTGCCTGATTCTCCTCCCTCAGCCTGCCGAGTGCCTGCGATTGCAGGCACGCGCCGCCACGCCTGACCGGTTTTCGTATTTTTTTGGTGGAGACGGGGTTTCGCCTGTTGGCCGGGCTGGTCTCCAGCTCCTAACTGCGAGTGATCTGCCAGCCTAGGCCTCCTGAGGTGCCGGGATTGCAGATGGAGTCTCGTTCACTCAGTGCTCAATGTTGCCCAGGCTGGAGTGCAGTGGCGTGATCTCAGCTAGCTACAACCTCCACCTCCCAGCCGCCTGCCTTGGCCTCCCAAAGTGCCAAGATTGCAGCCTCTGCCCGGCCGCCACCCCGTCTGGGAAGTGAGGAGCGTCTCTGCCTGGCCGCCCATCGTCTGGGATGTGAGGAGCCCCTCTGCCCGGCAGCCGCCCCGTCTGGGAAGTGAGGAGCGTCTCCACCCGGCAGCCGCCCAGTCCGGGAGGTGGGGGGCAGCCCCCGCCCGGCCAGCCGCCCCGTCCGGGAGGGAGGTGGGGGGCAGCCCCCACCCGGCCAGCCGCCCCATCCGGGAGGGAGGTGGGGGGCAGCCCCCGCCCGGCCAGCCACCCCGTCCGGGAGGTGGGGGGCGCCTCCGCCCGGCCGCCACCCCGTCCGGGAGGTGGGGGGCACCTCTGCCCAGCCGCCCCTTCTGGGAAGTGAGGAGCCCCTCTGCCTGACCGCCACCCCGTCTGGGAGGTGTACCCAACAGCTCACTGGGAACGGGCCATGATGAGGATGGCGGTTTTGTCGAGTAGAAAGGGGGGAAATGTGGGGAGAAGATGGAGAAATCAGATTGTTGCTGTGTCTGTGTGGAGAGAAGTGGGCATAGGAGACTCCATTTTGTTCTGTACTAAGAAAAATTCTTCTGCCTTGGGATGCTGTTGATCTATGACCTTACCCCCAACCCGGTGCTCTCTGAAACATGTGCTGTGTCCACTCAGGGTTAAATGGATTAAGGGCGGAGCAAGATGTGCTTTGTTAAACAGATGCTTGAAGGCAGCATGCTCCTTAAGAGTCATCACCACTCCCTAATCTCAAGTACCCAGGGACACAAACACTGCGGAAGGCCGCAGGGTCCTCTGCCTAGGAAAACCAGAGACCTTTGTTCACTTGTTTATCTGCTGACCTTCCCTCCACTATTGTCCTATGACCCTGCCAAATCCCCTTCTGCGAGAAACACCCAAGAATGATCAATAAAAAAAAAAAAAAAAAAAAAAACATCACTATGTACCCCATGACTATGTACAATTGTTATCTGTCAATTAAAAATAAAATAATGTTTAAAAAATAAAAAAATTTAAAAAATTAAAAATAAATTAAAAAAAAGAAAATGAACAATGTGGCTGGGCGTGGTGGTTCACGCCTGTAATCCCAGCACTTTGGGAGGCTGAGGCGGGCAGATCACCTGAGGTTGGGAGTTCGAGACCAGCCTGACCAACATGAAGAAACCCCATCTCTACTAAAAATACAAAAAATTAGCCAGGCGTGGTGGCACATGCCTGTAATCCCAGCTACTCGGGAGGCTGAGGAAGGAGAATCACTTGAACCTGGGAGGCGGGAGGTTGTTGTGAGCCAAGATCGTGCCATTGCACTCCAGCCTAGGCAACAAGAGTGAAACTCTGTCTCAAAAAAAAAAAAAAGAAAGAAAATGAACAACCCCATTTTAAAAATAGGCAAAAGATCTGAACAGACACTTCACCAACGATATACGAATGGCAAATAAGCATATGAACGAAAAGATGTTCAATAACATATGTCATCAGAGAATTGCCAATTAAGACAACAATAATTCTGACAACCGTGGTTAAAAGAAATTATTAATAAGAAAAAAAGACTTCAAATTCATTAAAAAAAAAAAAGACAACAATGAGATGCCACCGTGTCCGTATCAGAATGGCCAAAATCCAAAGCACAACACCAAGTGCTGACAAGGATGTCAAACAATAGGAAATCTCATTCATTGCTAGTGGAAATGCAAAATGGTACAGCCAGCAAGGTGAGCTGGAATCACCTATAGTCCCAGCTACTCAGGACGCTAAGCCAAGAGGATTGCTTGAGCCCAGGAGATGAGTCTAGCCTGAACAACATAGCGAGACCTGTGTCTTAAAAAAAAAAAAAAAAAGTTATACCCAGTTTGGGAGGTTCTTACAATACTAAACATACTCTCTCACCACACAATCCAGCAATTGCACTCCTTGATATTTACCCAAAGATGAAAACTCATGTCAACACAAAAACCTACATGTGGACATTTATAGTAGCTTTATTCACAATTGCCAAAACTTGGAACCAACTAGGATGCCTTTAATAGGTGAATGGATAAGCAAATTGTAGTGTACCCAGACAATGGAATACTATTCAGCAATAAAAAGAAATGAGCCATCAAGCCACAAAAAGACATTGAGAAACCTCAAATGCATATTGCTAGGTGAAAAAAAAGCCAATCTGAAAGGCTATATACTGTATAATTCTAACTATACGACATTGTGAAAAAGGCAAAACTATGAAGACAGAAAGATATTAGTGGTTACAGTAGTTAAGGGGAAGAAGTAGGGATAAATAGGTGGAGTACAGGGGATTTTTAGGGCAGTGAAACTATTCCATATACATATTATTATGAAACCATCTTTGCAAAAATTATAACTGAGACAATTATTACAGTGAAAGAGATCTGATCTAACCAACTCCATCCTGCTTCTAACCTCCCAGCTGTCCTTGTTCATTCCTAGACTTAGCCCAAACTAACTTTGTTTGGGAGGAACTTAGTTTACAGTTTAGGTTAGTTTTCCCAGAACAAACCCCCTTCCTGGCTGGGGACTAGACTGCCTTTGCAGGACTAACAAATTCTAACAAGATTAGAAATCATGGTTTAGGAGTCATGCAGCTAGAGGCTGCAAGATTCTAAACCTCCCTAAATTACTCCTGGGGATAACATCATTATTGTAAAACCCAAGATCGTGTTTGAGATATTTTGCAGACCCTATATTCAATGGATTAGCTGGCACCACCCAGACTGATATAAACTGGCCTATCTTGTCTTGTGGCCCCCACCCAGGAACTGACTCAGCACAAGAGGACAGCTTCAACTACCTATGATTTCATCTCCAACCCAATCAATCAGAACTCCTGACTCACTGGTCCCCTACCCACAAAATTATCCTTTAAAACTCCAATTCACAAATTCTCGGACAGACTGATTTAAGTAATAATAAAACTCTGGTCTCCCACACAGTCAGTTCTGCTTGAATTACTCTTTCTCTACTGTAATTCCCATCTTGATAAATAGGTTCTGTTGAGCCAGCGGGCAAGGTGACCCCGTTGGGTGGTTACAATTAGACAGTCATGCATCACTTAACAATGGGAATACATTCTAAGAAATGTGTTAGGTGACTTCATCATTGTGCAACTGTCATAGAGTGTACTAAACAAACCTAGATGGTACAGCCTGCTACACATCTAGGCTATATGGTATAATCTGTTGCTCCTAGGCTACAAACCTGTACAGCATGTAACTACTGAATACTGCAGGCAGTTGTAACACAATGGTAAGCATCTGTGTATCTAAACATATCTAAAAACAGAAAAACTAAGGTGTTATGCCAAGCATTACATCACTAGGCAATGAAAAATTTTCAGCTCCACTATATAGAAAGTACCCATCTCTACAAAAAAAGAAAAAAAATTGCCAGCCTTGGTAGTGTGCACGTGTAGTCCCATCTACTGTGGAGGCTGAGGCAGGAGGACTGCTTGAACCCAGAAGTTCCAGGCTGCAGTGAGTTATGATCGTGCCACTGCACTCCAACTTGGGTAACAAAGCAAGACACTGTCTCTTAAAAAAAAGAAAAGTCTATTAATTTTAAAAAAGAACCTCTGCACAATGGAATGATCTTCATTCTTTATATACTACTGTACCACCTCATAACCATGACTAACATTACTAATACCACTCACATCTCAAACATAGCAATCTAACTCCTTACAACTTAAAGTGTCATCTGTAGACCAACAGGATTAGCATCACCTTATAGATCAGAAATGCAAAATCTTGGGTCCCACACTAAACCTTCAGAATCAGAATCTGCCTTATAAAAAGATCATGTGATTTGTATGCACACTAAAATCTATGAAGGCCTAATCCAAAGCTTTCAATTCAAAGGCCACACAAGGCAAGGGGGACAGAAATCAAGGCCCTGGGCCCTCCCAAAGTTAAGCCTTATAAGACACCCCACCATATACCTCTCCAATCTAAACCAAGCCCCAAATTTTTCACTATCCCTAGCGGACTATATAGAAGCCTGCCTTGGTGTTGAGCAAATCAAAAGAATAAAAAATTCCTGAGAAATCATAGCCACGAGGAATCCCTGTATGCACTGGCATCTTAGTTTCTTATAATCTGGATAAGCCAATGACTGTCAAGTCATGCAGTTTGAGGAAATAAAAAACTAGTGATGCCACAGAGTACCTGACAGATATTAACACCAAGGCTAACTTCTCAAGCAACAATGTAAGCCAGAAGATAATGGAATGATAAGTTCAAGGCTGGACAGGGTGGCTCACACCTGTAATTCCAGCACTTTGGAAGGCTGAGGTGGGAGGATTGCTTGAGTCCAGGAGTTTGAGACAAGCATGGGCAACATAGTAAGACCCCATCTCTACAAAAACAACAAAAAAAGAAACGATAAATTCAATAAACTGAAAGAAAATAAAATGCAATACTAATAAACATACAAACAAACATACAATACTATGCCCCCCAAAAAAGTAGTTTTCAAGGATGAAAGAAAATATATACCTATATAGTATATCCGTAGAAGTTTTCTGGGGACAGGGTCTTTGCTGTTGGTTAGATTCTCAAGGGGATATATACTCATGAAATTAAGAACCATTTATTTACAAAAACATTAAAGGTCATTCAACTTAACTTCCTCCCCAGTATCTCTAAATACCCTGGCTCTGTTTTAACATAAGTTAAACTCAGTATCTTACTTTAACATGAGGAAACTCACTATCTTATAAGAAAGTTACATTCCATTTTTCTCTTTAACTTCTACTTGATGGTCCTTGTTCTTTTGTCAAAGCAACAAAATACTAAATCTAATGCCTATTCCACTTGCCAGATCTTTGATATATAGTTAGCCCTCCAAAGCCACAGGTTCCACATCCTTGGATTCAGCCATCACATATATATATTTTTTATTTTATTTTATTTTTTGAGACACAGTTTCACTCTGCCTCCCAGGCTGGAGTGCAGAGGCGCAATCTCCGCTCACTGCAACCTCTGCTACCCGGGTTCAAGTGATTCTCGTGCCTGAACCTCCTAAGTAGCTGGGATTACAGGCGTGCGCCAAGTATATCGCAGGACATGCAGAGGTACATCATTTTATATATGGGACCTTATCATCCTCAGATTTTCTTATCTGCAGGAGGTCTGAGAACCAATCTCCCATGAATACCGAGGGACAACTGTATTTGAAAATAGCTGTCCCCACCTCTTTATTCTCTAAATGAAACATCTCTAATTCCTTTTTTTTTTTTTTTTTTTTTTTTTTTTTTTTTTTTGAGACGGAGTCTCGCTCTGTCGCCCAGGCTGGAGAGCAGTGGTACGATCTCGGCTCACTGCAAGCTCCGCCTCCCAGGTTCACACCATTCTCCTGCCTCAGCCTCCTGAGCAGCTGGGACCACAAGCGCCCATCACCACGCCCGGCTAATTTTTTGTATTTTCAGTAGAGATGGGGTTTCACCATGCTAGCCAGGATGGTCTCGATCTTCTGACCTGGTAATCCGCCCACCTTAGCCTCCCAAAGTGCTGAGATCACAAGCGTGAGCCACCGCGCCCAGCCTCTAATTCCTTAAATAATGTCTCAAATCATTTTAATTACTCCATCACCAGACAGACTGTTTTCTCCTGGAAAGACTCTATCCATGCTCCGAAAATGTGCCTCTTAAAACTGAACACTCTCATTTTACAGTAGAGGGGAAAAAAAAACCTCAACACAATACTAAAGGTCTGGAATATTATGTTCCCCTGTATTTTCATTTATATTTTTAAATTTTTTTTGGCGTGATTGCGCCAAGCTGGATTGCAGTGGTGCAATCATGGCTTACTGCAGCCTCTATCTGCTGGGCTCATGTAATTCTACCACCTGAGCCTCCCAGAGTAGCTAGGACTACAGGCACAAGCCACAGTGCACAGCTAATTTTTACATGTTTTGTAGAGACAGGGGTTTCACTTTCTTAGGTTTAAAAATATAGAGGCGGTCTGGGCATTTATGCTTCTGACTACCTGAATAATACCACCTCCCCGTTACTGTCTCAAAGTTAACAAGAGAAACCTTTTTTTTTTTTTTTTTTAAATCCCCAGACAGAGTCTCACTCTGCCACCCAGGCTGGAGTGCGGTGGCACAATCTCGGCTCACTGCAACCTCTGCTTCCTGGGTTCAAGCGATTCTCCTGCCTTAGCCTCCCGAGTAGCTGGGATTATAGGCATGCACCACCATGGCCGGCTGATTTCTGTATTTTTAGTAGAGATGGGGTTTTGCCCTGTTGGCAAGGCTGGTTTTGAACTCCTGGCCTCAAGCAATCCACCTGCCTTGGCCTCCCAAAGTGCTGGGATTACAGGCGTGAGCCACTGCAACTGGCCCAGAGAAGCATTTTTTTAAAAACTATTTTAAATAATATTTAAGGACCAGGTGTGATGGCTCATACCTGTAATCCCAGCACTTTGGGAGGCTGAGGTAGGCAGATCACTTGAGCTCAGGAGTTCAAGACTAGCCTGGACAACATGGTGAAACCCCATCTATACAAAAAATACAAAAATTAGCCAGGCATGGTGCCACACACCTGTAATCCCAGCTACTCAGGAGGCTGAGGTGGGAAGATCATTTGAGCCCAGGAGGCAGAGGCTGCAATGAGCCAAGATCGTGCCACTGCACTCCAACCTGGGTAACAGAGCAAGATTCTGTCTCAAAAAAAAAAAAAAAAAAAGGAATATTTAAGTAATAAACATCCAGCTCTACTAATTAAAAACTAATGAAAATTAACTGAATCCTTGGCTGTGAGTCAATTCAACAAAGCACCATGATCTCCTTAAGGCATTTATTTTATTTATTTATATTTTAGAGGTAGGATCTCACTATGTTGTCCAGGTTGTACTTGAACTCCAAGGCTCAAGTGATTCTCCCGCCTCTGCTTCTCAAGAAGCTGGGACTGGCCAGGTGTGGTGGCTCACGCCTGTAATCCCAGCCCTTAGGGAGGCCAAGGCGGGCGGATCACGAGGAGTTCCAGACCAGCCCGGCCAACACGGTGAAATCCCATCTCTACTAAAAATACAAAAAATTAGCCAGGTGTGGTGGCAGGCGCCTGTAATCCCAGCTACTCGGAAGGCAGAGGCAGGAGAATCGCTTGAACCCAGGAAGTGGAGGTTGCAGTGAGCCAAGATCGCACCACTGCACTCCAGCCTGGGCAACAGAGCGTCCGTCTCAAAGAAGCTGGGACTATGGGTACAGTTCACCATGCCAGGCTCCTAAGACATTCATTTAAATCCACTTAGTCATTCATACCTATGCACAATATGTATAGCATTTACAGTGTGTATCATGACACTTTTAATAATAAAGTCAGTGTTTTAAAGTCAGTGTGTATTGTTTCTTCTATTTTACTTTTTAAAAAATCACCTACAGCACTTACCACAGTGTATGCACCTAGAAGGTATATAAATATCCGTGGTATTAAATTGAACACAGTAGAAAGAATGCTAGAGATTAAAGTTCAAATTCTGACTCAGCTACAACTTAGTAAATGACCTTAGGAGAAGGCAGAATTATTCTGGGACTCAAAGTGGTTCCAGTAAGTCCATGAGTTTCATATTTCACAGCCAATTTGCCATCTATATAACCCAATGAAACTTACAGGGAATGTAATTTCCATTGAAAACATCAATGCTTCACCAATTCCATATACACAAAAATTATTTTCTGATTTGTATCACTAGACAGTGTCTTACTAGCATTCTGAAGGTCACCCATCCCAGTCACGAAGCCCTTAATTCTCACAACCTTGATTTTATAAATAAGGAAACAGATAGACTGATCTGCCCCAGACCTCACAGTTATTATGTGGTACAGATGAAACCTGAACCTTGGTCTTTTGACACTCAGTCCAGTGCTATTACTGCCATACTATAGTTGCCTGTCACTGATAATTGCAAAGTTTGTTAATTTGGGCAAGTCTACCTTAGACTTTTAGACAACACACTGTTGAAAGGCACCCCACCTCTGGCTGATGAAATAGGCTGACTGGTTTGCCTCTGAAGCATCTCAGCAAGTCTCAGCTATACTGAGCACACAAAGTTATTCAGAATATCTTTCAAACATTTTTTTGTCCCTATTATTGTTATCTTATTTTAGCTTGATAAAGAACAACTGTCTGGGTAGCCACTGACACTCTTAAAATATACTCAGCCCAAGAGAACTTGCTAAAATGGAACATACTAAATTGGTTGAGTACTAAAGCAACTGGCTATATCAGAGAACCTCATTATCGGTGACCCAAACTTACCTTTAATTATCAGATATATGACCATGCAATACTGATGTTATTGTTTTAAGAAAATCAGATGTGATTAAAAGTGTGAGATTATCCCTTTTTTTAACCTATTAAACTAGCAATATTAGTGAAAAAAAATTTTTTTTCTGAGACAGGGTCTCACTCCATTACCCAGGCTAGAATGTAGTGGCACGATCATAGCTCACTGTAACCTCAAACTCCTGGGCTCAAGTAAGCCTCCTGCCTTAGCCTGCTGAGTAGCTGGGACTACAGACACCACCATGGCTAGATAATTTTTTTTAACTTTTTTTTTTTCAGAGATGGGGTCTTGCTATGTTGGCCAGGATAGTCTCTTTTTTCTTTTTTTTTCTCCCTCCTCAGGTGCTACTTAACCAGGCTTGTTTTGAACTCCTGGCCTCAAGTGATCCTCCCACCTCAGCCTCCCAAAGTGCTGGGATTACAAGTGTGAGCCACCATGCCCAACCACGGTTTCTTTTTATCCTTCTTCTTCTTCACAGAGACCTCTTCTTCTACCACTACTACTTTTCCTTCTTCTCCATCTTCTTCAATTTTAATTTTACTCTTGGCCTTTTTTGCTTTCTTTGTGGTAATTTCATCTTCTTTATCTGTTCTGAGTTTTTTTTAATTTTTTACTTTTTGTACAAATGGGGTCTCACTATGCTGCTTAGGCTGGTCTTGAACTCCTGGCCTCAAGCAATCCTCCCATCCTTGGTATCCGAAGTGCTGGGATTCCAGGTGTAAACCACTGTACCTGGCCCTATTTTGTGTTTTTGTAGAACAGGTTGGAAGTGTGGACCCACCAATACATTCTTTTAAAAAAATTTTTAGTATTTTCTTATTAAAAGGGAACTGTGGGCCAGGTGTGGTGGCTCACACCTGTAATCCCAGCACTTTGGGAGGCAGAGACAGGAGGATCACTTGAGGCCAGGAGTTAAGAGACCAGCCTGGGCAACATAGTGAGATCTCGTCTCTACAGGAAAAAAAAAAAAAAAAGCAAAAACTTAGCCAGGTCCAGGTCCATATGGTGGTGAGCGCCTGTAGTCCTATCAACTTGGTAGGCTAAGGCAGGAGGATCACTGGAGCCTGGGAGGTCAAGGCTACAGGGAGCAGTGATCACACCACTGCACTCCAGCCTGGGTGACAGAGTGGGACCTTGTCTCAAAAAAATAAATAAAATGAAGTAAAAAGGAACTACCCCTTTTTGAAGTACAGTGTGCTTTTAAAAAGCATTTCTCCATGTCTCGTAATAAAGGGCAGACAAAAATATAACAAACAAATGGGTCAGATACTGCCCTTTAACTGCAAATGGTTTGTTACCCCCATGTCTCTGTAACTTAGTGAATAAGAGGGAAAGGAAAATAAGTAAGCTTGAGTTTACTCAAGAAGAAATCTGAGGGCCAGGCACGGTGGCTCACAGCTGTAATCCCAGAACTCTGGGAGGCCAAGATGGGCAGATCGCTCGAGCTCAGGAGTTCGAGACCAGCCTGGGCAACATAGTGAAACCCTGTCTCTACAAAAAAAATACCAAAAAAAATCAGCCAGGTGTGGTGGCACACGCCTGCAGTCCCAGATACCCATAAGGCTGAAGTTGGGAGGATCACCTGAAACCAGAAGGTCAAGGCTGCAATGAGCCATGATGCCAAACCACACTCCAGAGCCTGGGCAATGGACTGAGACCCATCTCAAGAAAAAAAGAAAAGAGAAAAAATCTGAACACAGAATTAACAATGAACATAGCCAATCATTACGATAAATACTTCTAAATTCATGAAAAAAGTAGCCGGGTGCAGTCGCTCACACCTGTAACTCCAGCACTTTGGGAGGCCAAGGCAGGTAGATCACTAGAGGTCAGGAGCTCGAGACTGGCTGGGCTAATGTGGTGAAACCCCATTAGCAGGGTGTGGTGGTGCGTACCTGTAGTCCCAGATACTCGGGAGGCTAAAGCAGGAGAATTGCTTGAACCCAGGAGGCAGAGGTTGCAGCGAGCCAAGATCGCGCCACTTCACTCCAGCCTAGGCAACAGAGTTAGACTTGGTCTCAAAAAAATAAAAAATAAAAATAAATAAATTAATGAGGCCAGGAGCAGTGGCTCACGTCTGTAACCCTAGCATTTTGGGAGGCCCAGGCAGGTGGATCGCTTGAGGTCAGGAGTTCGAGACCAGCCTGGCTACTAAAAACATAAACATTAGCCAGGCATGGTGACATGCGCCTATAATCCCAGCTACTCGGGAGGCTGATGCAGGAGAATCACTTGAACCCAGGAGGCGGAAGTTGCAGTGAGCCAAGATCATGTCACTTCACTCCAGCCTGGGATGGAAACTCCATCTCAAAAATACTACTACTACTACTAATAATAAATTTGGCCAGGCACGCTGGCTCATGCCTGTAATCCCAGCACTTTGGGAGGCCGAGGTGGGCGGATCACTTGAGGTCAGGCATTCACAAGACCAGCCTGGCCAACATGGCAAAACTGCGTCTCTACAAAAATTACCTGGGTGTGGCAGCGTGTGCCTGTAGTCCCAGCTACTTGGGAGGGTGAGACAGGAGAATCACTTGAACCCAGGAAGCAGAGGCTGCAGTGAGCCAAGAAGGCGCCACTGCACTCCAGCCTGGGCAACAGAGTGAGACTCTGTCCCAAAAAAATAAATTATAAATTCATGAAAAAACTATTTTTTTAATGAGGCCAGAACACATTTCCCTAGGGAAATAATATATAAAATCAAATTAATGTTCCTATTCTTAAATGCCTAACTTTATGATCCTTAGTATTCTGAGTTCCAGAAACAAAGGATAATTAGGGGCAAAAGGTATAGAAGAGCAGAGACAAACGTGAGAATTGCCTTTCCTGGACCTCAGGAAGCATTTTATAATAGGTAAAAATAGTTTTACAATATCCCACTTCCCTTCTGTGCCATTTTCCAAGTCATTAGTGGCATTATGCTCCGCTAAGTCCCACTACTGTAGCACCTGACTGCAGCATCAATTGAACATACATTTGCCAGTAGAGAAAGAGAAACAAGAAATGAAGTATGGTCTCTGACTTCAAGGGACTCTCAGGCCAGTGACAAGATATATTTAATTTTAGGCCAAGTGCAGTGGCTCACGCCTGTAATCCCAGCACTTTGGGAGGCTGAAGCTGGTGGATCACTTGAGGTCAGGAGTTGGAGACGAGCCTGGCCAACATGGTGAAACCCTGTCTACTAAAAATGGTGGCACATGCCCGTAATCCCACCTACTCAGGAGGCTGAGGCAGGAGAATCATTTGAACCTGGGAAGCAGAGGTTACAGTGAGCAGAGATTGTGCCACTGCACTCCAGCCTGGGCAACAGAGAGGCTCCATCTCAAAAAATAATCATAATTTTAAAACAATATGGAAATCCAAAGGAATACACACACACACACACACACACACACACACACACACACACACACACACACACAAATTAGCATTAGTAAACAAGTTCAGCCGGGTGCGGTGGCTCACACCTGTAATCCCAGCACTTAGGGAAGCTGAGGCGGGTGGGATCACCTGAGGTCGGGAGTATGAGATCAGCCTGACCAAGATGGAGAAACCCCGACTCTACTAAAAATACAAAATTAGCCAGGCATGGTGGCACATGCCTGTAATCACAGCTACTTGGGAGGCTGAGGCAGGAGAATCGCTTGAACCCAGGAGGCGGAGGTTGCGGAGAGCCGAGATCGCTCCATTGCACTCCAGTTTGGGTGATAAAAGCAAAACTCCATTTCAAAAAAAAAAAAGAAGAAAAAAAAAGTTCAGCAAGGCCACAGAATACCAGATCTATAAAAATCTTTTATTTCTCTATACCAGCAATCAACAACACAAAATGAAATAAGAAAATAATTCCATTTTCAATAGCATCAAAAGGAATAAAATACTAAGGAATAAATTTAAAGTAAAAGACTTGTACACTAAAAACTACAAAATAGCTGGAGAGGATGTGGAGAAATAGGAACTCTTTTACACTGTTGGTGGGACTGTAAAACTAGTTCAACCATTGTGGACTACAGTGTGGCGATTCCTCAAGGATCTAGAACTAGAAATACCATTTGACCCAGCGATCCCATTACTGGGCATATACCCAAAAGATTATAAATCATGTGTCTTTTAAAGACACATGCACATGTATGTTTACTGCGGCACTATTCACAATAGCAAAGACTTGGAACCAACCCAAATGTCCATCAATGATAGACTGGACTAAGAAAATGTGGCACATATACACCATGGAACACTATGCAGCCATAAAAAAGGATGAGTTCATGTCCTTTGTAGGGACATGGATGAAGCTGGAAACCATCATTCTGAGCAAACTATCACAAGGACAGAAAACCAAACACCGCATGTTCTCACTCATAGGTGGGAATTGAACAATGAGAACACCTGGACACAGGGTGGGGAACGTCACACACTAGGGCCTGTCATGGGGTGGGGGGAGGGGGGAGGGAAAGCATTAGGAGTTATACCTAATGTAAATGATGAGTTAATGGGTGCAGCACACCAACATGGCACATGTATACATATGTAACAAACCTGCACATTGTGCCCATGTACCCTAGAACTTGTAAGTATAATAATAAAAGAAAAAAAAACTACAAAATACATTATATATATATATACACACACTTTTTTTTTTTTTTTTTTTTTTGAGACAGAGGCTCACTCTGTTGCCCATGCTGGATTGCAATGGCAGGATCACAGATCGACGTCCTGGGCTGAAGGGATCCTCCCACCTTATCCTCACCCTGATGAGTAGCTAGGATTACAGGGGCAAGCCACCACATCCAGCTAATTGTGTGTGTGTGTGTGTGTGTGTGTGTGTGTGTGTGTGTGTGTGTGTGTGATATGTCGGCCAGACTGGTCTCGAACTCCTGGGCTCAAGCAATCTTCTCACCTCAGCCTCCCAAAGTGCTGGGATTACAGGTGTCAGCCACCACCACACTCAGCTTAAAAAATATTCTTGAAAGAAATTAAAGACATAAACAAATGGAAAGGCATCCCACGTTCATGAAGTGGAAGATCTGACATTGTTAAGATGGCAGCACTCTCTAAATTGATCTACAGATTTAAGGCATTCCCTATCAAAATTCCAACTGCCTTTTCTGCAAAAGTTGCCAAGTTAATCCTAAAGCTCAAATGGAAATGCCAAGGATCCAGAATAGCCAAAACAATCTTCAAAAAAACAAAATTAGAAAACTCACACTTCCTAATTTCAAAACATATTACAAAAGTACATTAATCAAGACAGCATATTTATGCAGATAGTAGCAGATAGTAGTACCACAGGGTGAAAATACAAGAAAGCAAGCATGATGGTACTGGCATAGACGTACACCAATGCAATAGAATTGAAAGTCCAGGCCGGGCACGGTGGCTCACACCTGTAATCCCAGAACTTTGGGAGGCCGAGTCAGGCGGATCACTTGAGGTCAGGAGTTCAAGACCCGTCTGACCAAAATGGTGAAACCCCGTCTCTACCAAAAATATAAAAATTAGCTGGGTGTGGTGGTGCATGCCTGTAATCCCAGCTACTCAAGACGCAGAGGCAGGAGAATTGCTTGAACCTGGAAGGCAGAGAGGTTACAGTGAGCTGCGATCACGCCACTGCACTCCAGCCTGGGCAACGGAGCAAGACTGTCTCAAAAAAAAAGAAAGTCCAGAAATAAGCCCACACCTCTGTGGTCAATTGACTCAAAACATGGATGCTAAGATGATACACAATTCAATGGAAAAAGAAGTCTTTTCAACAACTGGTTCAAGGACAACTAGATATCCACACACCAAAAAAAACAAATGAAAAAGATTTTGGGCCGGGCGCAGTGGTTCACGCCTGTAATCCCAGCACTTTGGGAGGCTAAAGCAGGTGAATCACCCGAGGTCAGGAGTTCGAGACCAGCCTGGCCAACATGGTGAAACCCCAGTCTCTACTAAAAATACAAAAATTAGCTGGGTGTGGTAGCGGGCACCTGTAATCCCAGCTACTTGGGAGGCTGAGGCAGGAGAATCGCTTGAACCCGGGAGGTGGAGGCTGCAGTGAGCCGAGATCACGTCATTGCACTTCAGCCTGGGCGACAGAGTGAAACTCCATCTCAAAAAAAAAAAAAAAAAAGAAACAAAGAAAAAGATTTTGGATTCCTACCTCACACATCATGTATAAAAATTAATTTGAAATTGATAAAAAAAAAACTAAATACAACAGCTAAAACTATAAAATTATTTAAAGAAACATAAATTACACCTATAATCCCAGCATTTTGGGAGGCAAGGAAAGCGGATCACTTGAGCCCAGGAGTTCGAGATCAGCCTGGACAACATAGTAAGACCACATCTCAGCCGGGCGCAGTGGCTCACGCCTGTAATCCTAGCACTTTGGGAGCCCGAGGTGGGCAGATCATGAGGTCAGGAGATCAAGACCATTCTGGCTAACATGGTGAAACTTCATCTCTACTAAAAATACAAAAAAAAAAAATTAGCCGGGCATGGTGGTGGGCACCTGTAGTCCCAGCTACTTGGGAGGCTGAGGCAGGAGAATGGCATGAACCCGGGAGGTGGAGCTTACAGTGAGCAGAGATCGCACCACTGCACTCCAGCCTGGGTGACAGAACGAGACTACATCTTAAAAAAAAAAAAAAAAAGGTTACCAAAATTAGCCAAGCATCATGGTGCACACCTGTAGTCCTACCTACTCAGGAGACTGAGGTGGAAGGATAGCTTGAGCCTGAGAGGTGGAGGCTGCAGTGGGCAGATATCATGCCACTGCACTCCAGCCTGGACAAAAGACAGAGACCCTGTCTCGGAAAGAAGAAAGAACGAACGAACGAAAGAACAAACGAATGAAAAAAACAAACAAAAGAGAAATCTTTATCACCTTAAATTAGGCAATCGTTTCTTAGATGTGACACCTATAGCACAAGCAACCAAGAAAAAACTAGATAAACTGGACTTCATCAAAATTTAAAACTTTTGTGTTTCAAAAGATACTATCAGTCAGGCATGGTGGCTCACACCTGTAATCCCAGCACTTTGGGTGGCCAAGCAAGAGGATTGCTTCAGCCCAGGAGTTCACTGGGCAATATAAGGAGACCCCATCTCTAATTAAAATTGTTTTTTTTAATTATCCAGGTGTGGTGGCACACACCTACAATGCCAGCTATCCAGAAGGCTGAGGTGGAAGAATCACCTGAGCCCTGGAGGTCAAGGCTGCAGTGAATCATGATCGCATCACTGCACTCTAGCCTGAGTGACAGAGCAAGATCTTGTCTCAAAAAAGAAAAGAAAGCCAGGCACGGTGGCTCACGCCTGTAATCCCAGCACTTTGGGAGGCGGAGGTGGGCAGATCACCTGAGGTTGGGAGTTCGAGCCCAGCCTCACCAACATGGAGAAACCCCACTCTACTAAAAATACAAAATTAGCCGGGCATGGTGGCACATGCCTGTAATCCCAGCTACTCAGGAGGCTGAGGCAGGAGAATCGAATCACTTGAACCCGGGAGGCGGAGGTTGCCATGAGCTGAGATCGTGCCATTGCACTCCAGCCTGGGCAACAAGAACGAAACTCAGTCTCAAAAAAAAAAAAAAGAAAGAAAGAAAGAGAAGAAAAAAATAATTTTCTGGTTTTAATTTTTTTTTTTTTATAGAGACAGGGTCTCACCATATTGCCTGCCCCAGGCTGGTCTTGAATTGCTGGGCTCAAGCAGTCCACCCTCCTCAGCCTCCCAAAATGCTAGGATTACAGGCATGTGCCACCACGCCTGGCGATAAATAATTTTTTAAAAGGTTAAACATAATTAACACATAACCAAGCAATTCTCCTTCTAGGTATTTAGACAAAAATAAATGTCCATATAAAAGCATATCAATCTTCACAGAGCATTATTCATAATAGCTAAAAAATGCAACCCAAATGTTCATCAATGGATGAATGCATAAACAAAATGCATTATATCCATGTAATGTAATATTATTCAGCCATAAAAATGAATGAAATGATACATGCTACAACATGGATGAACCTAAAAGCATTATGCTAAATGAAAGAAGCCAAACACAGAAAGGCCATTTATTGTATGATTCCATTAATATGGAATGTCCAGAACAGACAGGAAGATGATTAGTGGTTGCCAGAGGCTGGGTGAATGAAGGGAATGGAAGAGACTGCTAACGGGTATGAGGTTTCTTTTGGGGGTAATGAAAATGTTCTGGACTTAGATAATGGTGGTAGTTGCACAACATTGTGAATACACCAAAAACCACTGAATTCTATGATTTTGTTTTGTTTTGTTTTGACAGGGTCTTGCTCTGTGGCCCAGGCTAGAGTGCACGATCATGGCTCACTGCAATCTCAAATTCTTTGGCTCAAGTGAATGATCCTCCCACCTCAGCCTCCCAAGAGTCTGGGACTACAGGTGTGCACCACCATGCCTGGCTAATTTTTTTTTTTTTTTTTTTTTTGGTAGAGACAGGGTTGCCATGCTATGTTGCCCATGCTGGTCTCAAACTCCTGGGCTCAAGCAATCCTCCCACCTCAGCCTCCCAAACTGCTGGGATTACAGGCATGAGCTACCATGCCTACCCCAAATTGTATGCTTTAAAATGGTGAGTTTTACGATATGTGAATTATGTATCAACTTTTTTAAATGTGGAATGACATATGCCCAAAGATATACATTGGGGAAAACATCAAAGAGTAGGGTAGAAAGGGGCCGTGAATGACCTTCTAAAGGTGAAACTTGAGCTGATATGTAGAGAACTAAGCCTGTAAATCTGCCTTATCCCCCACTTTCTCTGCTCCCAATCCTTCCTAAACTGAGAAATCACTTGTCACCCAAAGCAACACACTCACTACCCAAATTCAAATTATTTCAATAAAAATATGTTCTTCCCATAAGAAAATGACTGAGAGCTCTCCAGAGTCCTACTAGTGGATTTCTATTCCTAAAAGAGAAAGTGGGCTAACCCAAGTGAATTATATGCTGAGCATCCCAAATCCAAAAATCTCAATCCTGGGCTGGGTGTAGTGGCTCATGCATGAAATCCTCAGCATGTTAGGAGGCTGAGGTGAAAAGATCACTTGAGCCTAGGAGTTTGAGACCAGCCTGGGCAACATGGTGAAACGCTGTCTCTACAAACAATACAAAAATTGGCTGGGCATGGTGGCACGTGCCTATAATTCCAGCTACTCAAGAGGCTGAGGCAGGAGGATCACCTGAGCCCAGAAGTTCAAGGCTGAAGTGAGCTGTGATTATGCCACTAAACTCTGGCAACAGAGCGAGACCCTGTCTCAAAAAACACACAAAAATCCGAAATCTGAAATGCTCCAAAATCTAATACTTTTTGATGTCAAAGGAAATGCTCACTAGAGAGCATTTTGGAATATCTGTATACTACAGATATTCCAAAATCCAAAAAATCCAAAATATGAACAATTCTGGTCTCATATTTCAAATAATGGATACTCAACCTATATCTGATTAAGAATTTCAAGGCTGGAGCTGGGTGCAGTGGCTCACGTCTGTAATCCCAGCACTTTGGCAGGCCAAGGTGGGCGCATCACTTGAGGTCAGGAGTTCAAGACCAGCCTGGTCAATATGGCAAAACCCCATCTCTACTAAAAATACAAAAATTAGCTGGGGCCTGGTGGTGTGCACCTGTACTCCCAACTACTTGGGAGGCTGAGGCAGGAGGATCGCCTGAACCCAGGAGGCAGAGGTTGCAGTGAGCCGAGATCACACCACTGCATTCCAGCCTGGGTGACACAGCAAGACTCCATCTTAAAAAGAAAAAAAAAGCCGGGTGCGGTGGCTCACACCTGTAATCCCAGCACTTTGGGAGGCCAAGGCGGGCGGATCAAGAGGTCAGGAGATCGAGAGCATCCTGGCTAACAAAGTGAAACACCGTCTCTACTAATAATACAAAAAATTAGCTGGGCACGGTGGCAGGTACTTGTAGTCCCAGCTACTCGGGAGGCTGAGGCAGGAGCATGGCGTGAACCCGGGAGGCGGAGCTTGCAGTGAGCCGAGATAGTGCCACTACACTCCGGCCTGGGCAAAAGAGTGAGACTCCGTCTCAAAAAAAAAAAAAAATCTATAAATAAATTTGTTGTAACTTTGTCTTCTGACAATAATAAAAGGCTTAGAAAGCACATTTCACGAGAGGTAGCTGGGGGAAAAGCCACTAGTGTGGAAAAGAAAAAGGTGGGACAAAATAACTGTCATTGAATAGGTGCAAAGTTGAGATTAGAGCTACAGGGAATAACTGTAGACAGAAAAATTAGGACCACTGAAGAGAAACTGCAGGGAGGCAGATCTACAATCATTATCCGGAAAATCTTTCTAAAATGACAAATCTGCAAACCTGGAATTGGTAGCAACCAGCTGTGAAGTACTTATCTTGGGAAATACCTGCATAGAGAACTGGAGGAATCACCTATTATGTGAAACATTTGTCTAGATTATCTCTAAATCTCTTCTATGATTCTACGAGGAGGAAGAAGTCCAGAAAAAGAATTGTTTTTGCTCTCAATACTGCTGAAAGTATTTTTTTTAAAAAAGCTAAATACCAGGAACTTCTTTAATTAAAAGGAACAATCCCATCAAGAAGACAAAGGTTGATTTGTTAGTCAAGATAATGAGACTGCTTTCCTTAGGATCAAGTATAGCACTGGGAGTGAGAATAGGTCATTTGGCCAGGAACAGTGGCTCACACCTATAATCCCAGAACTTTGGGAGGCTGAGGTAGGAGGATTGCTTGAGGCCAGGAATTCAAGACCGGCCTGAGCAACATAGCAAGACTCTGTCTCTTAAAAAATAAATAAATAGGCCGGGTGCAGTGGCTCAAGCCTGTAATCCCAGCACTTTGGGAGGCTGAGGCAGGCGGATCACGAGGTCAGGAGATCGAGACCATCCTGGCTAACATGGGGAAACTCTGTCTCTACTAAAAAAATACAAAAAATTAGCCAGTTGGCCGGGCGCCCTGGCTCACGCCTGTAATCCGAGCACTTTGGGAGGCCAAGGTGGGCAGATCACGAAGTCAGGAGATAGAGACCATCCTGGCTAACACGGTGAAACCCCGTCTCTACTAAAAATACAAAAAATTAGCCAGGCGTGGTGGCGGGCTCCTGTATTCCCAGCTACTAAAGAGGCTGAGGCAGGAGAATGGCGTGAACCCGGGAGGCAGAGCTTTCAGTGAGCCGAGATCATGCCACTGCACTCCAGCCCAGGCGACAGAGCGAGACTCCATCTCAAAAAACAGAAAAAACATTAGCCGGGAGTGGTGGCAGGCGCCTGTAGTCCCAGCTACTCAGGAGGCTGAGGCAGGAGAATGGTGTGAACCCCGGAGGCGCAGCTTGCAGTGAGCCGAGATTGCGCCACTGAACTCCAGCCTGGGAAACAGCGAGACTCCATCTCAAAAAAAATAAATAAATAAAATAAATAAATAAATAAATAAATAATAAATCTTCAATTCTAGATACAATCACTCACTTCCTGTTTGGCCAAGGGTAAATGATTTCATCTCTCTACCTGAGCTGAAAAACAGTAATTTAAAATACCAATATTATAGGAGTATAATTTAAATTAGTTAACAACTGCAAAATGCTTTGGAAATTTACTTTATATGACAATTAAGACTATTTTTTACTTCATATATATATTAGAGTTGAAAAAATTAGCATGTATTATTCATTAAATCAGCCAAATTTCTCACTTTCAGAGAAAGAAGCAAGGAAGAGAATGCTAGAATGAACTCTGTGGTGCTGGATCAGCATCAGAGATATCAGTATAAACTCATGTTTATATTTATATACAGACAGATACGGAAGTAAACGAAGATATGTGTGGGTCAGTATATATATATATTACTTCCTAACTATCCCCTGAGAGGGCCTAGAAGCAGTGATACCCTAGCAGTAATGAGTGCATCAAGCTCATTTAGAAACCAGATAGTGGTTTCCAAATACTCTTCTCCAACAGAAGGAACCAGGACACCTTGGAGAAATGGCTGATTTTAGGGTTGGGGCAGGTAAAGTACAAGATGAGACTGGGGCATCTTACAGTGCCAGGAAGTACAAAAGTGCTAAAAGACAAAGAAAGGTAGGGAAAGGTATTTCAAAAGAACATAGGTGCCAATGTTAGAATGGCCAAAGCTGGAACAACTTGAGCAACAAAATACAGTACTGGATTATAAGCAAAGAAAAAAATATTCATGGGTCCATGTTGACATAAATGATTTAATAAATAAATGGGGGAGGCATAAATCTTCCTTACAAAAGGATTCCAAATCATAAAAGTAGAAAGAATTAGAAAAATAGAAAACCAACAGAATAATATAATCAACGCTGCCGCAGGCAAGATTCACTAATGAATGCTAAAATAAGTAGAGGAAATTTTTAAGGAGAAATCAGATTCTGTATAACCTCACAGTTATCTTCCCCAAAATATTAACTAATTACTTTAGGAATTTTAACATGCCCACAAATTCTTTGATACTCCTCCCTTCAGGGGTTGGAGCTTAATTCCCTTCCCCCAGAATATGGATATGACTTGGTGACTCATTTCTAGGTTCTATCAAGTAAAATTAAAAAGCAGAACAACAGTCACTTTACAGTGCAGAACATCACTTTAATCAAGTTATCAAAGTTAACAAGGCACAATGGCTCATGCCTGCTATCCTAGCATTTTCGGAGGATGAGGCCGGTGGACTGCATGAGGCCAGGAGTTCAAGACCAGCCTGGGCAACATGGCAAAACCCTGCCTTTACTAAAAATACAAAAATTAGGTGTGGTGGCACGTGCCTGTGGTCCCAGCTACTTGGGAGGCTAAGGCACAAAAATCACTTGAATTGGGTAGGCAGAGGTTGCCGTGAGCCAAGATCATGCTACTGCACTCCAGCCTGGGCAACAGAGCAAGACTTTGTCTCAAAAAAAAAAAAAAAAAAAAAAGTTAATCAGTAACGAGTCATGTTGATATCAGGTATTCCCAGATATGATGTGACAAGAAGGGTAAACCATCTCTATGGTATTTTTCCCCAAAATGCATAACCTCGGGCTAATCATGAGAAAGCACCAGAAAACCCAAAATGAGAACCATTCTACAAATGCATGACCACTCATCTTTAAAGGTGTCAAGGAAAGATAGGGAAGGAGAGACTAAGAAACTGTCACCTATTGGAAGAAACTAAAGAATTGTGACATCTAAATGCAATGTGGTATCCTGGATTGGATCCTGTAACAGGAAAAGGACATCAGTGGAAAACACAGGAAAATCAGAGGAAAGTCTGTAGTTTGCTCAATAATATTCCACTAATGCTAATTTCTTAATTTTGATAAGGGTATCAGGTTATATAAAATGTTAACGCTAAGAGAAATGGAATGAATACAGAATGTATATAGAAAGTCTGTACTACCTTTACAACTCTTCTGTAAACCTGAAATTATTTAAAAGGAGTTTTAAACTATTTTCCATATAAAAAGAAGTGAGGAAAGTTATAAATAAAAAAATTTATTTTTTGAGACAGTCTCGCTGTAGCCCAGGCTGGAGTGCAATGGTGCAGTCTCGGCTCACTGCAACCTCTGCCTCCCGGGTTCAAGTGATTCTCCTGCCTCAGCTTCCCGAGTAGCTGGGATTACAGGCGCCCGCCACCAGGCCCAGCTAATTTTTGTATTTTTAGTAGAGACGGGGTTTTTACCATGTTGGCCAGGCTGGTCTCGAACTCCTGACCTCTTGATCTGCCCACCTCAGCCTCCCAAAGTGCTGGGATTACAGGCATGAGCCACCGCACCCAGCATAAATAAATTTTTAAACATATTTAAATATATGCAAACTAATAAAATATTAGTTTACAGTAAGATTAACTTTTTTTTTTTGAGATGGAGTTCCACTCTTGTTGCCCAGGCTGGAGTGCAGTGGCGTGATCTTGGCTCCCTGCAACCTGTGCCTCCCAGATTCAAGTGATTCTCCTGTCTCAGCCTCGCGAGTAGCTGGGATTACAGGCGCTTGCCACCATGCCAGCTAATTTTTGTATTTTAGTAGAGACAGGGTTTCACCATGTTGGCCAGGCTGGTCTCGAACTCCTGACCTCAAGTGATCCCCCTGCCTCGGCCTCCCAAAGTGCTGGGATTACAGGCATGAGCCATCATGCCCAAGCCAAGAAGATTAACTTTTTTAACCTATAAATAATCACAATAGCTGGTCGCAGCGGGAGTGCCTGTAATCCCAGCTACTCAGGAGGCTGAGGCAGGAGAATTGCTTGAACCCGGGAGGTGGAGGTTGTGGTGAGCTGAGATCGCGCCACTGTACTCCAGCCTGGGAATACAGCGAGACTCAGTCTCAAAAAAAAAAAAAAAAGAATAAGAACAAGAATCACAAAAGTTAGCCAGGTGTGATGGTGCACATACACAGTCTGAACTACTGGGGAGGCTGAGGCAGGAGGATCACTTGAGGCCAGAAGTTCAAGGCTGCAGTGAGCTATGATCTCCCCCACTGCTGACAGAACATGATCTCATCTCTAAAAAAAAAAAAAAAAAAGGAAAAAGAATCACGAAAGTAATTGTGTTGACTTTCAACCTTAAAATGTTAATGACATCCAAAATAGTTCACCATAAGGTCTGCATTTAAAGACTGGCCTAGGAGCTCTAAAATGGTAGATGAGTATGATGAATATGATCCCCTATATGTATCAGTGTGCTTTATTACCCCTTTTTTTTTTTTTTGCAGGGGTGAGCAGGTCTGGCTCTTTCAGCAAGGCTGAAGTGCAGTGGCACAATCATATCACTGGAGCCTTGAACTCCTGGGCTCCAGTGATCCTCCCACCCCAGCCTCCAGAGTAGCTGGGACTATAGACACATGCCACCACACCTAGCTAAGTTTGTTGTTGTTGTTTTTGTTGTTTTGCTGTACACTAAAATTATCTGGGGACCGACTAAGTTGTTTTTGTTTTTTTTTTAATGGAGACAGGGTCTCACTATGTTATCCAGGCTGGTATCAAACTTCTGGCCTCAAGCAATCCTCCGCCTCAGGCTCCCAAAGTGCTGGAATTACAGGCATGAGCCACCCAGCCCTACAATCCCCCTTCTTAACCTTAATTGTTCTCAACCCACTCACTCCTAGCAATAAGTCTACAATAACCTGGTTCTAAAAGTGCTGTTTAGAAAGACAAAGTGAAATCACTGATACTTACTTGGTTTCCTTTTCAAATTGACTATATACATGAACTGCCAAGATGCCTTCCACTGGGTCAAAATGTTCCTCTCAGATTTTCTCACATCTTAAGGAAATCTAAAAGCTACATAGCAACTACTCACGCTTAATCTTTAAAAAAAAAAAAAAAAAAAAGCAAAGTGATTCCAAAAACTGTCAAGAGCAAAAGTTTACAGAGCCAAAGGATTGATCACCAAATTCAGAAACAAGATTAGGAAAGAACAAGACACTATGAGATTAGGAAGAACAAGACACTATGAGATTAGGAAGAATCTACTCTCTGACTAAAGCTAAGCCGCCTATATATAAGAAAATCCAGGTGCTTCCTTCACTGTCAGCAAACAATGGAAAATGACTTTTTAATAGGTAATATAAATGTATTTGTAAATTTGAAAATTTTAACAAAGGGATGCTGGAATGACAAATATTTGAAGAGACTACTTAAAAAACAAGTGAGACAGAGTAGGAAAATGTGTTAAGACATCCTCCAGCACTGTATGTGTTTTTACACTGGGGAAAGGGAGACTCACTAGACTTTTGTTCCTTGATTAAAATACCCGTAAGGCCAGGCGTGATGGCTCATGCCTGTAATCCCAACACTCTGGGAGGCCGAGGTAGGTGGATCATCTGAGGTCAGGAGTTCAAGACCAGCCTGGCCAACATGGTGAAACCCCATCTTTACTAAAAATTCAAAAATTAGCCAGGCGCGGTGGCTCACGCCTGTAATCCCAGGACTTTGGGAGGCCGAGGCAGGCGGAACACGAGGTCAGGAGATAGAGACCACCCTAACACAGTGAAACCCTGTCTCTACTAAAAATACAAAAAATTAGCCAGGCGTGGTGGCACGTGCCTGTAGTTCCAGCCACTAGGGAGGCTGAGGCAGGAGAATCACTTGAACCCAGGAGGCGAAGGTTGCAGTGAGCTGAGATCGTGCCACTGCACTCCAGCCTGGGCAACAGAGTAAGACTCCATCTCAAAAAAATATATATATATGTGTGTGTATATGTATGTATGTGTGTATATATATGTATATGTGTATGTATATATGTATGTGTGTGCACGTATATACACACACTCACACACACACACACACACAAATTAGCCAGGTGTGGTGGTGGGTGCCTATAATCCCAGCTATCAGGAAGCTGAGGCAGGAGAATCACTTGAACCTGGGAGGCAGAGGTTGCAGTGAGCCAAGATCATGCCACTGCACTCCAGCCTGGATGACACAGCGAGACTCCATCTTAAAAAATAAAATAGAATAAAATAAAAATAAATGGCCGGGCATGGTGGCTTGCACCTGTAATCCCAGGGCACTTTGGGAGGCCAAAGCAGGCGGATCACTTGAGGTCAGGAGTTTGAGACCAGTCTGTCCAACGTGGCGAAACCCCGTCTCTACTAAAAATACAAAAATCAGCCGAGTGTGGTGGCACATGCCTATAATCCCAGCTACTCCGGAGGCTGTGGCAGGAGAACTGCTTGAACTCCGGAGGTAGAGTCTGCAGTGAGCCGAGATCCTGCCACTGTCCAGCCTGGGCGACAGAGCAAGACCCTGTCTCAAAAATAAATAAATAAATAAAATTTAAATTTAAAAAATACCCACTAAGAATATCTAGTGCCTTTCCAATTCCATAATCAACTACCTTTTTATTACTGATTAGGCAGCCCAGAACAATGGAGGTGTCCTGGTCAGTGGACAATTAAATCCAATTGTGCACATGGCACTTAATACTTCCAACATGCATTAACTGGTATCTGGTTTATCAGTCTCTGGTGAGTTTGTTTACTTTGCATGAATAAATTCTCAAGCACTTGAATCATCCCAATGTAAACCAAAATTCTGAAGTTTCTGAACTACTATGTGGGGGTTGGAGAGACCTTGGTTTGGTTGGATACCATTTTTGCCACTTAACTATCTGTGTGACCTCTTCTTCCCATCAGTCTCAATTTCCTCATCTGTTAACAAACATAGCTAGTGCCTGGGAGATGGCAAGTGCTCAAAAAGTGACAGCTTTATTATTTTGAAGCTAAATTTGAAAGGAAGTGTGTAACTGAGGTGAAAACATTTCATTTGAAAAGTAGTAGTACGGATCAGCAAACTACGTTAATTTAAAAGACACAGCCTGAAGAGAGATGTCCCAATCTTTGGAGTTGAGAAAAGCAAAGTTTAAAAGTTGCAAGTAAAGTACACACTGCACAGTACAGATGGGAGTCTCCTGCTTAGCAACTTTAATGTTGTCTACCAAACACCCAGCTTGTAATAGAGCATGACAACTGTTCACTCTAAATCCATGTGCTCAGCTTGGATTCAGGATTGATTTATAAAAATAGCTGCTGGTGGTGCTCTTTGAATCTCTTTGGGCTGATGACTGGGCAGTGTTACCCCAAAGGCCTAGAGCAGCTGTATTCCCTCACCACACCCATTTCTCTGTCTACCCAGCCAAGCTGACGGCACCCTGCCCCCGCCCCCCATCTCTACAGCATACTATTCACCCTCCTCCTGGGCTGAGTGAGCAAATTACAAGCACAAATATCCCCTGATGCAATGCCACAACCATCCCTGGGAAAGAGCAGAGGCAGTTGCCAAAAGCACAGCAGCAGGGAAATGGGCGGGAGACGCGCGCGCGCGCACACACACATACACACGCACGCGCACACACACGCACGCGCACACACACACACACACACACACACACACACACTGCAAGAAACACTGCAATGCTATGCAACCAGGGAGAGAGAATCGAGAGGCCCTGGGGAGCAATACTGTAACAGGACCAGAGAAGGCAAAGGAGAAAAGGGGGTTTCCAGTAGAAAGCTGGGTAACACTAACCTTCGCGAGGAACACGTATTTCATCCGAGCTTGGGTCCTAAAGCACAAACCTAAAGGTAATCAATCACTGCCTCTTCCCCAAAGCAGCAAATGCATTTAATTTACCCGTTCCTGGAAGTGAGCAAAACCCTCACAACTCCTCCACAGGACAATTTCACCAAAGGGATCTAACTCACACCGGCGGAGAACTTGTTCCATGTGCTAAATCACAATCTCTGTTCTGGGTAATGTTTCCAACTGCCTCTCCTAGTCCCTGTACCCTCCCCACCCCCACCCTAATGTGACCCTTTCGCACTCCCACTGCCAGACACACGCTTTAGTCCCCACACAGTGTCGGGGCCTTTGCAAGGGGGAAGAGCCCCGCCTAGGGCCCGGTTCTCCAGACCACCCCTCAGCCCCACCCATAATCCCTGACTGGACATACTAAGGCTCACCTCAGCCTCACATCAACTGACCCCCACAAAGCCTCAGAAAACGACCCCTGAGTTCTCCTACACCTCCGAACCCCACCCAGGGCCCCAGACTGCGGCCGACCCTCGCTCCGCGGCTCAGCCCCATCCAGAGCCCAAGGCATGTCGCTCGGCCCCACCGCCCCGACCCTCAAAAGCTGGACCTCTCAGCCCCCCTCACTCCAAAGACCCCCCTAGATCGCGCCTCAAAGACTCCGAAGGTCAAAGCCGCCAGCCCCCCGCCTGGCCCCCTCCCTCGGACGCCCCCGCGTCTCGCAGGCCGGCGGCCACCGCCCTTCCACGCCTCGGGCGGGCCCCGTGGGGTACCCAGCTGCCGCAGGGCAAGGCTCGGGCAGCCCCGGGACAGTGAGGAGGCCGCCCCTCCAATCGGACCCCGCCTGCGGCTGCACCTACCCGCCGCCGCCGAGACGGAGCTGGGGCAGAAGGGAGCCAGGAGAGCGCCGGGAAGAGCCGTGAGGAGGTAGGAGACGTCGGGAGGAGCCGGGAGCCAGCGAGCTAGCCGGAGGGGCGGGGCGCAGGGAGGCGGCCGCTTCCTCGTCGCCTCTTGAGGGCCGGCGCAAGGGAGGGACGCCGCCACCGCCTACCCGGCGAGCGCCGCCGCTCCGGCCAATAAGCGTGGCGAGGGGGAGGGCGGAGGGCTGTGGCGGACCAATGGGTGCTGGCCCTGCCGCCACGACGTCTCTGCAGAGCTGCCCGAGCCGCGGGCGGTTGGGGCGAGGTGCGCCTGGGGGCTCTAGCCTCCCGCCTGCGGCCTGCGAATGCCGAAGCGGACCGCAGGCCGATCGACTGCCTTCGCTGTTCTATGATGGCCGTCGCTCTCTCTCAGAGTCTGGGCGCCCGGAGCGAGGAGAGTGCGAGAGTCGGCGCACACGCGGACCGGGCCACCAGCGGGTGGGGCCTGTGGGCTCTGTGATGTAACTTGGGAGGGGCGCGGGGCGGGGCCTAGGTCGCGGGCCATCTGGGCTCTGGAAGGAACCCTTAGAGGAGCGGGAGGACGCCACAGGTCCTCGGCGGGGCTCCGCTCCCGTGAGCCGCATGTGGCTGGTGAGCTCTGAAACGTGGCTGGCCCAAGTTGAGATGTGCTGTAAGTGTACAATACACACCAAATTTCCAAGACTTAGTACCGAAAAAAAAAAAAAAACTCATCTATAATTTTTAAATGGTTACAAGTGGGATAATTAATTATAACAAAATTGATGACAGTTGGGGTATATTTGGTTAACTAAGAAATATTGAGGCCGGGCGCGGTGGCTCACGCCTGTAATCCCAGCACTCTGGAAGGCACTTGAGGTCCGGAGTTGGAGACCACCCTGACCAACATGGTGAAACTTCGTCTCTACTAAAAATACAAAAATTAGCCGGGCGTGGTGGCAAGTGCCTGTAATCCCAGTTACTTCGGAACGTGAGGCAGGAGAATTGCTTGAACCCGGGAGGCGGAGGTTGCAGTGAGCTGAGATCGCACCACTGCACTCCAGCCTGGGCAACAGAGTGAGACCCTGTCTCAAATAAAAAAAATAGGTTTCCTTTTCTGTTGAAATTAACATTACTTCATTCCAAAGCCCCAGATTTTGTAGAATCCTTAACTTACTGTTGTAGGAAAACACACAGGTGGGAGCTTTAAAGTTACTTTGATCATTCTTCCTGCTGCCTGGAGTAGCCAGCATATTCCTGTCCCAGACTTCAGGAATAGAATTGGCTTTGAGCTCCTTTGTAGTTAGATGGCTAGGAAAACTCAAAAGTATTGGAATCTTCCATCCCTTCTGTAAACCAAGAAGTATCTGAGACAGGTCTCAATTGATTTAGAAATTTATTTTGCCAAGGTGAAGGACATTCCTGAAAGGAAAAAACACAGAATCACAGAAACAGTCTGTGGTCTCTGCCTTTCTCCAAAGATGAATTTGAGGAATTCAGTATTTAAAGGGGAAAAGTGGGCTGGAGGGAAAATAGGGAGGGAACAAGAGAAAAGGAGCAGGTAGGGGAATAGTCAATTGTGTATTATGTCAAGTATGTCTGCTTAGGAATGAAAGGCAGTTTGTGCATGACTCAGCTTTCAACTTAATTTTTTCCTTTTGGAATAGTGAATTGGGGTCCGAAGTGTTTTTGTTTTTTGTTTTTTGTTTTTTTGAGATGGAGTCTTGCTCTGTCGCCCAGAGTGGAGTGCAGTGGAACAATCTCAGCTCACTGCAACCTCTGCCTCCCCGGTTCAAGCAATTCTCCTGCCTCAGCTTCCCGAGTAGCTGGGACTACAGGCGCACGCTTCCACGCCCAGCTAATTTTTTTTGTATTTTAGTAGAGACGTGTCACCGTGTTGCCCAGGCTGTTCTCGAATTCCTGAACTCAGGCAATCCGCCCGCCTCGGCTTCCCAAAGTGCTAGGATTTACAGGCGTGAGCTACCATGCCTGCCCCTAAGTGTTTTGTTTTTTGTTTGTTTTTTTTTTTTGAGACGGAGTCTCCCTTTGTCGCCCAGGCTGGAGTGCAGTGGCACGATCTAAGTTCACTGCAACCTCTGCCTCCCAGGTTCGAGCAGTTCTCTGCCTCAGCCTCCGAAGTAGCTGGGATTGCAGGCGCCTGCCACCGTGCCTGGCTAATTTTTGTTTTTTTAGTAGAGACAGGGTTTCACCATCTTGGCCAGGCTGGTCTTGAACTCCTGACTTCGTGATTCACCCGCCTCAGCCTCCCAAAGTGCTGGGATTACAGGGATGAGCCACCGTGCCTGGCTGAAGGGTCCGAAATTTCTTTAATATTTATTTTTCCCCAGGGCCAGGCAGTGGCTCACAGCTGTAATCCCAGCATTTTGGAGGCCAAGGTGGGAGGATCGCTTAAGCCCAGTGGGAGGGTCTCACTCTGTTGCCCAGACTGGAGTGCAGTGGTACGGTCATGGCTTGCTGCAGCCTCTACCTCCCAGGCTCAAGTGATCCTCCCACCTCAGCCTCCCAAGTAGCTGGGACCTTAGGCTTCTGCCACCACACTCGGCTAATTTTTTAAATTTTTTGTAGAGATGGGTTCTCACTGTGTTGCCCAGGCTGGTCTCGAACTCATTCCCTCAAGTTATCCTCCTACCTCTGCCTCCCAAAGTGCTGGGATTACAGGCATGAGCCACCGCACCCGGACCCCAGCCTTCTTTAAGTTAAGACAGTCACCATGTTATGTGTAGAGCTAGAGACCCAGGAGTGATTCTCAGTTATTCCCTTCCTTTTCCCCTCATACCTACCAGATTTTCCTCCTGCCTCAGAAACAGCTCCACTGACACATGCTGTTCTGGTTCAGTCCTTTTTCTTTTTCCTGTATCCTGCCATAGTTTCTTTCAAGCCTTCCCCTTGCTCCTGCTTCAGTCCAAATATCACAACCTTCTGTACCATCCCCTTCCATTCATAATATCCTCCTGCATCCCTTGTATGCCTATTACAACACTTACCATATATGTGATAGTTATTTGTATAAATATGGATCTGCCTGGCCAGGCGAGGTGGCTCATGCCTGTAATCCCAGCACTTTGGGAGGCCAAGGTGGGCAGATCACGAGGTCAGGAGATCAAGACCATCCTGGCTAACAAGGTAAAACCCCGTCTCTACTAAAAACTAATATATATATATATATATATCTGCCCTAACAGATTGCATCTCAAAGTACAGGTTCATTCTATTTCCCCACTTGCAGTGGAAAAGAACATTCCCTCCAGTTCCAGGGTGCCCAGGATGAAAAGCATAGAACCACCTATTCTGGGCATACTGCCTATGGGATTGCCCTGCTCCACAAGCAGCAGTAATAAAAAAGAAAGAAAAACAAGAAAAGCATAGAACCTCAACATCTCAAAGTTGGAAAGGATCTTAGCAAGCACTCAGTCTCATGTCTAAGGATGTATTCTTGAGACTTTACAAGTTCACAATAAGCCATCTCAGGATTATATTTGAGTTATCCTTTAAAAGCATGCTTTATGTCTATTCATCCAAATTTTGATGAAAATGTAGGCCAGGACACAAACATTGGCAGAATCCAATAGCTTATCTTAGAGGCTTTCCTCCAGTTTTAACCTAAACCCCTTCAATGGCTTTTCATTGCATCAGAATCCTAAACATGTATTTCAAGACCTCGTGCAATGATGCTGCCTCTGTCTTGCCTCATCATCTGCCTTTTTTCTCACTATGCCCAGTATCATCTGCCTTCTCTGTTTCTTGAACTTTCTCTTGTCAAGGCCCTCCTCATATTGTTTCCTCTGCCTATCCTAATGTATGATTAATATGATTTTCTACCAGGCATAGTGGCACACGCCTGTAATCCCAGCACTTTGGGAGGCCAAGGTGGGAGGATTGCTTGAGTTCAGAAGTTTGAGACCAGCCTGGGCAACATAGTGAAACCCTGTCTCTACAAAAAATACAAAAAAAAAAAAAAAATTAGCTGGGATGGTGGTGGGCACCTATAGTGCCAGCTACGTGGGAGGCTGTGGTGGGAGGATCACCTGAGCCTGGGGAGGTTGAGACTACAGTGAACCATGGTCATACCACTGCACTCCAGCCTGGGTGATGGAGTGAGACCCCATCTCAAAAAAAAGAAAAAAAAAGATGTGATTTTCCACATCGAAAATTTGAAAGACTAATAAAAGAGTTCATGGCCAGGCATGGTGGCTCATACCTGTAATCCCAGCACTTTGGGAGGTCGAGGTCAGGGGTTCGAGACCAGCCTGACCAACATGGTAAAACCCCATCTCTACTAAAAATACAAAAATTAGCCAGGTGTGGTGGCTTAAGCCTGTAATCCCAGCTACTCAGGAGGCTGAGGCAGGAAAATCACTTGAACCTGGGAGGCGGAGGTTGCAGTGAGCCAACATCGTGCCATTACGCTACAGGCTGGGCGACAAGATTGAAACTCCGTCTCAAAAATAAAAAGAGTTCAGCAAGGTTACTGGATACAAAGTTAATATACAAAAAGGCATAACAGCATATATACCAATAATCAGTAAGAAAATGAGATAGAAAAGAAAAACCCTACAAAAATGAGATACCACAACACACCTACTAAATAGAATGGGCAAAAGCCAGAACACTGGCCAGGTGCGGTGGCTTACGCCTGTAATCCCAGCACTTTGGGGGGCCAAGGCAGGCGGATCACGAGGTCAGGAGATCGAGACCATCTTGGCTAACACAGTGAAACCCCGTCTCTACTAAAATTACAAAAAATTAGCCGGGCATGGTGGCGGGCGCCTGTAGTCCCAGCTACTCAGGAGGCTGAGGCAGGAGAATAGTGTGAACCCAGGAGGCGGAGCTTACAGTGAGCCGAGATCGCGCCACTGCACTCCAGCCTGGGCGACAGAGCAAGACTCCATCTCACAAAAAAAAGCCAGAACACTGACAACACCAAGTGCTAGTAAGAATGTGAAACAATAGAAGCTCGCATGCATTGCTGCTGGGAATGTGAAAGGTACAGAACTTTGGAAGACAGTTCAGCAGCTTCTTACAAAACTAAACGTACTCTCATATGACCCAGCAATTGCCCTCCTTGGTATTTACTCAGAGGAGCCAAAAATTTATGTCTACACAGGCAGGGCACGGTGGCTCACGCTTGTAGTCCCAGCATTTTGGGAGGCCGAGGCAGGTGGATCACCTGAGGTCAGGAGTTCAAGAGCAGCCTGGCCAACATGGCAAAACCCTGTCTCTGCTAAAAATAACAAAAATTAGCTGGGCATGGTGGCGGGTACCTGTAATCCCAGTGGCTCAGGAGGCTGAGGCAGGAGAATCGCTTGAACCCAGGAGGCAGAGGTTGCAGTGAGCCAAGATCATGCCATTGTACTCCAGCCTGGGCAACAAGAGCGAAACTCAGTCTAAAAAAAGAAAGAAAGAAAATTATGTCTACACAAAAACCTGCACACAATTTTTTTTTTTTTTTTTTGAGACAGAGTCTCGCTCTTTTTGTCCAGGCTGGAGTGCAGTGGTGCCATCTTGGCCCACTACAGACTCCGCCTCCCAGGTTCAAGCGATTCTCCTGCCTCAGCCTCCCAAGTGGCTGGGATTATAGGCATGCGCAACCACACCGGGCTGATTTTTATATTTTTAGTAGAGACGGGGTTTCACCATGTTGGCCAGGCTGGTCTTGAACTCCTGACCTCAGGTGATCCGCCCCCCTCGGCTTCCCAAACTGCTGGGATTACAGGTGTGAGCCACTGCACCCAGCCTCACGAATGTTTATAGTAGCTTTACTCATAATTGCCAAAACCTAGAAGCAACTGAGATCTCCTTTAATAAGTGAATGGATAAATAAACTGGGATTGGAAGAATGCACCAAAAAAAAAAAAAAATGGCTAGCCTTGGGTGGTAAGATTACATAGTTATCATTTACTCCTTTATGCTTTTCCAAATTTTATACTATAAATCATTTATTTCTTTTTATAGTCAGAAAAAGATCAATGAAATTTTTTTTTTTTTTTTTAGAGACAGGTTCTCGCTATGTTGCCCAGGCTGGAGTGCAGTGGCTATTCACAGGTGCGACCCCACTACTGATCAGCACGGGAGTTTTGACCTGCTCCATTTCTGACCTGGGCTGGTTCACCCCTCCTTAGGCAACCTGGTGGACCCCTGCTCCCAGGAATTAACCATATTGATGCTGAACCTAGTGTGGATGGACACCTAATCCACGTAGTGCACTACATCCCAGAACTCCTGGACTTAAGTGATCTTCCTGCCACAGCCTCCCAAGTAGCTGGTACTACAGGCGTGCGCACCACCCCACCTAGCACTTTATTTATTTTTTATTTTTTTTATTTTTGAGATGGAGTCTTGTTCTGTCGCCAGGCTGGAGTGCAGTGGTGCGATCTCAGCTCACTGCAACCTCTGCTTCCCGGGTCCAGGTGATTCTCCTGCCTCAGCCTCCCGAGTAGCTGGGACTACAGGCATGCGCCACCAGGCCCAGCTAATTTTTGTATTTTTAGTAGAGACAGGGTTTCGCCATGTTGACAGGATGGTCTTGATCTTTTGACCTTGTGATCTGCCCATCTCAGCCTCCCAAAGTGCTGGGATTACAGGCGTGAGCAACCACGCCTGGCCACACTTTGTTTTTTTTTTGAGACAGGGTCTCACTCTGTTGCCCAGACAGTACTGCAGTGGAACAATTTTTTTTTTGAGACAGATTTTCGCTCTTCTTGCCCAGGCTGGAGTACGATGGTGTGATCTCAGCTCACTGCAACCTCCACCTCCCTGGTTCAAGTGATTCTCTTGCCACAGCCTCCCGAGTAGCCGGGATTACAGGCATGTACCACCACGCCCGGCTAATTTTTTATTTTTGGTGGAGACAGTGTTTCTCCATGTTGGTCAGGCTGGTCTCAAACTCCTGACCTCAGGTGATCCACTTGCCTCGGCCTCCCGAAGTGCTGGGATTACAGGCGCGAGCCACCACACCTGGCCTGCAGTGGAACAATCTTACCTCACAGCAACCTCAACCTCCTGGGGTCAAGCAGTTCTCCCACCTCAGCCTGAGAGAGTAGGCTGGGACTACAGGCACATGCCATTGTGCCTGGCTAATGTTTTACTTTATACTTTTGGAGAGACGGGGTCTCCCTGTGTTATCCAGGCTGGTCTTGAACTCCTGGCCTCAAATGATTCTCCTGCTTCAGCCTCCCAAAGTGCTGGGATTACAAGTGTGAGTCACCATGCCCAGCATCAATAAATACTTTTTTAAAATTTTTATTCTTATTTTTATTTTATCTCTTACAGAAAGGAAATAAATACATTTTAAGGTAAGGCAAGCAACAGCAACAACAAAAATCTTCACAGAGCGAAACAATAAAAACTGATGTGGTACTGAGTAATAAAACTAACAATAGGTTGTAAGACTTTCTATAGAAAAATATTATAAAACTTTACAACTTTTAGAAGAAAATATAGGGTCGGGATGCTGTGGCTCACACTTGTAATCCCAAAACTTTGGGAGGCCGAGGTGGGTGGATCGCTTGACCTCAGGAGTTCGAGACCAGCTTGGGTGACATGGTAAAACCTCATCTCTACAAAAAATACAAAATTAGCTGGGCCTGGTAGTGCACACCTGTAGTCCCAGCTACTCGGGAGGCTGAGAGGGAAGGATCGCTTGAACCCATGGAGGCGGAGGTTGCAGTGAGCCAAGATTGTGCCACTGCACTCCAGCCTGGGTGACAGAGTGAGACTCTGTCTCAAATAAATAAATAAATAAATAAACCTATTTAAAAAAAAGAGAGAAAAGAAAATATTGAGCAATATCTTGATGCTCTCAGGGTGGGAATCTTATTGCAATTTCTTGGTACCAAAGCTTGTCAGATAAACACAATTTTGCATACCAATTTTATCATAATTTATGATGTTTATGTTAGGATTCCATGGGAAGAGGGAAGTACAATTACATGGATTAGAATTTGAATAGAATAGAGTCATAGCATTTTAAGAACCAGAAGGGTCTTTCAGAGGTTCTTTTGGATTATTTTAGCCCAATCCTTTTTCAAGTGTAGTAATTGAGATATGTTGAGGACCCACAGAAAAATGGCAGAATCCAGGCTTGAACTCATTTTCTTACTCTCATCTGGGTGCTTGTTGCACTTACCCCTTCTTTCATCTTTAAATTAATGTAGGCTGGCACTGGACGCAGTGGCTCATGCCTATAATCTAAGCACTTTGGGAGGCCGAGGCGGGTGGATCACCTGAGGTCAGGAGTTTGAGACCAGCCTGGCCAACATGGTGAAACCCCGTCTCTACTAAAAACACAAAAATTAGCTGGATGTGGTGGTGTGGGCCTGCAGTCCCAGCTATTCTGGAGGCTGAGGCAGGAGAATCGCTTCAACCCAGGAGGCTGCAGTGAGCCAAGATCGCGCAACTGCACTCCAGCCTGGCAACAGAGTGAAACTTCATTTAAAAAAAAAAATAGGGCCAGGTGCCGTGGCTCACGCCTGTAATCCCAGCACTTTGGGAGGCCGAGGTGGGTGGATCACCTGAGGTCAGGAGTTTGAGACCAGCCTGGCCAACATGGTGAAACCCCATCTCTACTAAAAATAGAAAAATTAGCCGGACATGGTGGCAGGTGCCTGTAATCCCAGCTACTCAGGAGGCTGAGGCAGGAGAATCGCTTGAACCTGGGAGACAGCGGTTGCGATGAGCCAAGATGGTGCCACTGCACTCCATCCTGGGCAGCAAGAGTGAAACTCCATCTCCAAAAGAAAAAAGAAATGGGGTCTCGCCCAGCCTGGCCAAGATGGTGAAACCCCATCTCTACTAAAAATACAAAAATTAGCTGAGCACAGTGGCAGGTGCCTGTAATCCCAGCTACTCAGGAGGCTGAGGCAGGAGAATCACTTGAACCCAGGAGGCGGAGTTTGCATTGACCCAAGATCACGCCACTGCACTCCAGCCTGGGCGGCAGAGCGAGACTCCATCTCATAAAAACAAAAAACAAAAAAAAAACAAAAGAAATGGGGTCTCGCTATGTTGCCCAAGATGGTCTCAAACTCCTGGGCTCAGAGATCCTCCTACCTCAGCCTCTTGAGTAGCTGGTATACAGGTGTGAGCCACCATACCCCACACCTGGCTAGCTACCTTAATCTTTGATTTCCTGTAAAGTGATCAAAATGAACCCCTATCTTTTTTTTTTTTTGAGACGCAGCTCACTGAAACCTCTGCCTCCCAGGTTCAAGCCATTCTCCTGCCTCAGCCTCCCGAGTAGCTGGGATTACAGGCATGCACCACCACACCCAGCTAATTTTGTATTTTTAGGAGAGACGACGTTTCTCCATGTTGGTCAGGCTGGTCTCTAACTCCTGACCTCAGATGATCTGCCTGCCTCAGCCTCCCAAAGTGCTGGGATTACAGACGTGAGCCACCACGCCTGGCCAAAACTCCTATCTCTTAAAGCCATCGTTGGCCAATAAACCCCTATTGATGTAAGCCACCATTAGTATCTGTCATTTGCAGCTAAATGCAATCCCAACTGATATATGGAGTAAAAGTCCTGGACTACGAGTTGAGAAACCCCATTACAGTCCCAGCTCTGCCAGGAACAAGCTATGTGGCCTTGGGCAAGCCATTTCCCATCTCTGGACCTCAGGTTCCTCATCTCTACCAGGGGAAGTAGAACAAGATGGTGATGGTCTCTTTCACCTCTTACTTTCTTTGGTCTCATTCATCGTTCATGCTGTATAGTGTGTAATATGGCACTTCTTTCCTCTATGACTACTTCTTTCAAGGTTCACCCAGTGTTCCCTTGTTCCTGTGACCTCAGGACTAATTACAAGGGCCCGTCTCCTTTGAGTGAATGTAACACCTTTGGGGCATTCCCTGAACACAAAGTCCCTCTAGCTAGATCCTTATTTTCTCTTCCTTTGGTTAATTTTTTTTTTCTTTTTCTGAGAGATGGGGTTTCACCATGTTGACCAGGCTGGTCTCAAACTCCTGACCTCAGGTGATCCACCTGCCTCGGCCTCCCAAAGTGCTGGGATTACAGGCATGAGCCACCATGCCTGGGCCCTCTTCCTTTAGTTAATTTTATATACCTACACCTAGGCGGAGCACAAAGGAGGGAAGGGGTTGTTTCTACTCTAAAAATACTGGAGTAACATGCCCACCTCTGCCCCTAACCCCTAAACATGCTATGTGATTTCCCCTTTTGGGGCTTCAAATGCATCATTTATGAAATAAGAGGGTGGCAGACTGTCAAAGGGCCCTTCAAGCCCTGGCATTCTAAGACTGAATTATAGCTTCTAATTTTCTTCTTTCACTGTGATAGCACTTTGCTTGTTGTGAAGCGCTTTGCTCTCTGGTGTGAGAGGTTAGGCTTTCTATGACTCTGAGATAATCTGAGTTAGTATTACTATCCACATTTTGAAGTTGAGGAAACAGATTTAGGGATGTGAAGTTGTGTACCCAAGATCACTGATGGGGCTCAGGGCACCCCACCCCAAAATATGACTATAGGAGATCACAGCATGCCACCCCAAAATGTACCTCTTTGGCATATTTGAGCTGATTATTCTGAGAAACTGCAGACACAGGAGTAGCTCTGAAAATTTGTCCTTTTATAAAAGAACTTCACATCTATAAAGGAAATCTACATTAGTAGATTATCTGTATTAGGAAGATAACTGCTCTGAGATAACATTTTATCTTATCTTTTATTTTATTTTATTTTATTTTATTTTATTTTGAGACAGAGTCTCACTCAGTTTCCCAGGCTGGAGGGCAGTTGCACAATCTCAGCTCACTGCAACCTTCACCTCCCAGGTTCAAGCGATTCTCATGCCTCAGCCTTCCGAATAGTTGAGATTACAGGCTCGTGCCACCACACCCAGCTAATTTTTTGTATTTTTAGTAGAGATGGGGTTTCACCATGTTGGCCAGGCTGGTCTTGAACTCCTGACCTCAAGTAATCTGCCCACCTCAGCCTCCAAAAGTGCTGGGATTACAGGCACAAGCCACCACCCCCAGCCCTGAGATAACCTTTATTACCTGAGAGACTTTTTATCTGCATAGCAGAATGCCCTTGGTTCATATATGTTTCCTCCCCTTGCCCTCCTGTGGCTTGTTGCCACCTACCCCTCCCTCAGGCAGGTCTGTATTCCTTTCTGTAGCTCAGGATGCTATATAAGCTTCAATAGTCTGACCCTTCTAAGGGTCTTATGTTTTGTGGGACTCCTGTGTGTATATACATAATTAAATATACTTTTTCTCTTGTTAATCTGTCTTATTTGAATTTAATTCATAGCCTGGCCAAAGAACCTAGAAAGATAGAGGGGAGACATTTTCCCCTCTCCTAGTACACACCTAGTTACCCAACCAGTAAGTGGTAGATCTGGAACTAGAGATCACATCCTTTGACTCCTTGCTCAGTGCACTTTCCACCTCATCTTGAATTTTTTTTTTTTTTGAAGCGGAGTCTCGCTCTGTCAACCAGGCTGGAGTGCAGTGGCACCATCTTGGCTCACTGCAAGCTCCGCCTCCCGGGTTCACACCATTCTCCTGCCTCAGCCTCCCGAGTGGCTAGGACTACAGGCGGCCGCCACCACGCCTGGCTAATTTTTTTGTATTTTTAGTAGAGACAGAGTTTCACCATGTTAGCCAGGATGGTCTCGATCTCCTGACCTCGTGATCTGCCTGCCTCGGCCTCCCAAAGTGCTGGGATGATAGGCGTGAGCCACCGTGCCTGGCCTTTTTTTTTGAGACAAGTTCTCACTCTGTTGCCCACGCTGAAGTGCAGTGGTGTGTTCATGGCTCACTGCAGCCTTGATGGCCCAGGCTCCAGCAATCCTCCCACCTCAGCCTCCTGAGTAGTTGGGACTATAGACGTGTGCCACTACGCCTGGCTAAACTTTATTTATTTATTTTTTAGGAACAGGGTTCTCACCATGTTGCCCAGACTGGTCTAAACTCCTGGGGAGCTCAAGGGCTCAAGTGATTCACCTTTGCCTCCCAGAGTGATAGGATTACAGATATGAGCCAGCACTGTGCCTGACTGATTTTTTTGTTTGTTTTTTCTCTTTCCCTTTTCTCTCCAGGATCTGCTTCCTGGCTATAATCATAATTGCTCTCTCTGTTCAGAGCTCACCATAGATCACTCAGAATTAGCCAACTATGGCCAATTCAGTAAGCCTTTGGTGAGAGCCTGCTTCAGAAAAGGTTTTCTGAGAGGAGATGAACATAAAAGGATTATTTTAAAAGATGCTTGCCTTAGCTCTTTGGCCCTTCCTCACTTAGCTTGGAATGAAACAATGGGCAGATTGGATAAACTAACTTGTATTTAAGAAAGAGCTGCACATAATCATGGAATTCCTGTGGGCACAGTCCACACTGACTCAATTAGTGTGGACAGAGGACTTTGCAGGGAAGCATTTTTTAAACACTTAGGCATAATTTTGCCAGGCACAGTGGGTCACGCTTGTAATCCCAGCACTTTGGGAGGTTGAGATGGGAGGATGGCTTGAGCTCAAAAGTTTGAGACTAGCCTGGGCAGCAAAGTGAGACCTCATTTCTACAATAAAAATTTTAAAATTAGCCAGGGCCAGGAGCGGTGGCTCATGTCTGTTATACCAGCACTTTTAGAGGCTGAGGCAGGTGGATCACCTGAGGTCAGGAGTTTCACACCAGCCTGGCAACATGGTGAAACCCTGTCCATACTAAAAATACAAAAATTAGCCAGCCATAGTGTCAGGTGCCTGTGATCTCAGCTACTTGGGAGGCTGAGGCAGGAGAATTGCTTGAACCCAGGAGGCAGAGGTTGCAGTGAGCTAAGATCCTACCGCTGCACCACTGCACTCTGGGTGACAGAGCAAGACCCTGTCTCCAAAAAAAGAAAAATTAGCCAGGCATGGTGGCATGTGCCTGTGGTCCCAGCTACAGAGGAGGTTGAGGCAGGAGGATCCCTTGAGCCCAGTAGGTCAAGGCTGCAGTGAGCCGCGTCCGTACCACTACACTCCAGCCTGAGTGACAGAGTGAGATCCTGTCTCAAAAAAAAAAAAAAAAAAAAAGAAGAAGAAAATACAAATTAACACCATTAAAAACAAAAAAAATTTTCAAACTTACTGAAAATTTGCAAAAATAAAAATAGTATGTAGGACTCTCACATACACTTTACCAAGAGTCACCTATTTTATTTTATTTTATTTTGAGATAGTTTCACTCTGTCATCCAAGCTGGAGTGCAGTAGTACAATCTTAGTGGACTATAGCCTCGAACTCCTGGGCTCCAGCAATCCGCCCACCTCATCCTCCTGAGTAGCTAGGATCACAGGTATGTGCCACCACACCTGGCTAATTTTTTTATTTTTTGTAAAGACAAGGTCTTGACGTGTTGCCCAGCCTGGTCTCTAACTCCTGGTCTCTAGCGATCCTCCCACCTCAGACTCCCAAAATGCTGGGATTACAGGCATGAACCACTGTCCCAAGCCTATTTTATATTAGATTAGTGGGCACATGTGCTTGATGGTTTCATGAGTATATTGCATAATGGTGGGGATTGGATTTCTAGTGTACTCATTACCCAAATAGTGAAGGTTGTACCTGACAGGTAATTTTTCAACCCTTGCCCCCCTCTCAGCCTACCCTGTTTTAGAGTCCCCAGTGTCTATTATTTTCATCTTTACGTCCATGTGTACCCTTTGTTTAGTTTCCACTTATAGATGAGAAGGCATTTGGTTTTTTTTTTGTTTGTTTATTTCTTTGTTTGTTTGTTTTTTAGACAGGATCTCACTCCCATTGCCTAGGCTGGAGTGCAGTGGTGCAATCTAAGCTTACTGCAGCCTCGACTTCCCAAGCTCAGGTGATCCTCCCACCTAAGCCTCCCAAGTAACTGGGACTACAGGCATGTGCCAACCGGCCCAGCTAATTTTTTGTATTTTTAGTAGAGATGGGGTTTCACCATGTTGCCCAGGCTGGTCACAAACTGCTAGGCCCAGACGATCTATCCACCTTGGCCTCCCAAAGTGTTGGGATTATAGGTGTGAGCCACCACACTAGGCCAAGTGTTCCCTTTTCTCTGCATCCACACCAACGTCTGTTTTTTGACTTTTTAATAATGGCCATTCTGACTGGTATAAAATATCTCATTGTGGTTTTAATTTGCACTTCTATGATGATTAGTGATGTGGAACATTTTTTCCTATGTTTGTGGCCGCTTGTATGTCTTCTTTTGAGAAGTGTCTGTTCATGTCTTTGCCCAGTTTTTAATGGAGTTGTTTGGTGGGTTTTATTTATTTATTTTTGCTTTATTTTTATTGAGAGGGGGGTCTCATTATGTTGCCCAGGCTGGTCTTGAACTCCTGGGCTCAAGCAATCCTCCCACCTTGGCCTCTCAAAGTGCTGGGATTACAGGCATGAGCCACTGTGCCCAGCCATGGAGTTGTTTGTTTTTTTTTTCTTGTTGTGTTATTTATTTGTAGATTTTGTACGTTAGTCTTTTGTCAGAGACATAATTTATAATTTTTTTTTTTTGAGACGGAGTCTTGCTCTGTCACCCAGGCTGGAATACAGTGGCAGGATCTCGGCTCACTGCAAGGTCTGCCTCCCAGATTCACGCCATTCTCCTGCCTCAGCCTCCTGAGTAGCTGGGACTGCAGGCGCCCACCACCACACCCGGCTGATTTTTTGTATTTTTAGTAGAGACAGGGTTTCACTGTATTAGCCAGGATGGTCTCGATCTCCTGACTCATGATCCGCCCGCCTCAGCCTCCCAAAGTGCTGGGATTACAGGCGCAAGCCACTGCGCTCAGCGTTTTTTTTTTTTTTTTAGACGGAGTCTCGCTCTGTTGCCCAGGCTGGAGTGCAGTGGCGCGATCTCAGCTCGCTGCAAGCTCTGCCTCCTGGGTTGACGCCATTCTTCTGCCTCAGTCTTCTGAGTAACTGGGACCACAGGCGCCCACCAGCGCGCCTGGCTAATTTTTTGTGGTTTTAGTAGAGACAGGGTTTCACCATGTTAGCCAGGATGGTCTCGATCTCCTGACCTCGTGATCCGCCCTCCTTGGCCTACCAAAGTGCTGGGATTATAGGCGTGAGCCACCGTGCCTGCCCTAATTTACAAATATTTTATCCCATTCTATAGGTTGTCAGGTTGTCTGTTTACTCTGTTGATTATTTCTTTGGCTGTTTACTCTGTTGATTATTTACACTATATCTACATGGAGATAGTGTCAGATCCCACAGGTGGAAGGCTCAGTCCCCAAAACTATCCCCAACACACACCAGCTACAAGTTCCAGCCTCCAGAACTTCTGACTGACCAGCTTTAAGTTGGGGTCCCCATGACCCCCTTTGCGTTTAATTAATTTGCTGGAATGTCTCACAGAACTCACGGAAACACTTACTTAGGTTTACTGGTTGATTATAAAGGATATTACAAAGGATGCAGATGAAGAGATGCATAGGGCGAGGTGTGGGGGAATGGACGTGGGGCTTCCATGCCCTCCCGGGGCGTGCCAGCCTCTAGGAACCTCCATGTGTTCAGCTATCCTGAAGCACTCTCTAAACCCTATCCTCTTGGTTTTTTGTTTGTTTGTTTTTGTTTTTGTTTTTGTTTTAAGACAGTCTCACTCTGTCACCCAGGCTGGAGTGCAATGGCACGACCTCAGCTCATTGCAACCTCCACCTCCCAGGTTCAAGCAATTCTCTTGCTTCAGTCTCACAAGTAGCTGGGATTACAGGTGCCTGATACCACACCCATCTAATTTTTTTGTATTTTTAGTAGAGATAGGGTTTCACCATGTTGGCCAGGCTGGTCTCGAACTCCTCACCTCAAGTGATCCACCCGTCTCTGCCTCCCAAAGTGCTGGGATTACAGGCGTGAACCACCGTGCCCAGCCTCCCTCGGGGTTTTATGGAGGCTTCATGGCATGAGCATTCCTTCCCCCAGGGTATAGTAATGTGGAGCATTTTTTCATATGTTTCTTGGCTGCTTGTATGTCTTCTTTTGAGAACTGTCTATTTATGTCTTTGCCCAGTTTTCCTGGGAGGATCTGAAGACCCACAGTCAGAAAGGTAGAAATAGATTAGAGTCCTGCTTTGGAGCAGGTGAAAGAACAGGGGAGAGATTCTGTTTCCTGAGGCTTAACACACCTAATATTATTTAAAAAAGCTGTAACAAGGACTATGGGAGTTATGAACTAGGAACTGTGGAGGAAAACCAATGTATAACACCACATGGTGAGAGATCGGGGTCCAGTTTCATTCTTCTGCATATGGTTAGCCAATTTTCTCAGCGCCATTTACTGAATATGGTGTGGATTCACCTTTTTTTTGAGATGGAGTTTTGCTCTTGTCACCCAAACTGGAGTGCAATGGCGCGATCTCCACCCACTGCAACCTCTGCCTCCCGTGTTCAAGCAATTCTCTTGCCTCAGCCTCCAGAGTAGCTGGGATTACAGGTGCACGTCACCACACCCAGCTAATTTTTATATTTTACTAGAAACAGGGTTTCACCATGTTGGCCAGGCTGGTCTTGAACTCCTGATGTCAGGTGATCTGCCCGCTTCAGCCTCCCAAATTGCTGGAATTACAGGCATATGCCACCGTGCCCGGCCAATTCACCTATTTTTAACACTTTGCCCATTTGCTTAATTATGTGCTATATACATATACCACACACAAATAATATTTTTTGAGCCATTTGAATGTGGGTCATACGCATTATAACTTTTTACCCCTAAATACTTCAGTGTGTATTTCTAATAATAAGGATATTTCTTATACAATACAGATTTCAATCTCAGTAAATTTAACATTGATTCAAGAATTCTATTTAATCTCCCATCCATGTTCCAATTTTGTCAGCTGACCCAGTAATATCCCTTATAGCATTGTTTTTCTCTTCCGGAGCAGTAGCCAAATACCACATTCAGTTGTCATGTCTCTTTAGTTTCCGTTAATATGGACCGTTTTCACAGCCTCTGTGTGTGTGTGTGTGTCTTTTATGACATTGATATTTTTTAAGAATATAGCTACCCCTAGGCCGGGCGCGGTGGCTCACGCTTGTAATCCCAGCACTTTGGGAGGCCGAGGCAGGCGGATCATGAGGTCAGGAGATGGAGACCATCCTGGCTAATATAATGAAACCCTGTCTCTACTAAAAATACAAAAAATTAGCCGGGCATGGTGGCACACGCCTGTAGTCCCAGCTACTTGGGAGGCTGAGGCAGGAGAACTGCTTGAACCCGGGAGGCGGTGGTTGCAGTGAGCCAAGATCACGCCACTGCACTCCAGCCTGGCAACAGAGCGAGACTCCATCTAAAAAAAAATAATTAAAAAAAAAAAGAATATAGCTACACCTTTTAAAAATGAGAAGGTAGCCAGGCGGGTGCCTCATGCCTGTAATCCTAGCACTTTGGGAAGCCGAGGCAGGTGGATCACCTGAGGTCAGGAGTTCAAGACCAGCCTGGCCAATGTGGTGAAACCCTGTCTCTACTAAAAATACAAAAAAAATTAGCTGGGCCTGGTGGCGGGCGCCTGTAATACCAGCTACTTGGGAGGCTGAGGCAGGAGAATTGCTTGAACCTGGGAGGTGGAGGTTACAGTGAGCCGAGATTGCGCTACTGCATTCCAGCCTAGGTGACAGAGCGAGACTCCACCTCAATCAATCAATCAATCAATAAAATGAGAATGTGTCTCATTTGGAGTGTCTGATTTTTTTCTCATAGTTATGTTTCAATTATGCGTGCGAGTCCAGAATACTGCACAATTGATGCTGTGTTCTTTTCAGGGCTTCTCATTTTGGGAGGCATGTGGTGTGTCCATCTGACCCTCACTGGTGGATGTTCATTTTGGTTATCAAGTCGTTTTCTGACTTCTCTGTATTGCTACCATTTTTTCCCTTGCAACTAACAAGCAATCTGTGGAGAGACTGGAGAGACGCTCTAAGACGGGCTTATATCCTGATCCTCATCAAAATATCTCCAAGATACAGATAGCACCCATTGATGATTCTTTTTTTTTTTTTTTTTTTTTTTGATACAAGCTCTCACTTTGTCGCCTAGGCTGTAGAGCAGTGGCACAATCTCAGCCCACTGCATCCTCTGCTTCCCAGGCTCAAGCCATCCTCCCACCTCTGCCTCCTGAGTAGTTGGGACTACAGGTGTGCACCACCACACCTGGCTAATTTTTGTATTTTTTGTAGAGATGGGGTTTTGCCGTGTTGCCCAGACTGGTCTCAAACTGGTGAGCTCAAGCAATCCGTCTGCCTCAGCTTCCCAAAGTGCTGGGATGACAGGGGTGAGCCATCATGCCCAGCCCAATAATTCTTTTCTAAATCAGTCTTTGCTGTAATGGTTGCACAGTGATGATGACTTTCCATTCCACCTTTCCCTCCACATTTGCCTGTTTGATACTCAACATTTTGATATAAACTACATTCCTCCCTTCTCAAGGGGTACAGTTTTGACATCTTTCGAGGTAAGTGAGATCTGGAGTTCCACTAGAAAGCAGACATTCTTGTGTAAGGCAAGAGAAGGAGATAGCCTGCCTTGCCCAGTCCTTGAAAGCAGAGAAAGAGTGACCTGGGCCAGTTACTCCAAGGACTCCAGCTAAAGGAGCCGAGACTTTCAGAAAAACAAAGAAGCAGAGAGGAATATGCAGAGGCTTCACAAACAGGCTCAGTTTCACATTGTCTCTTCCTGTTACCTGCTGTGTGATCTTCCTCAGCTCATCAGCTCACCTAGCTTCTCTTGGCCTCTGTTTCCTAAGTAGTAATATGGGATAATTCTTACCTTAGAGGCTCATTGGGAAGATCGATGGAAACAATTCTCATATTTTGCTAGGCCCACAGTGTGCTTAATGACAGATGCATATTATATAGAATATGGGGAAATTATTTTGTGCTTTAATTTTGTTTCATTTCAACAAATGTTTACTCAGAACCGATCATACAGTAAGCCATTGTGCTTGGAGCTGGAGACAAAATAAATCAGCCCCTAAAAGTTCACAATCCAGAGGAAGGAAAATACAAATTTAATTCCACTCCTAGGTATTTACCCAAGAGAAATAGAAACATATATCCACATAAAGATTTGTTAAGAATGATCATAGTAGTGGATCTCACTAAGATAGTAGTTTGGCAATTACCAGAAGCTAGGAAGCGTAGGCAAGAGGGGGAGATGAAGACAGGATGATTGATGGGTACAAAAGTACAGGTAGATAGAAGAAATAAGACCTAGTGTTCAATAAATAGTAGTATCAGTAGTGATTAAACAATAATCTATTGTATATTGTATATTTTTTATTTTTTATTTTATTTTTTGTTGTTGTTGTTGTTGTTGAGACAGAGTTTCACTCTTCTTGACCAGCATGGAGTGCAATGGCACGATCTCGGCTCACCGCAACCTCCGCCTCCCAGGTTCAAGCGATTCTCCTGCTTCAGCCTCCCGAGTAGCTTGGGACTGCAGGTGCATGCCACCACACCCGGCTAATTTTGTATTTTTAGTAGAAACAGGGTTTCACCGTGTTGGCCAGGCTGGTCTCGAACTCTGGACCTCAGGTGATCTGCCCACCTTAGCCTCCCAAAGTGCTGGGATTACAGGTATAAGCCACCGTGCCCGGCCTGTTGTATATTTTTAAATACCAAGTACAGAATAATTGGAATGTTCCCAGCATAAAGAAAAGATAAATGTTTAAGGTGATGAATTTACCAATTACCCTGACTTGATTATTACACATTATTTGAACACATCAAAACATCACATGTGGCCAGGCACGGTGGCTCACCTCTGTAATCTCAGCACCCAGGCCGAGGTGGGCGGATCACTTGAGGTCAGGAGTTCGAGACCATCCTGGCCAACATGGTGAAACCCCATCTCTACAAAAAATAAAAAAATTAGCTGGGCGTAATGGCGCATGCCTATAATCCCAGCTATCCAGAGGCTGAGGCACAAGAATCGCTTGAACCCAGGAGGTGGAGATTGACGTGGGCCGAGATCTCGCCACTGCGCTCCAGGCTAGCGACACAGCAAGACTCCATCTCAGTAAATAAATAAATAAGTAGTGCCAGGCGCGGTGGCTCATGCCTGTAATCCCAGCACTTTGGGAGGCTGAAGCGGGTGGATCACTTGAGGTCAGGAAGTCGAGACCAGCCTGGCCAACATGGGAAAACCCCGTCTCTACTAAAAATACAAAAATTAGCCTGGCATGGTGGTGTGCGCCTTTAATCCCAGATACTCAGGAGGCTAAAGCCGGAGAATCACTTGAACCCAGGAGGTGGAGGTTGCAGTGAGCCAAGATGGCACACCTGCACTCCAGACTAGGCAACATAGTGAGACTCCATCTCAAATAAATAAATAATTTATAGTAAATAAATTAGTTGGCACAGAGTTGGGCACCTGTAGTCCCAGCTACTCGAGAGATTGAATCAAGAGGATCACTTGAGTCCTGGAGTTTGAGGCTGCAGTAAGCTATGATCACACCACTACACTCCAGCCTGGGTGATGACAGAGCAAGACCCTGTTTCAAAAAAAATAAAATTTAGGCCAGGCACGGTGGCTCACGCCTGTAATCCCAGCACTTTGGGAGGCCGAGGTGAGTGGATCACAAGATCAGGAGTTTGAGACCAGCCTGGCCAATGTGGTGAAACCCATCTCTACTAAAAATACAAAAGTATTAGCCAGGTGTGGTGGCAGCCACCTGTAGTCCCAGCTACTCGGGAGGTTGAGGCAGGAGAATTGCTTGAATGCAGGAGAATCACTTGAACGCAGAGGCAGAGGTTGCAGTGAGCCAAGATGGCGCCACTGCACTCCAGCCTGGGCGACGGAGCAAGACTGTCTCAAAAAAAAAATAAATAAATAAAAAATAAATAAAATTTTGAAAAACAATGCTTATAGCAACTTTATTCTTTTTTTTTTTTGAGATGGAGTCTCACTCTGTCACCCAGGCTAAAGTACACAATCTTGGCTGACTGCAACCTCTGCCTCCCCGGTTTAAGCGATTCACCTGCCTCAGCCTCCTGAGTAGCTGGGATTACAGTAGCATGCCACCATGCTAATTTTTGTATTTTTGTACAGACGGGGTTTCACCATATTAGCCAGGCGTGAGCCACTGCGCCCATCCACAACTTTATTCTTAATAGCCACAAACTGGAAACATGATACTGTGAAATATACACAGTCATGCAACGTTTTGGTCAACAAGCTGCATATATGACAGTGGTCCCATAAGATATACAGATAGATTAATAGATAGATAGATAATTGGTTTTTTTCCTAGAGAGGGTGTCTCATTATGTTGCCCAGGCTGGTCTTGAACCCCTGGTTCAAGTGCTTCTCCCACCTCTACCTCCTAAAGTGCTGGGATTACAAGGTGTGAGCCACTTAGCCCTACCCTATAAGATTATAATACTGCATTTTTGGCCAGGCACGGTGGCTTAAGCCTATAATCCCAGCACTTTGGGAGGCCAAGGCAGGTGAATCGCTTGAGGTCAGGAGTTCGAGACCAGTCTGGCCAAGATGGTGAAACCCTGTCTCTACTAAAAATACAAAAATTAGCTGGGCATGACTGCAGCTGCCTATAATCCCAGCTACTTGGAAAACTGAGGCACGAGAATTACTTGAACCCAGGAGGTGGAGGTTGCAGTGAGCTGAGATTGTGCCACTGCACTCCAGCCTGGAATAGAGCGAGACTCAGTCTCAAAAAAAAAAAAAGATTATAATACTATATTTTTACTGTACCTTTTCTATGTTTAGATATGTTTAGATACATAAATATTTACCAGGTGTTACAATTGCCTATAGTATTCAGTGCAGTAACACGCTGTACAGGTTTGTGGTGTAGGAGCAACAGGCTACATCCTGTACCCTGGGTATTCTAGGTATTTAGTAGGCTGTATCATCTAGGTATGTGTAAGTACACTCTATGGTGTTCGCACAATGATGAAATCACTTAGTGATGCATTTCTTAGAACACATCCCTCTTGTTAAGCTAAGTAAAACTGTATTTGGTCTTTATCCCACTTTTCTGGCATACAACTCCTAAAATTATTGGAATTCAGAGTGGTATCTTTTGTACACTATTAAGTTGCCTGGTGGCTGGCAGCCCCTAGGTAGCTTCAGGATGGGGGCTAGTAACAGCGAAGACCAAGGCAGATTAGAGGGTTGTAACTTTTCAGCACCACTCCCCAACCTCCTGGGAGAGGAGAGAGGCTGACAGTTAAGTCGATCACCAATGGTTAATTATTTAATCAACCATGCCTATGTAATGAAGTCTCCATTAAAAATCCAAATGAGGCCAGGCACAGTGGCTCACACCTGTAATCCTAGCGCTTTGAGAGGCAGAGATGGGCAGATCACTAGAGCCCAGACATTCAAGACCAGCCTGGGCAACATGACGAGACCATCTCTCTACAAAAAAAATAAATACAAAAAAAATTAGGCTGGGTGCAGTGGCTCACGCCTGTAATCCCAACACTTTGGGAGGCCAAGGAGGGTAGATCACCTGAGGTCAGGAGTTCGAGACCAGCCTGGTCAACATGGTGAAACCCCATCTCTACTGAAAATATGAAAAATAGCCAGGCGTGGTGGTGCATGCCTATAATCCCAGCTATTCAGGATACTAAACCTTCAACATATGGGATCTGACTCTATCTCTGGGTAGATAGTGCCAGAATTAAACTGAATTGGAGGACATATAGCTGGTGTCCACAGCTGAAGGACTACTTGCTTGGTGTGGGGGGAAAAACTCCCGTACACTGGTCACAGAAGTATTGTTGACTGCTGAGTAAGAGAATAGGAAAAATCACTTGGTTGTTTTTTTTTGTTCCTCCACCTATAATGTCATGTTTGGTGTCAGAAGTGGGATTTACTACACCAGCCCTGCTCATGGAAACATGTAGTTTGGGAAGAAAAAGGATAAAGGGTGGGAGGTGAGGAACTTTTGATTCCTGGGTGGCCGTGTGGTCCCCCATGGTACGAAGTATCAGCTGTGCTACAATCAGTTACAAAAGGTAAAAGTTACCAATAAAATTTAGAGATGGATCCAACTCCCAGGGAGTAGGTTTACCAAATGGATAAAGAAATGCAAACTAGGCTGGGTGCAGTGACTCACGCCTGTAATCCCAGCACTTTGGGAGGCCGAGGCGGGAGAATCACTTGAGGTCAGGATTTCCTCAACACCAGCCTGGGTGACATGGTGAAACCCTGTCTCTAATAAAAATACAAAAATTAGGTCGGGCACGATGGCTCATGCCTGTAATCCCAGCACTTTGGGAGGCTTCAGCAGGCAGATCACCTGAGGCCAGGAGTTTGAGACTAGCCTGACCAACATGGAGAAACCCCAACCCTACTAAAAATACAAAGTTAGCCAGGCGTAGTGGCATGCGCCTGTAATCCCAGGTACTCAGGAGGCTGAGGCAGGAGAATCGCTTGAACCCAGGAGGTGGAGGTTGCGGTGAGCCGAGATTGCACCATTGCACTCCAGCCTGGGCAACAAGAGCAAAACTCTGTCTCAAAACAATGACAACAACAACAACAAAAATACAAAAATTAGCTGGGCATGGTGGTGCGGGCCTGTAGTCCCAGCTACTTGGGAGGCTAAGGTGGGAGGATCACTTAAGCCTGGGAGGTGGAGATTGAAGTGAGCCTAGATTGCACCACTGCACTCCAGCCTGGGTGACAGAATGAGACCATGTCTCAAAACAACAAAAAAGAAATGCAAACTAATAAGAAAAAAACACAAAATTTCAATTCCTTGTTTACTGTTATATATAATAGCTAAAAATGAAAGTAAAAGGGAGTTCTGGGTCAATCTTGATGCTAGACTAAGTTTAGCTTTCAGTTAGTCTGAGCTTTGGCCACAAGCCACAAAGCCTCCCCCAGAAGGGAAAAATTATAGAGAGACAACAGAAAGTACCTCTAAGACCTGTGGTTACCAAAAAGGCAGTCAATGCGGGGAAGCAGCAAAACCAAGATACTGTGAAAACTAGAGGGATAGTATGAAGGAAGCGTTTCATTTTGCAGATTGGTATCATCAGGCTCCTGAGGAGGCTTTACTAAAATGGATTTTGAGAGCAACAAATTTAGGAGCAGTATCTTTGGTTTGAAGTGCTGCAGAGTGAAAGAGCATGTTTGGGTTGATACAGGACCCACAGCTCACTATGGAACAATCACAGATAGCTCTACGACACACAGACACATAGGAGGTTATTCCCAAGGGAACAGCCAGCCTGATGGACTGGATAAAAGCCATGGTAAGGTCTGTTTACCCTGCAAAGGGGGACTGCCTGGCTCCACCTACAAATGCCAAATAGAACACTCAGATGAAGCAGCTGATATACTTCATATGCAAGCCATATGGGACTGGCTTTAGGATAAATGACATATTCACTCACTTAATATTGCCAAGAACCCTTTAATGGGAACCCCAGCCCCCTAAAATAACTATATTGCTGCAAAAGGGAAAGACAATTCGGGAAGCCTTATCAAATGTACTGTCTCAGATTCCCCTCACGAGTCTTTCAGATGCTAATAAAAACACTACGTTAGCCATTGTTTCGGACAAAGCTCCTGCACTAGGCCCCAAAAGACCAGACTAAAAACTAAAATGGGCCGGGCAAGGTGGCTAACGTCTGTAATCCCATCACTTTGGGAGGCTGAGGCTGGCGGATCACCTGAGGTTAGCCGGGCATGGTGGCGGACACCTGTAGTCCCAGCTACTCGGGAAGCTGAGACAGGAGAATTGCTTGAACCCGGGAGGTGGAGGTTGCAGTGAGCCGACACTGCGCCACTGCACTCCATCCTGGGCAACAAAAGTGAGACTCTGTCTCAAAAAAAAAAAAAAGGAAAAAACTAAAATAGAATTACTCATGCTAAAATTATATGTTAAGAAACCAAGCTGTTTACCTGACCTTCTGAGAAATCAGAAGAATGAGAGATAATAGCCAAATTCCAAAACAGGCCAGTTTTATGTAACATGATGATGAAGTTCCCTCTGTGTGTGTTTTTTGTTTTTTTTTTTTTTTAGACAGAGCCTCGCTCTGTTGCCCAGGCTGGAGTGCAGTGGCGCGATCTCAGCTCACTGGAACCCCTTCCTCCCAAATTCAAGCTATTCTCGTGCCTCAGCCTCCTGAGTAGCTGGGGCTACAGGCACGTGCCACCATGCCCAGCTAATTTTTTGTATTTTTAGTAAAGACAGGGTTTCACCATGTTGGCTAGGCTGGTCTTGAACTCCTGACCTCGTGATCCACCCACTTCGGCCTCCCAAAGTGCCGGGATTACAGGCGTGAGCCACCACACCCAGCCCCACAACTCCTTAGCTTAACATGGAGACTCCCTTCTATTGATTTCTGGTCTTTAGATAAACTCTCAAACTCTTTTAACCAATGGCAAATCAGAGACTCTTTGAAGTCCATTTATGACCTAGACTTGGAAACACCCGCCACTTGAAGATGTCCTGCCTTTCCAGACCAAACCAATGTACATCTTACATGTATTGATTGATGTCTTCTGTCTCCCTAAAATGTATAAAACCAGTCTGTAGGCCGGACGCGGTGGCTCACGCCTGTAATCCCAGCACTTTGGGAGGCCGAGGTGGGCGGATCACGAGGTCAGGAGATCGAGATCACCCTGGTTAACACGGTGAAACCCTGTCTCTACTAAAAAAATACAAAAAATTAGCCGGGCATTGTGGTGGGCGCCTGTAGTCCCAGCTACTCGGGAGGCTGAGGAAGGAGAATGGCATGAACCCAGGAGGCAGAGCTTGCAGTGAGCTGAGATTGAGCCACTGCACTCTAGCCTGGGCGACAGAGCGAGACTCCATCTCCAAACAAACAAACAAACAAACAAACAAACAAAAAAACCAGTCTGTGGCCTGACCACTGTAAAAACTAAAGGTTCCTCTTCAAAGACTTTCCTCCCCATTTAATTAGGAATAAATAGTAACTTCTCTTAGAAGCAAAATTTATTCAAAGACCTGTGCTAACATTCTTAAATATCTGCTAGCCATGATAAAGAAATCAATGTACTTTATGTTTTTAGCTTCCAAGGTGTTTTTACCTTTCTTAGCATTCCACAAGTTACTTTCTCCTTCCTTTGTTCTCCTCTACCTTTGCCTCTTTTAAAAAGTTCTAAGTTGCTAGCCAATCAGGACAAATACAGAATGTGAGGTCCCGTTCCAGCCAGTGGAAACCAGACACAGCAGTAGGGTGGATGTGTCAGGTTATAAATGACCCTGTCTCCTTTGTTCAGTGTACTCTCGTGGCAAAACTGCTGGTGAGTGTACCCTTTCTGCAGGAAGTAAAAATGGCCTTACTAAGGAAATTATATTTATGTTCAAGTGCTATTTCTTTACGGCACTGGGAAACAAGCATTTCAAATGCCACCTTGGGCACATGTTCTCAGGATCTCCTGGGGCTCTGTCATGGCCCATGGTCACTCATATTTGGCTCTGAATAAATCTCTTCAAATATTTTACTGAGTTTGACTCTTTTCTTTGACAGTACCCTTAAGATTTGTTTATTTCTTTTTCTTTTTCTTTTTTTTCTTTTTTGAGATGGAGTATCACTCTTGTCGTCCAGGTTGGAGTGCAGTGGTGCGATCTCGGCTCACTGCAACCTCCACCTCCCGGGTTCAAGCAAGTCTCCTGCCTCAGCCTCCCAAGTAGCTGGGAACACAGGCACACACCACCATGCCCAGCAAATTTTTGTATTTTTAGTAGAGATGGGATTTCACCATGTTGGCCAGGCTGGTCTCGAAATCCTGACCTCGGGTGATCCACCCACCTCGGCCTCCCAAAGTGCTGGGATTACAGGCATGAGCCACCGCGCGTGGCCTTTTTTTTTTTTTTTTTTTTTTTTTTTTTTTTTTTTTTTTCAAGATGGAGTTTTGCTCTTGTTGCCCAGGCTGGAATGCAATGGTGCGATCTCAGCTCATTGCAACCTCTGCCTCCTAGGTTCAAGCGATTCTCCTGCCTCAGCCTCCATAGTAGCTGAGATTACAGGCATGCGCCACCACATCTGGCTAGTTTTGTATTTTTAGTAGAGATGAGGTTTCACCATGTTGGTCTGGCTGGTCTCAAACTCCTGGCCTCAAGTGATCCACCTGTGGGATATGATGAGGTTTCTCTTCAGATAACCTGATCAATCATTTATTCTTTAATTCATAGTACCCCCCACCCTTTTTTTTCTCCTTTTTCTCCTTTTTTCCTTTTTGCCTTTGTTAGATGCCCAGGCACGCCGCCACAGTACCAGGCGTTATCAGTACCAGCTCACATTCCTTTCCTTATTTGGAAAGAGGACTAACTTTGTAGCTCATTACAGACACCCCTTACCCTTCCTCTCCACTTTCTTTTACGTGCCCACCCTATCTAAAAAAAATCAAATGTTTAGCCAACCGGGATTAGTTTAAATTGTATGACCCGGCCCCGGCCAATGGGGAAAGGGTACAGGGGCAGAACTTGTGTCAGGAATAAAGGCTCTCATGCTCCTTTGTTCAGGTGTGCTCTCATGGCAACTGGCCAAGGAGGCACCCCTCTGCACAGAAACAAAATTGCTTTGCTAAGGATCCTTTGTTCAAGTGTTCAATTTCCTTAGGATTTTGAGCGTTATTCCTAACGCACCTGCCTCGGCCTCCCAAAGTGCTGGGGTTACAGGCACGAGCCACTGCGCCTGGCCTATTTTTTATTTGTTTATTTATTTTTGAGACAGAGTTTCACCCTGTTGCCCAAGCCAGAGTGCAGTGTCAAGATCTTGGCTCACTACAACCTCCGCCTCCCCGGTTCAAGCGATTCTTCTGCCTCAGCCTCCTGAGTAGCTGGAATTACAGGCATGCCACCGTGCCCAGCTAATTTTTTTATTTTTAACTTTTTTTAGTAGAGACGGGGGTTTCACCACGTTGGCCAGGCTGGTCTCAAACTCCTGACCTCAGGTGATCCACTGGCCTTGATCTCCAAAAATGCTGGGATTACAGGCATGAGCCACTGCGCCCGGCCAAGATTTGATTATTTCATTGTGTAGAGACTAACTGGCCATGTTGTCTTCTGATTAACCCCTGTTCTGGGAAGCAATGCATTTTTGATATGTACATTATGTAATCCCAGCACTTTAGGAGGCTAAGACAGGAGGACCCCTTGAGTCTATGAGTTTGAAACCAGCCTGGGTAACATAGTGAGATCTCGTCTCCACAAAAAATTAAAAAATTAGACAGGCATGCCCCTGTTAGTCCTAGCTACTTGGGAGGCTGAGATGAGAGAACTGCTTGAGCCCAGGAGGTTGAGGCTGCAGTGAGCCAAAATCGTGCCACTGCACTCCAGCCTGGGTGACAGAGCCAGACCCTGTCTCAAATAAATAAGTAAATAGGCCAGGTGCAGTGGCTCACGCCTGTAATCCCAACACTTTGTGAAGCCGAGGTAGGCAGATGACCCACGGCCGGGAGTTGAGGCCATCCTGGCCAACATGGTGAAACCCCATCTCTACTAAAAATACAAAGATTAGCTGGCGGGGGTGGTGCACGCTGGTAATCCCAGCTACTCAGGAGGCTGAGGCATGAAAATCTCTTGAACCCTAGAGGCGGAGGTTGCAGTGAGCCGAAATCACACCACTGCACTCTAACCTGGGCAACAGAGTGAGACTCTGTCTCAAACAATAAACACATAAATAACAATAAGCAAGTATGATAAAGTGTTAATAGGCCGGGCACAGTGGCTCATGCCTGTAATCCCAGCACTTTGGGAGGCTGAGGCGGGTGGATCACGAGGTCGGGAGATGGAGACCATCCTAGCTAACACAGTGAAACCCTGTCTCTACTAAAAAAAATACAAAAAAAATTAGCGGGGCGTGGTGGCGGGCGCCTGTAGTCCCAGCTACTTGGGAGGCTGAGGCAAGAGAATGGCGTGAACTCGGGAGACGGAGCTTGCAGTGAGCTGAGATCATGGCACTACACTCCAGCCTGGGCGATGGAGCGAGACTCCGTCTCAAAAAAACAAAAAAAAAGGGTCGATAGTAAAAACAAAGTGCCAGAGATATGGGTGTTAACTTTAAAATTCCTTCAACTTTGCTGTGTATTTGAAATGTTTCTTTATAAAATGTTGAGAAGACATTCACGCACAATGCTGTATAGTTCAAATTGGACTTTGATGTGTGGTACATAGAGAAATAACCAGTTCGGCTGGGTGCGGTGGCTCACACCTATAATCTCAGCACTTTGAGAGGCCAAGGCAGGTGGATCACTTGAGGTCAGGAGTTTGAGACCAGCCTGGCCAACATGGCAAACCCCATCCCTACTAAAAATACAAAAATTAGCTGGGCATGGCACGCACGTGTAATCCCAGCTACTCGGGAGGCTAAGGCAGGAAAATCACTTGAACCTGGCAGGCAGAGGTTGTAGTGAGTCGAGATCGCGCCACTGCACTCCAGCCTAGGCGACAGAGCGAGACTCTGTCTCAAAAAAAAAAGAGAGAGAAATAACAAGTCTGCTGAGGGAGCACAGAAGAGAACATGATCATTTCTGCTGGGACAGGTGGCAGTGAGGGTTAAAGAGAATCTTATAGCAGAGGAGTCCAAGGAACTGGGCCTGAAAGACAAGCTTTTAAAGGCAGAGGAAGAAAGAAAGTGGAAAAAGGGCATTTCATTAGATAAAAACCAGGGCAACATGAGAATGCAAGGCCCATTTGGGAAGCTGCAAATCAGCAGAGACTCTGGGGGGCAGAGCAGCAGGGGAGGAAGCTGACAAGCTGAACTGCGTCCAGGCCGGGACGGCGTGAAAGACAGACAGGAGCATCTAGTTTTGACTCAGTCAACAATGGGGACCAGGTGCAGTGGCTCACGCCTGTAATCTCAACACTTTGGGAGGCCGAGGCGGGTGGATCACTTGAAGCCAGGAGTTTGAGACTGGCCTGGCCAATCTGGCAAAACCTCATCTCTACTAAAAATACAAAAATTAGCCAGGCATGGTGTTGTGTGCCTGTAGTCCCAGCTGCTTGGGCGGGTGAGGCACAAGAATCCCTTGAACCTGGGAGGCAGAGGTTGCAGTGAGCCGAGATCGCACCACTGCACTGCAGCCTGGGCAACAGAGTAAAACTCTGTCTCAAAAAAAAAAAAAAAAAGAAGAAAAAAAAAAAAGCCAATAGGGACCAAATACAATGGCTCACGCCTGTAATCCCAGCACGTTAGGAGGCTGAGGTGGGAGGATTGCTTGAGCCCAGGAATTAGAGACCAGCCTGGGCAACATAGCAAGACCCTGTCTTTATTTCTTTCTTTCTTTTTTTTTTTTTAAAAGACAGAAAGAAAGAAAAGGAAAGAAACAACAATAGGGAGCCGCCAAGCAGGGTGTGTGTGTGAGATGGGTGGAGGCTTGCTCTGGAAGGGCTCATCTGACAGAGCAGAGGAGACGGGGAGAGAGCCAGTTGTAGGGAGGAACAGCAAGGCTGTTCGTCAAGGTTTTCTATTGTTTTCATTAGCAAAATGACAATCAGTGCAACTTTTGTGACAGAAAAATGGTTACGACGGCCTGGTGCAGTGGCTTGTGCCTGTAATCCCAGCAATTTGGGTGGCCGAGGCGGGAAAATCACCTGAGGTCAGGAGTTCATGACCAGCCTCGCCAACATGGTGAAACCCCGTCTCTACTAAAAATACAAAAATTTGCTGGGCATGGTGGTACACGCTTGTAATCCCAGATACTGAGGAGGCTGAGGCAGGAGAATCCCTTGAACCCGGGAGGCAGAGGTTGCAGTGAGCCAAGATCATGCCATTGCACTCCAGCCTGGGCAACAAGAGTGAGACTCCATCCCCCTGCCAAAAGAAAAAGAAAAAGAAAAATGGTTATGACATGACCTTCCCAGAGGCAGGGCAGCAAGATAATTCAGTTTTCAGTTTGTCCCAATTCCCAGTTTTCTGGGAACTCTGACCTCCCTAAAGACTTTCTGTTTCTGTTTGAAGCTCTAGGCTGTCCGTGGACCTTCCTTCTGGCCCTCAGCCACCACCCAAAGGATGCAACTCCAGAATGAACACACTAGGAGTCAGGAAACTTGGTTTCTAGCCCTGCTTTTGCCACTTTCCCTATCTGTGCCCCAGGCTCCTCATTTGTAAATTGGTTGTGTTGTTATGATTGTTTTCCAGGCTTCCTTCCAGTTTCAAAGTTTTGTTTTTTTTTTTGAGACAGGGTCTCACTCTGTCACCTAGGCTGGAATGCAGTGGCACAATCACAGCTCACTGCAGCCTTGACCTCCTGAGCTAAAGCAATCCTCCCACCTCAGCCTCCCAAGTAGCTGGGACCATAGCCGTGCACCACCACAAATGGCTAATTTATTTTATTTTATTTTTTTACTTTTGTAGAGATGGAGTCTCTCTGTGTTGCCCTGGCTGGTCTTAAACTTCTGGGCTCAAGTGATCCTCCCTCTTCGGCCTCCCAAAATGCTGGAATTATAGGCGTGAGCCACTGCTTCTGGTCTCAAGACTTCTTTAATCTGGTCTTCTTGCAACCGGCCTTCTAGGTCCTCTCTCAAATGTTCATTTACCCCTTGACTTGCAGTGTCTTTGTGATCTTGGAGACCCTCCTCTGTTCTATCCATCTGCCTGTCTTACCTCCTTCCTCCCCTGTCAAGAGTGTCACTGCAGTGTCTAGATCCAGCTCCTGGCTGGGACATGAAAGAGCCCTGCTGACAGGTAAAGGCCTCTGAGCCTTAGGGGGTGAGCTTGTGAAAGAAGTGACAGTTCCCACTTCCCTGGGTTGTGATAAAGAACAACAGACTGCCTTGTGGAATCACCCAGCCTGGGGTCTGAGCACCAGGCACTCAGCTCACCTCTACACCTTCCCTTTCTCTGAGCCTTATTGAGTTCTAGGGAAAATTCAAAGGTTTTTTTTCCCCTTTTAATTGCATGTATTTTAATGCTGAATTTACTTCCATGCCATAAGTTTTTGTTTCTTCAGTTTCTTCTGGGATATCTTTTTCTTCTGGGCAACCTCCTCTTCTGGTTTAGGAACAATCTGTTCCTTTTCAGTAAGGACCATCTTGATGTGGCAGGGAGAGCTCATGTATAGGTTAATCCGACCATGAGCTCTGTAGGTCCGGCAGCGCATCTTAGATGCTTTGTTCACTTGGATATCCTCAAATGACCAGAGAATCTACATCGAAACCTTTAAATTCAGCATTACTCTCTGCATTTTTAAGCATGTGCAGCAAAAATTCAGCACTCTTTTTGGGACACCAATTTTGTGTCCAGCCCCACTGCTTGGCCTGGGTACACCTGCCAACTCTACCGTTGTAATGTCGGAATGGTACGCACTGTTTCTGTAAAGTGACATCTTTCAGATACTTCGTGGCTTTTCGTACATGCATATCCATGATGGCCTGGGCAGTTTCACGAGTGTTCTTAAAGTGAACACGAAGATTGGAACCTCTTGATTTGCATGATTTTGCGGGGTTCTCTGGGTCAAGTGAATAGTGAACCATTTTCACAGATTACCTCAGGCTGCTTAGGGAAAGAGGAAGAGCAATGGCTTCTGGGAGAACTCATGAGAACTTCGTATTGAAAGTTTTACACACATCACCCCCTTGAGTTCTCACAATGAGGTTGGAATTTGTTCTCCTTTGACAGATAAGGAACTGAAGGCTCAGAGGAGCTACACAACTTGCCCAAGGTCACAGAGGGAGATCCAAGAAATTCACAACCAAGCCATGAAAAGGAATAGTTACTCAGTATCCTATGCACCCAGCACTGACTTTTTTTATTATTATTATTTTTTGTTGAGACATAGTCTCGCTCTGTTACCCAGGCCACAGTGCAATGGCACGATCTGGGCTCACTGCAACCTCCACCTCCCGAGTTCAAGCAATTCTTCTGCCTCAGCCTCCCAAATAGCTGGGATTATAGGCGCGTGTCAACACGCCCAGCTAATTTTTGTATTTTTAGCAGAGATGGGGTTTCACCATGTTGGCCAGGCTGGTCTCGAACTCCTGACCTCAGGTGATCCGCCTTCCTTGGCCTCCCAAAGTACTGGAATTACAGGTGTGAGCCACCGCGGCCAGCCCCAGCACTGACTTTTAAAAATGCTCAGTGGCACCAGGCGCGGTGGCTCACGCCTGTAATCCCAGCACTTTGGGAGGCCGAGGCAGGCGGATCACCTGAGGTCGGGAGTTCGAGACCACCCTGACCAACATGGAGAAAACTCGTCTCTACTAAAAATACAAAATTAGCTGGGTGTGGTGCCTGTAATCCCAGCTACTCAGGAGGCTGAGGCGGGAGAATCGCTTGAACCCAGGAGGCAGAGGTTGCGGTGAGCCAGAGATTGTGCCATTGCACTCCAGCCTGGGCAACAAGAGCGAAACTCCGTCTCAAAAAAACAAAACAAAACAAAACAAAATGCTCAGTGGCTCACACCTGTAATCCCAGTACTTTGAGAGAACGAGGTGGGAGGACCGCTTGATCGCAGGAGTTTGAGACAAGCCTGGGCAATATGATGAAACCCTGTCTCTACAAAAAATACAAAAATTTACTGGGCATGGTGACATGCACCTGTGGTCCCAGCTACATGGGAGGCTAAAGCAAGAGGATCGCCTGAGACCAGAAGTTTGAGGCTGCAGTGAGCTGTGATCGTACCACTGCACTCAGTCTGGGTGACAGAACAAGACTGTCTCAAAAAATAAAATAATAAAATAAAATAATATATAAATATACACCATGATCCCCACTGCTAGACTCCACACAGGCCCTGAAGAGCTGATAGAGCAGAGTAAAACACACTGCTACTGGGGGGAGCCTGTCCAGGGGGTGCTGGTGCACAGATGGGGAGGCGAGGGCAATGGGGTGGGTTGTGCTCAGCAGCCTGGGACAGCAAGAGAGAAAGAGGTGGCATTTGCTGCTTCTTAGGGAACAGTAGGAGTTCCCAGACTCCCTCATTCACTGAGAACATCCTGATATTTCACCTGGGGGCGAATTGTTGCTGGTGGCGGGACAAGGCAGAGGAGGGCCTTCCAGGCTCCCTCAAAAACATGGAGTCAAGAAGCTGAGGCATATATCTTTCCTGTTCTCCCGGGGGAACGCACTCTCCTCCCCCTCCAGCCTGCACAGCATTGCATTCATTTTCCTCTTGTTTTTGTGTGTGTGTGTGTGATTTTTTTTTTTTTTTTTTTTTTGGAGACTGAATCTCACTTTGTCACCCAGGCTGGAGTGCAGTGATCTCGGCTCACTGCAACCTCCACCTCCCAGTTCAAGCAACTCTCATGCCTCAGCCTCCTGAGTAGCTAGGATTACAGGTGCGTGCCACCATGCCTGGCTAATTTTTTTGTATTTTTTTAGTAGAGATGGGGTTTCACCATGTTGGACAGGCTGGTCTGGAACTCCTGATCTCAAGTGATCTGCCTGCCTCGGCCTTCCAAAGTGCTGGGATTACAGGCGTGAGCCACTGCACCCTGCCTCATTTTTATCTTTCAGCATTTAGCTTCTCTGTTAATATTACGGTCATGTCATTCATATGTTCATTTGCAGAATGTACATTTCTTTTCTTTCTTTCTTTCTTTTTTTTTTTTTTTTTTTGAGACAGGGCCTCACTCCTCACTCCAGTCTCCCAGGCTAGAGTGCAGTGGCATGATCACAGCTTTACTGCAGCCTTGACCTCCCGAACTCAAGCAGTCCTCCTGCCTTAGCTTCCCAAGTAGCTGGGACTACAGGCACACACCACCATCCCAAGCTAATTTTAAAAATTTTTTGTAGAGACAAGGTTTCCCCATGTTGCTCACGCTGGTTTCAAACTCCTGAGCTTGAGCAATCCTGTTGAAATTACAGGCGTGAGCCACCGCACCTGGCATACATTTCTTGAATGCTAACTATGCACACGACACTCTGTATGCTAGTTGTGTGAGGCACACAGATATGAATAAGGCATCCTAACCCCCGATGGCCACTAAGAGGGAGCTACATATATAAATAATCATAATACAAGGAAGAAGATGTTAAGTGGTCCAACTAAGATTAAGATAAAGCATTATAAAAGTTCAGAGATGAGAAAAATAATTTACAAAGGGCAGTCGGAAAAGATTTCATGGAGGAGGCAACATCTGTGTTCACTATTGAAGGAGAAAGGACAATTTTTAAATGTAAGGAATAGCTGTGTGCAGTGGCTCACGCCTGTAATCCCAGCACTTTGGGAGGCCAAGGTGGGTAGATCACCTGAGGTCAGGAGTTCGAGACCAACCTGGCCAACATGGTGAAACCCCATCTTTACTAAAAATACAAAAATTAGCCAGATGTGGTGGTGCACGCTTGTAATCCCAGCTATTTGGGAGGCTGAGGCATAAGAATCACTTGAACCTGGGAGACAGAGGTTGCAGTGAGCTGAGATAGCACCACTATACTCCAACCTGGGCAACAGAGTGAGACTCTGTCTCAAAAAAAAAAAAAAAAGTTAATGGACAAGCTGAGATGGGCTTTCTGGTTAGAGGGCACAGTGTGAGCCAAAGTAGGCTCTGCAAACGTTTGGATTATGTGACTCTTTTTTTTTTTTTTTTTTTTTTTTTTTTAGACGGAGTCTGGCTCTGTCACCCAGGCTGGAATGCAGTGGCGCAATCTCGGCTCACTGCAAGCTCCGCCTCCGGGGTTCACACCATTCTCCTGCCTCAGCCTCCCGAGTAGCTGGGACTACAGGCGCCTGCCACTACGCCCAGCTAATTTTTTATATTTTTAGTAGAGACGGGGTTTCACCGTGTTAGCCAGGATGGTCTCGATCTCCTGACCTCGTGATCCACCCGCCTCGGCCTCCCAAAGTGCTGGGATTACAGGCGTGAGCCACCGTGCCCAGCCTGATTATGTGACTCTTTAAACTTGTGAGGCCATGTTGGTATAGCTGGCTCACTACTACCTCCCCAGCATCTGGCCTGGCCTGGCCTGGCCTGGCATACACAAGGCACTCAGTAAAAATGTGTTGCTTTTTTTTTTTTTTTTTTCTGAGACAGAGTTTTACTCTTGTTGCCCAAGCTGGGGTGCAATGGCATGATCTCGGCTCACTGCAACCTCTGCCTCCCGGGTTCAAGCGATTCTCCTGCCTCAGCCTCCTGAGTAGCTGGGATTACAGGCATGCGCCACCACGCCCAGCTATTTTTTTGTATTTTTAGTAGAAATGGGGTTTCTCCATGTTAGCCAACTGGTCTTGAACCCCTGACGTCAGGTAATCTGCCCACCTCAGCCTCCCAAAGTGCTGGGATTACAGGCATGAGCCACCGCACCGGGCCTAAAATTTGTTGCTTTGGTCAGTGGTTCAGTTTGGCTGGAGTGTAGGGAGCTTGGAGAGGGACAATGGGCAGAAGGAAAATCTTAGTTATTCATTGCCTCACAACAAATTACCTCAAATCTTCGCGGCTTACTACAACAATAAACATTGATTATCTCTCACAGTTTCTGCAGATCAGGAATTTGGGAATGGCTTGGCTGGGCGGTTCTGGCTTGAAATCTCAAGAATTTCAATCGCATTTGGATAGGGCTGCATCATCTGAGGGCTTGGCTGAGGCCAGGGGATTCCCTTTCAAGGTCGCTTACTCACAGGGCTGGCAAGTTGATGCTGGCTTTGGCAGGAGATCCCGCTTCTTCACCAGGTGGGCTCCTCCACAGGGCTGCTTCAGGGTCCTTATGATGTGGAGATTGACTTCCTCTAGAGTGAGTGGTGGGCATGGAGGCATGCACCTGCGGTCCCAGCTACATGGGAGGCTGAAGCATGTAGTGAGTGATCCAAGAGTCAGGATGTAGGAGGGAGCTGTAACCTCTTCACAGCCAAGCCTTTGAAGTCACTTCTATAGCATCACTTCTGCTACATTCTGTGCACTAGAAGCGAGTCATTTAAGTCTGACCCACTTTCAAGGGAAAGGGAATCAGCCTCCACCTTGGAAAGGGGAAATAGCAGAGAATTTGCAGGCATATTTTAAATCACCACAGACCATGAGGGCAAGAAGGTTTATCTGCTCAGAACTCAGGGGCTCTTCAGCTGAGTGGGACTCCAAGGGATCCAGCTTTCTGTGGGGATCCAGCAGTCCTGCCCTAGTGCCATGTATCCAAGGGACTGTGGGCTTCTGGCAGCAAAACCAAGAACCAAGGCAAGACCCAGTGCTGCCTGCTGTTGAGAAATCTGAAGTGGCTCAGACCAGGGCAGGGGGTGCTCACTGTCTGGCAAGCACATAGCAAGAGGACATGAGCCCTTTTCCCCCAAGAGAGTCAGGGAAGGCCTCCTGGGGGTGGCATCTGAGCTGCATTATTTCAGAGCTTTTATTAGGCCCATAGTGTGGGGCTGGGTGTATACACAGAAGGTTAAATGCGCCTGGTATGGTGCTCAGCAGGCATCAGAAGCCACGCAGGAGAGCTGAGGCCTGGGGAGACCCCCCACTGACCATAGCAGCAGATACTGTCTCTGCCCTGCAGATGGTGAGACCTTTCTAATGCCACTTGGTGTTGGCATACAGCTTTTCAGATGGGTGTGGACTGTCCCACAAGAACTCTGTGAGCTCTGTGGGGCGGCTAAAGTGCGCTGGAGATTGTACATGTAAACTTTGTTTGCTCATTTCCCCATTCAAATGTCCTTCAACATTGTTGGGGTCTTCTCCCACTTTCTGCCCCTACTTCTCTGAATGTGCTTACCCTATATGGGCCTGTTTACCTCTCTGCTTCTTCTTTTTTTTTTTTTTTTGAGATGGAGTTTCGCTCTCGTTGCCCAGGCTGGAGTGCAATGGTGCGATTCGGCTCACCACAACCTCAGCCTCCCAGGTTCAAGCAATTGTCCTGCCTCAGCCTCCTGAGTAGCTGGGATTACAGGTGCACACCACCACGCCCAGCTGATTTTTTGTATTTTAGTAAAAACAGGATTTCTCCATGTTGGTCAGGTTGGTCTCAAACTCCCGACCTCAGGTGATCCGCCTGCCTTGGCCTCCCAAAGTGCTGGCATTACAGGTGTGAGCCACTGCGCCCGACCCTTTTTTTTTTTTTTAAATGGACTTTCACTCTTGTTGCCCAGGTGGGAGTGCAATGGTGCGATCTTGGCTCACTGCAACCTCCGCGTCCTTGGTTCAAGCGATTCTTCTGCCTCAGCCTCCCAAGTAGCTGGGATTACAGGTGTTTGCCACCATGCACCTGGCCATTGAACTTTCTTTATCTAGGTACTACACATCTCCCCAGAACCAGAGAACAGCAATGATGTCAGTGGGAAATCCCAGGCAATTGGCACTAATGTCTACGGTGTAAACACCTACAGAGTGTAGTGGTTAAAATTAATGTATATGTAGTTAAGGCTGGGCAAGGTGGCTCACGCCTATAATCCTAGCACTTTGGGGGGCTGAGGTGGGAGGATCACCTGAGGTCAGGAGTTTGAGACCAGGCTGGCCAACATGGTGAAACCCCGTCTCTACTAAAAATACAAAAATTAGCCAGGATTGGTAGTGCATGCCTGTAATCCCACCTACTTGGGAGGCTGAGGCAGGAAAACCGCTTAAACCTGGGAGGTGGAGGTTGCAGTGAGCTGAGATCGCACCACTGCACTCCAGCCTGGGTGATACAGTGAGACTCCATCTCAAAAAAAAAAAAATTAATATATATGTAGTTAAAATTAATTGAGTTGTATACATATTACCTTTCACTGTATATAAATTATTCCTTTATTAAGCAAAGCAAATAATATTAGTAACCCTGTACCTGATGCTCATCATAAGAGAGACCCACACGTGTGCTAAGTAAATGAATCAAATCACATTACCCAACAGACCTCATCCTGTCTAAGACTCAGTAGGGGGTAGGGTTTCAAAGAAGTAAAGAGTGGCACTTTTTGAAGTGCCAGCTTGTCTTTCTGGAGTCCCTCAGTGTTAGCGTTTAAATGCAAGCATTAAGCCCTCTCAATACTTTTTGTTCACTTCTCTAAAATTTTGGTAGGCTGGGCATGGTGGCTCACACCTGTAATCCCAGCGCTATGGGAGGCACAGATGGGAAGATCACTGAAGGCCAGGAGTTTGAGACCAAACGAGGTCCCATCTTTAAGGAAACAAAAATTTTTTTTTTAATTAGCCAGGATTGGTGGCATGCACATGTAGCCCCAGCTACTGGGGAGGCTGAGGCAGGAGGATCACTTGAGACCAGGAGTTCGAGGCTACAGGGAGCCATGATTGTACCACTGCACTCCAGACTGGGTGATAGAGCAAGACCCTGTCTCAAAAAAAAAAAAAAGATAAGTAGGCCTGGAACAGTGGCTCACACCTGTAATCCCAGCACTTTGGGGGGCTGAGGCAGGCCAATTCCATGAATCCAGGAGTTCAGGACCAGCCTGGGCAACATAGCAAGACCCCTTGGCCGGGCATGGTGGCTCACGCCTATAATCCTAATACTTTGGGAGACTGAGGTGGGCGGATCACCTGAGCTCAAGAATTCAAGACCAGCCTGGCCAACATGTGAAACCCCATCTCTACTAAAAATACAAAAATTAGCCAGACTTGGTGGTGGGCACCTGTAATCCCAGCTGCTCAGGAGGCTGAGGCAGGAGAATCGCTTGAACCTGGGAGGTGGAGGTTGCAGTGAGCCAAGATTGCGCCATTGCACTCCAGCGTGGGCAACAAGAGTGAAACTCCATCTCAAAAAAACAAAAAAACAAACAAACAAAAAATCATAGCAAGACCTCATCTCAAAAAAAAAAAAAGGGAGAGAGAAGGCCTATGGCCTTTGGTCAGCACCCTTTCTTGGCCTGGAACGTCCAGCACAAGGGGCAAGTGGGTCAGAAGAGATGAGCTCAGGGCTGGGTGCGGTGGCTCGTGCCTGTACTCTCACCACTTTGGGAGGCTGAGGCAGGCAGATCACCTGAGGCCAGGAGTTTGAGAACAGCCTGGCCAGTGTAGTGAAACCCAGTGTCTACTGAAAATACAAAACTTACCTGGGCTTGGTGGCGCATGCCTGTAATCCCAGCTACTTGGGAGGCTGAGGCAGGAGAATGACTTGAACCTGGGAGGTGGAGGTTGCAGTGAGCCGAGATCCCGCCACTGCACTCTAGCCTGTGTGACTCTGTCTCAAAAAAAAGAAAAAAAGAAAAAAAGAAGAGACGAACTCAGGGCACATGAGACCATAGCTAGGAGCACACATCTACCTTCTGCATTACAACAGGCTACTCCCCTCCCTGTCCAAACAATCTGGGTGAAAGCCACCTCCAAGCATTTCTCCTGGCATGCATCACCACCCCAGAACCTGCCCAGAGATCAGCACTGATGTCAGTGGGGAATCCCAAGCAATCAGCAGAGGGGTGTGCAGCCTGATTTCTCTCTCTGGGGCACCCAGGTGAGAAAAACCCTGCCCAGGGGTATGTTTAACTGGTTTATATATGGAAGTTCCTGGCTCAGAGAACTTGGCTGAGAAGCCACAAGGCACCATGCAGCAGCCAGGTTATATACCTGCCCATACCCAAGACCCATATTTGTGCTCAGCGACCTTCCTTAGAAATAGGAGACAGAAGGCTGGGCGCAGTGGCTCATGCCTGTAATCCTAGCACTTTGGGAGGCCAAGGCAGGCAGATCACCTGAGGTCAGGAGTTCGAGACCAGGCCGGCCAACATGGTGAAACCCCGACTCTACTAAAAATACAAAAATTAGCCAGGCGTGGTGGCAGATGCCTGTAATCTGAGCTACTTGGGAGGCTGAGGCAGGAGAATGGCTTGAACCCCGGAGGCAGAGGTTGCAGTGAGCTGAGATCGTGCCACTGCACTCCAACCTGGATGACAAAATGAGACTCCTTCTCAAAAAAAAAAAAAGTATTACCCAAAGTCATGCTGTACTGGGTTCCAGTCATGGTTCCTTCACTGATGAGCTGCAAGGCCTTCAGGTGATGTATGATGGTACCAGAACCCAATGTGCCCTTGATAAGTGGAATCAGGATCGATCATCATCATCATATTTTAGTTCTATTGGAGGGGGACATAAGTTGGCCATGACAGACTGTGGGTTTTGTCACCTACAATACGCAAAGAAACATGGAAAAGAAAATAGTGGACAGAACAGATTGCTGAGAGGCGGAGCATGGCCCTTGGAGGCAGGTCACACACAATCACCTAGCCCTGTTCTCAGCAGGAAGAATCCATTCTCGCTCAGGTCACTTGCTCAAGCTGGGGACTAGCTTGCCCAATTTAGATGGGAAAGTCATTGGAGAGGACCTTGTTCAGCCAATGAACAAGAGAAATGCCCACACTTTCTTCCAAGATAGAATCCAAGGGGGCTGCACCTAACATGATTCCTCTAAGGCTCCTCCTGGACTCCTGGCCACTGTGGCTGTTGTTCATATCATCAGGAATGAAGCCTGAGCAAGTAATTTGAGGCCAGGGCATCTGGTTGTAAGCACTGGCTTTGTCACTTACTAATGGGTGATCTTGAGCAAGTTGGTTAAGCTCTATAAACCCCAAGTTGCTCATCTATAAATAAAACAGTCATAAACCCTCCGTCCACAAAGTTACTGAGAGGGTCAAGGAAGATAACAAGGATGAAACTACGTGAATGATAGGGAAAATTATTATTAAATAGCAACTTGGCTGGGGCTTCTAGATTCTGGTTTTGCCCCTGCCCTTCTCCTAGGGTAAATCCCTTCCCTTCTCTGCACATTCTGAATAGTTGGGTTAAAAGAGTCTCTGTGTTTGGCCAAGTCTGACAGTGAACAATGAGATGATCGTGGTGGGAAAAGCAGGCGATGGGAACTGCTGGAAAGTCCACACAAGGCCAACAGACAGCAGCAGCTAGTGCTGAATGATGAAAGGAAGTGACCCCATGTGCGTGGCCGTGGGCGGTCCAAGATTCTGGCAGCCCTGGGCTTACGCAGGGAGGCCCCAGCTGATTGGCCTCAGTTTCCTGAGTAGCTCTGGGATGAAGCCCACCCCTGAACGCCAGGGCAAAGCCAGGGCAGGGCCACTTGGAGTGGGAGGGGCAGGCCAGGCAGACATTATGTCATCCGTGCATGTATAAACCACAGGCCCACCCTCCCAGGGCTCCAGCAGCCCTTATGCTCTCTGGCCAGGATCTCTGAGTTCCTTGCTGTGTCCCCAACCCTTCACATTCCAGGCTCCCAAGGAACTGAGCTGGGACCTTCTGGGCTTCTGTCCAAGCAGCTAGTTCTAATTACCCCACCCCCTCATCCCCCAGGAATAAACAATATAGCCTTAAACAAGGGCCACTGCTCAGCCTTGAGGAAAACACTGGGCCACGGTGAGTGTTTATTTCTTTATACCCACACTTTGTTCCAAGATAGAACCTGAAGGAGCTGTATTTATTCTCATTCTCCTGTCCCCTCCCTGGACTTCCAGGCACTTTGAGTTTCACTTGCTCACGTTCACAAGACCCTCTGGGATAGTAGAGGGGACAGGTTTTGAATCAGAAACGTGGCGGTTTGATTCCAGCTCTGCCTCCTTAGTAACTGGCAAGTCTCCCAGTCTCCTGGAGCCTTAGTTTCCTTGTCTATAGAATGGGGCCTATAATATGGACTCATTGGGTTGCTGTGAAGGTGATTCGACTTGGGGCATGTCAGGTGGCTATGCACAGTAGGTGCACCTGAGATGACCTTCCGCTCTCCTTCACCTTTCCATTACACCAGGATTCTCAGACTTCAGAACCACTGGAGGGTTATTAAAGCGCAGATCGCGGGGCCTCACCACCACCAAAGCCTCCGATTCAGATCCTGAGGTTTGCATTTCTAACAGGCTCCCGGGCCTGCTGCTGCGGCTGCTCCAGGAGCCACACTTTGAGAACCATTGCCTTAGAAACTCCTGACCTCAAGTGATCCCTCTGCCTTGGCCTCCCAAAGTGTAGGGATTACAGGTGTGAGGCATTGCGCCGGCCCCAGGTAGTTTTTTGTTTTTTTTTTTTGAGACGGAGTTTCACTCTTGTTGCCTAGGCTGGAGTGCAATGGCATGATCTTGGCTCACCGCAACCTCTGCCTCCCAGGTTCAAGCACTTCTCCTGCCTCAGCCTCCCAAGTAGCTGGGATTACAGGCATGCACCACCACGCCCGGCTAATTTTGTATTTGTAGTAGAGACGGGGTTTCTCCACGTTGAGGCTGGTCTCGAACACCTGACCTCAGGTGATCCACCTGCCTCGGCCTCCCAAAGTGCTGGGATTACAGGCATGAGCCACTGCGCCCAGCCAGTTTTTTGTTTTTTTGAGAAGGAGTTTCACTCTTGTTGCCCAGGCTGGAGTGCAATGGCACGATCTTGGCTCACTGCAACCTCTGCCTCCTGGTTTCAAGTAATTCTCCTGTCTCAGCCTCCCGAGTAGCTGGAATTACAGACGTGTGCCACCACACCCAGCTAATTTTGTATTTTTAGTACAGGCAGGGTTTCACTATGTTGTTCAGACTGGTCTAGAACTCCTGACCTCAGGCAATCCGCTCTCCTCAGCCTCCCAAAGTGCAGGTGTTGTTTTTTGTGTTTGTCTTTGTTTTTTTTTTGTTTTGTTTTTTGTTTTAAAACAGTCTTGCTCTGTCGCCAGGCTAGAGTGCAATGGCATGATCTCGGCTCACTACAACCTCTTCCTCCCTGGTTCAAGCGATTCTCCTGCCTCAGCCTCCCGAGTAGCTGGGACTACAGGCATGTGCCACCACGCCCAGCTAATTTTTGTATTTTTAGTAGAGATGGGGTTTTACCATGTTGGCCAGGATGGTCTCGATCTCTTGACCTTGTGATCCACCTGGCTTGGCCTCCCAAAGTGTTGGGATTACAAGCATGAGCCACTGCCCCCGGTCGGTAGTTTTTCTTAATAGCTTTATTGATATATAATTTACGTACCATAAAATTCACCCATTTTCAATGTACAGTTTAATGAGTTTTAGTAAATGTAGAGGGTTGTATAACCATCACCAAAATCCAGTTTTAGAACATTCCCATTATCCTAAAAACTTCCCTCTGGCCCATTTGCAGTCAACTCTCATGTCCACTCCAAACTGCAGGCAACCCCTATTCTGCATTCTGGCTCTATGTTTCACCATTTCTAGGAATGTCACATATATGGACTCATACAAGGTGTGGGCTGTTGTGTCTGGCATTTTTCAGAGAGGTTCATCCATGCATCAGTATCAGTATGTCATCAGTAGCTCACTCCTTTCTACTGCTGAGTAACTTCCCATTGCATGGATGTACCACAGTTTATTCACTCACCAGTGACATTTGAGCTGTTTCCAGGGTATTTTTCCCCAGTTTTTTTTTTTTTTTGAGACGGAGTCTCGCTGTGTCGCCCAGGCTGGAGTGCAGTGGTGCAATCTCGGCTCACAGCAACCTCCGCCTCCTGGGTTCAAGCAATTCTCCTGCCTCAGCCTCCATAGTAGCTGGGGTTACAAGCACGCGCCACCACGCCTGGCTAATTTTTGTATTTTGTTTTTAGTGGAGATGGGGTTTCACTATTAACTCCTGACCTCGTGATCTGCCCACCTCGGCCTCCCAAAGTGCTGGGATTACAGGCATGAGCCACCACGCCTGGCCTTTTTATTTTATTTTATTTTGAGGCAGAGACTCTCTTTGTCACTCAGGCTGGAGGGCAGTGGCATGATCTCAGCTCACTGTAGCCTCTGTCTCCCAGGCTCAAGTGACCCTCCTGCCTCAGCCTCCCACGTAGCTGGGACTATAGCACATGCCACATGCCCAGCTAATTTTTGTATTTTTAGTAAAGACAGGGTTTCCTCATGTTGCCCAGGCTTGTCTTAAACTCCTGGGCTCAAGCGATCTGCCCACCTCAGCCTCCCAAAGTACTGGGATTACAGGTGTGAGCCACCGTACCCGGCCTGTTTCTAGTTTTATGAGTAAAGCTGCTACGACCATTCATGTACAAGCTTTTGTGGGAGCATTGTGCTTTTTTATTTTATTTTATTTTTTTGAGATGGAGTTTCACTCTTGTTACCCAGGCTGGAGTGCAATGGCATGATCTCGGATAACCGCAACTTCTGCCCCCTGGGTTCAAGGGATTCTCCTGCCTCAGCCTCCTGAGTAGCTGGGATTACAGGCATGCACCAACATGCCTGGCTAATTTTGTATTTTTTTTTTTCCTTGAGACGGAGTTTCGCTCTTGTTGCTCAGGCTGGAGTGCAATGGCGAGATCTTGGCTCACTGCAACCTCTGCCTCCCGGGTTCAAGCAATTCTCCTGCCTCAGCCTCCCAAGTAGCTGGGATTACAGGCGTGAGCCACCGCACCCGGCCTAATTTTGTATTTTTAATAGAGACGAGGTTTCTCCATGTTGGTCAGGCTGGTCTCAAACTCCCTCAGGTGATCTGCCTGCCTCAGCCTCCCAAAGTGCTGGGATTACAGGCGTGAGCCACTGTGCCTGGCCTATTTTTTATTTTTGAGATGGAGTCTTGCTCTGTTGCCCAGGCTGGAGTGCAATGGCATAATCTCAGCTCACTGCAACCTCTGCCTCTCGGGTTCAAGTGATTCTCCTGCCTCAGCCTCTGGAGTAGCTGGGACTACAGGCACACACCACCATGCCCAGCTGATGTTTTGCATTTTAGTAGAGGGAGGGTTTCACTGTGTTGCCCTGGCTGGTCTTGAACTCCTGAGCTCAAGCAATCCGCCTGCCTCGGCCTCCCAAAGTGCTAGGATTACAGGCATGAGCCACCGTGCCCGGCCTATTATTATTATTACTATTATTATTATTTTGAGACATAGTTTTGCTCTTGTTGCCCAGGTTGGAGTGCAGTGGTGTGATCTCAGCTCACTGCAACCTCCACCTCCAGGTTCAAGCAATTCTCCTGCCTCAGCCTCCCAAGTAGCTGGGACCACAGGTGCACACCACTACGGCTGGCTAATTCTTTGCATTTTTAGTAGAGGCAGGGTTTCACCATATTGGCCAGGCTGGTCTCGGACTCCTGACCTCAAGTGATGCGCCCACCTTGGCCTCCCAAAGTGCTGGTATTACAGGCGTGAGCCACTGCACCCAGCCTTTAAATGTTTTTTTGTTTTGTTTTGTTTTTTGAGAAGGAGTTTTGCTCTTGTTGCCCAGGCTGGAGTGGAATGGTGCAATCTTGGCTCACTACAACCTCCGCCTCTGGGGTTCAAGCAACTCTCCTGCCTCAGCCTCCTGAGTAGCTGGGATTACAGGCATGTGCCACCATGCCCAGCTAATTTTGTAGTTTTAGTAGAGACAGTGTTTCTCCATGTTGGGCAGGCTGGTCTCAAACTACTGACCTCAGGTGATCCACCCGCCTCGGCCTCCCAAAGTGCTGGGATTACAGGCATGAGCCACTGTGCCCAGCCTCTTTAAGTGCTATTTTTAAGAGTAAATCCTGGCCAGGCATGGTGGCTCATGCCTGTAATCCCAGCACTTTGGGAGGCCAAGGCCGGTGGATCATAAGGTCAGGAGTTCAAGACCAGCCTGGCCAAGATGGTGAAACTCCGTCTCTACTAAAAATACAAAAATTAGCCAGGTGTGGTGGCGGCCCCTGTAGTCCCAGCTACTTGGGAGGCTGAGGCAGATAATTGCTTGAATCTGGGAGGCAGAGGTTGCAGTGAGCCGAGATCCTGCCGCTACACTCTAGCCTGGGTGACAGAGTGAGACTGTCTCAAATAAAAAAAAAGAGTAAATCCTAATTTACCAACCCACCCCTTCCCACTCTGCAGTGAGTGCAGCCCACTCTGTTGGAGGTATGAGACAAGAGATAATTCCAAAAGACTAACAGGAGCCCCCAGCCTCCCACCAGCAGCTCACCAGTTGAGATCAAACTCAGACCTCTCACAGGCCCTGCCATCCCATAGCCTCACCTCACCCATTGTCATTTCCCTCCCCTACATTACCCCAAATGTTATGCCTTGATTTAGAGCAGGCGATTAGAGGATTTTGCCCTCAGTTAAATTAAACTTCTCAAAGCAGCCAGTAGGGAAGAGAATGAAAACAGGATTGACCCAGATCTCTTGAAAATCCTGGGGCTTTTCATCAATCCTGAGCATCACTAGGCCTGGGATGTTCTCATGGAGGAGGCACTGTCTGGTCCAAAACTAGTGTCCTCTCTGTGTGTACAGCTAGTCCGTAGCAAACTCAGGACCCAGCACTAGCCTTCTACCACAAACCACCCGATTCTTTGCTGCTCTTTTGCTCCCCTGGCTTGGCAGACTTCGTGTCTAAAACGCCTAGACTCTGCTTCTCATATCTCAGGCACATCCTAGCTGCTGTCTGGGAAAGTATTGTTCTTGTTCCCCTTCTGAGCCCTTTCATCTGCCACATGGCAAGGCAGTCAAAGCTGTATTCTCTCTAAATACACAGTCATTTGCAAGGGCCTGAAAGAGTCCATAGAGCAAAGGCTGCCTATCCATAACCCTTTGCTCCAAGCCAGGAGCCAGTTTCTCTCTCCAGCTTCAATGACCCTCTCCCATGTCCAGGCAGTTTCTGGGCTTAAATCATAGCCCATGCCATTTGGTGGAGGAGGTTCTGGCTTCAGAATCCAAATATCTGGTTGTGTTCCTGGGGCAGCAGGGACCTCAGGCTCTTTTTTTTTTTTTTCTATTTTCTTTTCTTTTCTTTTTTTTTTCAGATGGAGTCTTGCTCTGTACCCCAGGCTGGAATGCAGTGGTGTGATCTTGACTCACTGCAACCTCTGTCTCCTGGATTCAAGCGATTCTCCTGCCTCGGCTTCCTGAGTAGCTGAGATTACAGGCATGCACCACCACATCCTGCTAATTTTTGTATTTTTAGTAGAGACGAGGTTTCACTATGTTGACCAGGCTGGTCTCAAACTCCTGACCTCAGGTGATCTGCCTGCCTTGGCCTCCCAAAGTGCTGGGATTACAGGCATGAGCCACCACACCTGGTACACGTTTTATTTTTCATAAAACATTTCCTGAGTGTCTACTATTCATTCTTTCATTCATTGGTTTGTTCATTCATCCATTCAACAGAAACTTAAAGTGCCAACAGTGTGCCACAAACTGTGAAATGCACTAGAAAAAAATAAAAGTAAAAATTTATGGCCGGGAACAGTGGCTCATGCCCATAATACCAACACTTTGGGAGGCTGAGGCAGGTGGATCACATGAGGCCAGGAGTTAGAGACCAGCCTGGCCAAAATGGTGAAATAGAGAAACACCGTCTCTACTAAAAATACAAAAATTAGCCAGGCATGGTGGCGGGCACCTGTAATCCCAGCTACTTGGGAGGCTGAGGCAGGAGAACTGCTTGAACCTGGGAGGTAGAGGCTGCAGTGGGCCAAGATTGTGCCACCACACTCCAGCCTGGGAGACAAGAGTGAAACTTCCTCTCAAAAAAAAAATAGATATCTATAATAGGTATCTATATTTATATATATTTATATGTCTATCATATATATATTTATATATCTATCATATAGTTATATATCTATCTCATATATATATATATATATACATATTTTTTTTTTTTTTGAGACAGAGTCTCGCTCCGTTGCCAGGCTGGAGTGCTGTGGCGTGATCTTGGCTCACTGCAACCTCCATCTCCCAGGTTCAGGCCATTCTCCTGCCTCAGCCTCCCGAGTAGTTGGGACTACAGACGCCTGCCACCACGCCCGCTTAATTTTTGTATTTTTGGTAGAGACAGGGTTTCACCATGTTGACCAGGATCGTCTCAATCTCCTGACCGCGTGATCCACCTGCCTTGGCCTCCCAAAGTGCTGGGATTACAGGCATGAGGGACCGTGCCCAGCCCCAGATATATAATTTTTTTAGGTAGCTGAGCATGCTGGTGTGTACCTGTAGTCCTCAGCATAGGAAAGGCTACAGGTGTTATATATATAATACAAAACAGAGACTTTGGGATGTGGTGATTCACCCAAGGTACCAACTAAAAAGTTGCACAACCAGACTCAAATTCAAGTCTCCTGATGTTAAATTCAGTTCATTTAATGGGACACCTCATTGCCAGACGGACGGGATAATTAATAAATGAGTAAGACGGGGCCCCTCCCTGCAAGTCTCCACAACTGATGTTTCCCGAACACTGGACACCTCCCCTCATTGTAGCCTTTTCCTTGATGCCCTATAAGAAGTACTTGTTTTTGTGGCTGCCATCTTTCTTTCTGGGATTCTGGGAGGCAGAGGCAGTTCTGACAGCTCCATGTTCTAGGAGCCTGCCCAGAACAAGGTATAGCAACTGAATGACGCCAATGTCCGTCTGGGTTCTTAGCTCCAACAATGGCGCAGGGCTTAGGGCACAGCTGCTACCCCAGCTATACAGAGGCTGGGAAAGTGGAGGTCTGGCTTCTGTTTAGGGGAGGCAGGACTCAGAGTGGGAGAGTCTCCAGCTAAAAAGAGTGTTCAAAGGCTCTGCAAGGCCAAAGAGAATACCAGGCTGTGTCCTGGCCTGAATCTGGGTGGGTGAGGAGATCTATACACATTTAGCTCTAATTGAAAGCTTGATTAAGGAGGCCGGGCGCGGTAGCTCATGCCTGTCATCCCAGCACTTTGTGAGGGCGGATCACATGGTCAGGAGTTCAAGACCAGCCTGGCCAATATAGTGAAACCCCATCTCTACTAAAAATACAAAAATTAGCCGGGCATGGTGGAGCACGCCTGTAGTCCCAGCTACTTGGGAGGCTGAGGCAGGAGAATCACTTGAACCCGGGAAGCAGAGGTTGTGGTGAGCCGAGATTGTGCCACTGCACTCCAGCCTGGGGAACAGAAGGAGACTCCGTCTCAAAAAAAAAAGAGAGAAAAACAAACAAACAAACAAACAAACAAAAAGCTACATTAAGGAATCTTCCCAGCAGGGTCTCAACACCCCTGTGGAGGCTTAGAGCCAGGTTCAAGACTTCCGATGGCCAGACCGGGCATGGTGGCTCACGCCTGTAATACCAGCACTTTGGGAGGCCGAGGCGGGTGGATCACGAGGTCAGGAGATTGAGACCATCCTGGCGAACAAGATCAAACGCTGTCTCTACCAGAAATACAAAAAATTAGCCGGGTGTGATCGTGGACACCTGTAGTCCCAGCTACTCAGGAGGCTGAGGCAGGAGAGGCGTGAACCCAGGAGGCGGAGCTTGCCGTGAGCCAAGATGGTGCCACTGCACTCCAGCCTAGGCGACAGAGGGAGACTCTGTCAGAGGGAGACTTCCATTGGCCAAAGCTGCTCCGAGAGATTATTGGCCAAGAAGGCCTTTGAGCTGGACCTGGCCAGATAGCCTTGATCTGCACAGGCATGGAGACACGCAGCCTCTGGGCCATGCCACGCCTAGGTGTGTGGGCAGGATTCACTGGGAATCACAATACTTAGGAGCAAAATGTGGCTCCTTCTTGGCCACCAACTTGAGGAGGGGTCATCAAACATGATGTTGAGCCTTCCAACAAACAGGGCCCAGCTGAACTGTGACACTCTGATACCCTGACAAATGCTCAACTCCTCTGCCAACCTCAGTTTTTCTAAGGTCAACTCTACAGAGAACAGAAAGAGCCAGAGATGTCGGGAAAAAAATGAGAGAAATTATGGATTAAAATATAATCTAAAATAATCATGGCTGGGCGCGGTGGCTCATGCCTGTAATCCAGCACTTCGGGAGGCCAAAGAGGGCGGATCACGAGGCCAGGAGTTCGAGACCAGCCTGGCCAATATAGTGAAACCCCGTCTGTACTAAAAACACAAAAAAATTAGCTGGGTGTGGTGGCAGGTGTCCGTAATTCCAGCTACTCAGGAGGCTGAGGCAGGAGAATCGCTTGAACCCGGGAGGTGGAGGCAGGAGTGAGCCGAGATCACACCATTGCACTCCAGCCCAGTCAATAGCGCAAGACTCCATCTCAAAAATAATAATAATAAAAAAATATATAGGCCGGGCTTGGTGGTTCACACCTATAATCTCAACTCACTGGGAGGCAGAGGTAGGAGGATTGCTTGAGGCCAGAAGTTCAAGATCAGCCTGGGCAGCACAGCAAGACTACATCTCTGGCCAGGCGCGGTGGCTCACGCCTGTAATCCCAGCACTTTGGGAGGCTGAGGCGGACGGATCACGAGGTCAGGAGTTCAAGACCAGCCTGACCAACATGGTGAAACCCCCATCTCTACTAAAAATACAAAAATTAGCTGGGCATGGTGGCGCGTGCCAGTAATCCCAGCTACTTGGGAGACTGAGGCAGGAGAATCACTTGAACCAAGGAGGTGGAGGTCATCCGTGGTTGAGACCCACTGTCTCCTTTTTTTTTTTTTTTTGAGACGGAGTCTCGCTCTGTCACCCAGGCTGGAGCACAGTGGTGTGGTCTCGGCTCACTGCAAGCTCCGCCTCCCGGGTTCACGCCATTCTCCTGCCTCAGCCTCCTGAGTAGCTGGGACTACAGGTGGCTGCCACCACGCCCGGCTAATTTTTTGTATTTTTAGTAAAGCCAGGGTTTCACCGTGTTAGCCAGGATGGTCTCGATCTCCTGACCTCGTGATCCGCCCACCTCAGCCTCCCAAAGTGCTGGGATTACAGGTATTAGACACCACGTCTGGCTCATCTTTTTTTCTTTTAATTAAAATTTAAAAATTAAAAAAAAATAATCATATGGACAAACCCCTAGAGAGCAGAGGAAGGAATAATTAACACTGCCCAGGGGAGTCGGAAGAAGCTTTGGAGGAGGATTGAACTGAGAGAAAAAGATTGGCAGGAGTTTGTTGTGCAAAGAAGGGGAGGGACAGGTGTTTCACCGGAGGGAGCAGCATGTTCAGGGACACACAGCTGTGAACAGGCAAATTGTTGAGGAACGCTGAGAAGTTTGCCTGGACCCGAGGACGAACAGGGAGGCAGGAAGTGAGGCAGGAAAGGCCAGTGGGCAAAACGGAACATGAGACCTTGCTGTGACCTTCAGACAATCTAAACTGCTTGAGAGGTTGAGAAGCTTTGCATTTGGAAGGGAAATTAGCATTTGTGCTGAGAAATAAAGCCGTGCATGGAGCGACAACTCTGTGTCCAGAGCTTTACAAGCATTTGCTCTACATCACAATAAAGTGTGTATTTCACAGACAGGGACACAGAGCTATGGTCTTTCTGCAGTGCAAGCTCTCTGCGAGCAGGGAACACGACCCCAGCACAGCCCTACCAGCTCCTTTGAGGGTGAGGACACCCTCACTTGGGAAGAAGCAAGTTGGAGCTTTATTTTATTTATATATTTATTTAATTAGTTATTTAGTTATTTATTTATTATTACTATTGAGACAGGCTCTCACTCTGTCACCCATGCTGTAGTGCAGTGGCGTGATCTTGGCTCACTGCAGCCTCCACCTCCCAGGCTTGGGTGATCCTCCCACCTCAGCCTCCCTGGTAGCTGGGACTACAGGCATGAGCCACAATGCCTGGTTAATTTTTTGTATTTTTTGTAGAGATGGGTTTGCACTATGTTGCCCAGACTGGTCTCAAATTCCTGAGCTCAAGTGATCTCCTGGCCAGCACTGTGGGAGGCTGAGGTGGGAGGATTGCCTGAGTTTGGGGAAGTTGAGGCTGCAGTGAGATCATGCCACTGCACGCCAGCCTGGGCAACAGTGTGACACCCCATATGAAAAAAACAAAAAAACTGTTGGATGAAGTTTTCTGTAAATATTAATAGTTATTTTAGTTGTCTCTTGGCTTTGGCCAGCACCTTTGGGGAGTATCTCCCAGGCTGTCTGTGGTTCACCAAAATCATGTGGAAAAGGAAGGGGCTCCATTCACTCACTTCCATAGTGATACCCAGGGTGAGAGTGCTCCATAGAGCACTCCCCCGACAGGCAGGCTGCTGAGGGAAGACTTCCTGGAGGGCAAGAGGCCTAGATGACCCAACTAGGAAGAGAGGGAGAAGTGGAGGGGTAGAGTGGGAGATGAGCTCAGGAATGAGGGCAGGGTCTGGTGGAGGCTGCTTGGAGAGGCCACTCAGAGGGAAGAATACCTGCTCCTGGCTCTGCCTGTCACCTCTTGGTTCCTTGTTTCCTCATCTGCCTCAGCAGGCTTCTCTGACCGGGTGGTGGGCAGTGGGAGAGGGTGGAGGAACGACCTTCGCCTCAGCCAGAGTATGGGGCAGGCCCTCTGTGGGGACAGCTGCTTCATGGCTTAGCCTTAGCTGATTATGGTGGCCTCACCATGCCTGTCTGTCCATCTGGAAAATGGGCTCAATAATGGTATCTGCCTCATAGGGTTTCACGAGGACTCGAGGGAGATGACTTTTGCTGCTGTCTTGATTTTGTCTGTTGTTTTTGTAGTTACACAGAGGATAACAGATGAATCAGACACTGAACCTGCCCAACCCTATGTGCTGGACTCATCATAATCATACCTGGGACTTTTGAGAACTTACTGGAACTGTGCTACGTACCCTATATGTATTAAGTCATTTAATTTCCTTTCCTTCCTTCCTTCCTTCCTTCCTTCCTTCCTTCCTTCCTTCCAGACAGAGTCTCGCTTTGTCGCCCAGGCTGGAGTGCAGTGGCACGATCTCAGCTCACTGCAACCTCCGCCTCCCGGGTTCAACCGATTCTTCTGCCTCAGCCTCCCAAGTAGCTGGGATTACAGGAATATGCCACCACGCCCAGCTTATTTTTATATGTTTAGTAGAGATGGGGTTTCACCATATTGGACAGGCTGGTCTAAGTCATTTAATTTTCAAACCACCCTGCTATTTATCCACACTTTACAGATAATGAATCTGAAGTTTCCATCCACCCATCCCCTCCTCCGCTCAGGCGCTCACCAAATCTTACACTCATGAGGTGCTCAGTAGCCTGTGCTTTGGGGCAGCCCACACTTCTTAGCACACCTGGCCCTCCTGACCCAGCCAGATGTCTGGGCAGGCCTCGGAGCTCCCAGACCAGTCACCGCACCCTGTTTCAGCCGCACCTGGCCACCTTCCCTCCCCCGCTGGGTAGCTTGGCAGCTGCCAAGGCTCCTCATTCTTCCTCCTGCACACCCAGCTGTTTGGGCACTGGCAAATGCCAGGCAGGTGAGGTGCCTCAGCTTCCATCGGCCCTGCTACCCTTGCCCTCGAGGTGCAGCATAGGCGTGGGGTGGGGAGCAGGGGAGAGACAGGGTGTCTCCCAAGCTCAGGAGCGCTGAGACTAGACTGCAGCTGAATCACAGCATTAACCCATCTAGAACCAGGGCTCAGGAGAACAAAAATGCCTGTGCATGGCCAGCTGGATCGAGGGAGAGACATGATGCCCAAGAACCTGAGTACCCAGGAGGTGCCCTCTGCCCAGATGTGGGAACAATTTCTCTCACTCATCAAACTTAGATCAAGTGGCCCCAATCTCTTCCTTTATTCTCAACTATTGGTTCAGGACCCATCATGAGGTCAGGAAGGAGAGGGAAAGCAGGGTCTTCCTGCCATAAATTAGTACATTAAGTCTTTCTTTCTTTCTTTCTTTTTTTTGACAGTCTCACTCCATCGCCCAGGCTGGAGTGCAGTGGCACCATCTCGACTCACTGCAACCTCCACCTCCGGCGTTTAAGCGATTCTCCTGCCTCAGCCTCCTGAGTAGCTGGGATTTCAGGCGCCCAGCACCACGCCTAGCTAATTTTTGTATTTTTTAGTAGAGACAGGGTTTCGCCATGTTGGCCAGACTGGTCTCGAGCTCCTGGCCTCAAGTGATCCACCTGCCTCGGCCTCCCAAAGTGCTGGGATTACAAGTGTAAGCCACTGCGCCCAGCCAGAAATTAAGTCTCATAGAAATTCAATGTTGGGCCGGCGCGGTGGCTCATGCCTGTAATCCCAGCATTTTGGGAGGACGAGGAGGGTGGATCACCTTTAGTCTCTACTAAAAATACAAAAATTAGCTGGGCGTGGTGGCCCATGGCTGTAATTCCAGCTACTCGGGAGGCTGAGGCAAGAAGAATCGCTTGAATCTGGGAGGCAGAGGTTACAGTGAACTGAGACCGCACCACTGCACTCCAGCCTGGGTGACAAGAGCAAAACTCCGTCTCAAAAAAAAAAAAAGAAAGAAAGAAGAAGAAATTTAATGTTGGTGTCACCAAGAGATTGCTTCTGGACTCAGTAAATTGAAGCCCAAATTTGGAACTGAAGGCCAGAGGTGAGCAACCTGTCCCAGTGCTCTGCAAGGCGGCCGATGCCAAGCCAGCACCCTTCCCACCATTCTGTGCTGCTTTGTGTTAGAGGAAGGAAATGTCCTGTGTGAATGTACTTTTAACAAAAAGAGAAGACAAAAATAGCCAAAGAATGCTATAAAGGACCCTGAAAATAATCTCCCATTTGTTCAGGGACCACTGAGTTCCTTGGTGGGGTGGACCCAGTGTCCTGCAGAAAGGAGACAATGGCTCAGGCCTTCAAGGATTTTCTTCCCTCCAGACCCACTCCTGTGGGGCTCTTTCCATCGGGGCTCAGGCCTGGGGGTGTTTCCTCACCCCAGTATTCCTGGAAACTCCACCTATCCCACAATTTCCCTGTCTCACTCACCATTCTGCAGCCAGAGGCAGGGCTTGTCAGTGAGGTAGGTGGGGCCAGAGCAGAGGCTTCATGTTTGGTGGCAGCAGGAGTTACCAGGCTAAGGCCTGGAAAGTCCAACACAGAGCTCTGTCCCTATCACTAACTCTGAAGCTCGCGCTCGGTGGCTTCCTGAAATTTCCCCTTCCAACTTCCCACCAGTCAGCCTACTCTCCACCTCCCTGAGAAGCAAGCTCAGCAGCCCATCTCTTGAGAAGGTGACTTGAAAGTGGGAGAAAGTCAAGAAAGAGTCTAGGCCACCAGACGCGGTGGCTCACGCCTGTAATCCCAGCACTTTGGGAGGCCGAGGAGGTCAAATCACCTGAGGTCAGGAGTTCGAGACCAGCCTGACCAACATGGAGAAACCCCATCTCTACTAAAAATACAAAATTAGCCGGGCATGGTGGCGCATCCCTGTAATCCTAGCTACGCAGGAGGCTGAGGCAGGAAAATCGCTTGAACCTGGGAGGTGGAGGTTGCAGTGAGCCGAGATTGCACCACTGCACTCCAGCCTGGGTGACAGAGTGAGTCTCAAAAAAAAAAAAAAAAAAGAAAGAAAGAAAGAAAGAAAGAAAAGAAAAACAAAGAGTCTGGCCTTAGAACCTGAAGCCCAAACATCTACTTCCGTCTCTGCTGTTTGTTAACTGAGTACCGGAAGCAACTCACCCACCTCCATGAGTATGAGTGTTTGCATCCATAAAATGAGGGTGAATTCCATCCTGTGAGAATCAAATGAAAATGGCCACATAGAAGAGAAAACAGCATCCCCAAAGTTAGTCCTCAGGAACTTAAGTCCAATGAGATACTCCATGGAGAAAAGTCTCCATGGGCAAATAGGTTTGGAAAATGCTCTGTCGTCTCTTGAAATTCATGATGCATGCTGGCAGGCCAAGCGCTCTGAGAAACCCTGCAATAAAGAGAACAGGTGAAAATTGTTTAACTACAGGTGTGTACCACCACACCCAGCTAATTTTTTGTATTTTTAGCAGAGACAGGGTTTCGCCATATTGCCCAGACTGGTCTTGAACTCTTGGCCTCAAGTGATTCTCCTGCCTTGGCCTCCCAAAGAGCTAGGATTACAGGTGTGAGCCACCGTGCCTGGCCATATCATGCCATTTATATAAGCGATTTGAGCGTCTTTGGATTTTGATATCAGTGGGGGTCCTGGAACCAACTCCCCACAGATACCAAGGGACAACTGTATTATTCAAATATATCTAAGTTATTCTAACATATGTTTTTTTTTTTTCTTTTTTCTTTGAGATGGAGTCTCGCTCTGTAGCCCAGGCTGGAGTGCAGTGGAGTGATCTAAGGTCACTGCAAGCTCTGCCTCCCGGGTTCATGCCATTCTCCTGCCTCAGCCTCTGAGTAGCTGGGACTACAGGTGCCCGCCACCACGCCCAGCTAATTTTTTGTACTTTTAGGAGAGATGGGATTTCACTGTGTTAGCCAGCATGGTCTCAATCTCCTGACCTCGTGATCCACCTGCTTTGGCCTCCCAAAGTGCTGGGATTACAGGCGTAGGCCACCGCGCCCGGCCTCTAACATATGTTTTATGCTGCTATAACAGAATACATGAGACTGTAATTTATTTACATTTATTTAAAATAGAGACAGGGGTCTCACTATGTTGCTCAGGCTGCTCTTGAAATCCTGGGCTCAAGCAATCGTCCTGCCTCAGCCTCCCAAAGCACTGGGATTACAGGTGTGAGCCACCACACCCAGCTGAGACTATAATTTATTTATTTATTTATTTAAATTTTCAATTTTTTTGTGGGTACATAGTAGGTGTATATATTTACAAGGTACATGAAGTGTTTTGATACAGGCATGCAATGTGAAATAAGTGCATCATGGGGAATAGAGTGCCCATCCCCTCAAGCATGAGACTGTAATTTTTTTTTTTTTTGAGATGGAGTCTCACTCTGTCGCCCAGGCTGGAGTGCAATGGTGTGATCTTGGCTCACTCCACCCACCCCCTCCGGGTTCAAGTGATTCTCCTGCCTTAGCTTCCCAAGTAGCTGGGATTACAGGCGCCTGCCACCATACCTGGCTAATTTTTGTATTTTTACTAGAGATGGGGTTTTGCCATTTTTTTTTTAGATGGGATTTCGCTTTTTGTTGCTCAGGCTGGAGTGCAATGGCACGATCTCGGCTCACTGCAACCTCCGCCTCCCAGGTTCAAGGGATTCTCCTGTCTCAGCCTCCCCAGTAGCTGGGATTACAGGTGCCCGCCACCACGTCCGGCTAATTGTTGTATTTTTAGTAGAGATGGGGTTTCACCATGCTGGCCAAGCTGGTCTTGAACTCCTGACCTCAGGTGATCCGCCAGCCTCGGCCTCCCAAAGTGCTGGGATTACAGGTGTGAGCCGCCACCTGGCCTTTTTTTTTTTTTTTTTTTTTCAGTAGAGATGGGGGTTTTGCCATATTGGCCAGGCTGGTCTCGAACTCCTGACCTCAGGTGATCCACTCACCTCGACCTCCCAAAGTGCTGGGATTACAGGCGTGAGCCACTGTGCCCAGCCAAGACTATAAAGAAAAGAAATTTATTGGCCAGGCGCGGTGGCTCATGCCTGTTCCCAGCACTTTGAGAGGCTGAGGCGGGCAGATCATGAGGTCAGGAGATCGAGGCCATCCTGGCTAACATGGTGAAACCCCATCTCTACTAAAAATACAACAGATTAGCCGGGTGTGGTGGCAGCCTCAGCTCCTCAGGAGGCCGAGGCAGGAGAATGGCGTGAACCCGGGAGGCAGAGGTTGCGGTGAGCTGAGATCGCGCCACTGCACTCCAGCCTGGGTGACAGAGCGAGACTATGTCTCAAAAAAAAAAAAAAAAGAAAGAAAGAAAGAAAGAAAGAAAAGAAATTTATTTCTTACACCTCCTGAGGCTGGGAAGGTTAAGAGCATGGCGCCAGCACCTTGGAGATGGTCATCTCATGGGAGAATGGCAGAAGATGGAAGCAAGTGCAGAAGACAGAAGAAATCAGCTAAACTCGCTTTGAGAACAAACCCAGTCTCGAGATAACTAACCCACTCCCATGATAAGAGCATTAATCCATTCATGAAGGCAGAGTCATCATGACCTAATCACCTCCTAAAGGCTTCATGTCAATTAAATCTCATGAGTTTCAGAGGGGACAAGAATTCAAACCATACCAATACCTAAATATAGATAAAGGCCAGGACACCCTAGGGTGTGCCTGTAGTCCCAGCTATTAGGGAGGCTAAGGCAGAGGGGTGTCTTAAGTCTGGGAATTTGAGACCAGCCTGGGCAACATAGTGAGACTCCATCTCTAAAAAAAAAAAAAAATAATAGACCGGGCACTGTGGCTCACGCTTGTAATCCCAGCACTTTGAGAGGCCGAGGCGGGCGGATCACGAGGTCAGGAGATTGAGATCACGATGAAACCCCATCTCTACTAAAAATACAAAAAATTAGCCAGGCGTGGTGGCGGGTGCCTGTAGTCCCAGCTACTTGGAGAGGCTGAGGCAGGAGAATGGCGTGAACCCGGGAGGCTGAGCTTGCAGCGAGCCAAGATCACGCCACTGCACTCCAGCCTGGGCGACAGAGTCAGACTCTGTCTCAAAAAAAAATAATAATAATAATAAACATAAATATAGATGCACACATCCATATCCATATACATTATGTATATTTATACATGCATAGAAAAGGTCTAGAAGGTACACCCCTAACTTAATAGGGGCTATCTTTTCAGAGGACATGGGATTAGGAAGGGTGAGAGTACAGCGAGGCTTGCAGTATTTCCATGTTGCCGTAGTCTTCCACTGTTGCTGCTGAGCAGCAGCTACGTGTTGTCTCTGTGTTGGTCCTCTGGCTTTCTATTCAGCATGCACTTTGGTATCCTGTGTCTTTGGTATTCTGTCCTCGTTACATACCCAAATGTGGATTTCTTATTTACTCTGCTTGGGATTCATGGGATTTCTTGATTTTGGGGATTTAAGGTGTTCATCAGGTATTCTTTCTTTAAAAAGTTCCTTTCTTGCCAGGTGCGGTGGCTCACGCCTGTAATCCCAGTACTTTGGGAGGCTGAGGCAGGCAGATCATGCAGTCAAGAGATTGAGACCATCCTAGCCAACATAGTGAAACCCCGTCTTTACTAAAAATACAAAAATTAGCTGGGCATGGTGGCGCATGCCTGTAATCCCAGCTACTCGGAAGGCTGAGGCAGGAGAATAGCTTGAATCCGGGAGGAAGAGGTTGAGCTGAGATAGTGCCACTGCACTCCATGGAGCTGGGTGACGGAGTGAGACTCCATCTAAAAAAAAAAAAGAAAGAAAGAAAAAAATGCCTTTCTTGGCCGGGCATGGTAGCTCACACCTGTAATCCCAGCACTTTGGGAGGCTGAGGAAGGCGGATCACCCGAAGTCAGGAGTTCAAGACCAGCCTGGCCAACAAGGTAAAACCCTGTCTCTACTAAAAATACAAAAATTAGCCGGGTTTGGTGGCACGTGCCTGTAATCCCAGCTACTTGGGAGGCTGAGGCAGGAGAATGGCTTGAACCCTGGAGGTGGAGGTTGTAGTGAGCCAAGACCGTGCCACTGCACTCCAGCCTGGGCAATAGAGTGAGACTCCGTCTCAGAAAAACAAAAACAAAAACAAAAATTGCCTTTCTCCTATTCTTTCTTTTCTTTCCTTCTGGGACTCAAATTTGATATAGTTAGATTTTCTCAGGATGTTCTGTCTCTTTCCACCTATTTCATGGTTTCCTAAGTGTCATAAGTATGTATCTCATTCCATTCCAAATAATCTTCTAACACCACATTTCTCCAGCATATTAGCTCTCTCTCCAGTTGGATTTAATAATTCTTTTTTTTTTTTTTTTTTTTTTTGAGATGGAGTTTCACTCCTGTTGCCCAGGCTGGAGTGCAGTGGTGTGATCTTGGCTCACCACAACCTCTGCCTCCCAGGTTCAAGCAATTCTCCTGCCTCAGCCTCCTGAGTAGCTGGGATTACAGGCACGTGCCACCAAACCCGGCTAATTTTTGTATTTTTAGTAGAGACAGGGATTCTCCATGTTGGTCAGGTTGGTCTCAAACTCCCGACCTCAGGTGATCCGCCCGTCTCGGCCTCCCAAAGTGCTAGGATTACAGGTGTGAGCCACCGTGCCTGGCCCAGTTGGATCTAATTCTAAACTGTAGTTTATCCCATCGAGTTTTACATTCCTTTTTTCCATACGGAATCTCACTCTGTCGCCCAAGCTGGAGTGCAGTGGCGCGATCTCAGCTCACTGCAACCTCTGCTTCCCAGGTTCAAGTGATTCTCCTGCCTCAGCCTTCCAAGTAGCTGGGATTACAGGCCCCTGCCACCACGCCTGGCTAGTTTTTGTATTTTTAGTAGAGAAAGGGTTTCGTTGTGTTGGCCAGGCTTTTTTTGTTTTGTTTTGTTTTTTGAGACAAAGTGTTGCTCTTGTCGCCCAGGCTGGAGTGCAATGGCGCAATCTCAGCTCACTGCAACCTGCCCCTCCCAGGTTCAAGCAATTCTCCTACCTCAGCCTCCCGAGTAGCTGGGATTACAGGCGCCTGCCATCACGCCTGGCTAAATTTTTGTATTTTTAGTGGAGACAGGGTTTTGCCATGTTGGCGAGGCTGGTCTCGAACTCCTGACCTCAGGCGATCCGCCCACCTCGGCCTCCTAAAGTGCTAGGATTACAGGCATGAGCCACCACGTCCGGTCTATTTTTATTTTTATTTTTGAGATGGAGTCTTGCTCTGTTGCCTAGGCTGGAGTGCCGTGGTGCGAACTCCGCTCACTGCAACCTCCGCCTCCTGGGTCAAGTGATTCTCCTTCTCAGCCTCCCAAGTAGCTGGGATTATAGGCACCTGCCAGCATGCCCTGCTAAATTTTTGTATTTTTAGTGGTGACAGGGTTTCGCTATGTTGGCCAGGCTGGTGTCGAACTCCTGACCTCAGGTCTCCCAAGTGCTGGGATTATAGGCATGAGCCACCGCACCCGGCCTATTTATTTATTTTTATTTTTATTTTTATTTTCGAGACTGGGTCTCACTCTGTCACCCAGGTTGTAGTACAGTGGCACAATCTCGGCTCTCTGCCACCTCCACCTCCCAGACTCAAGCAATCCTCTCACCTCAGCCTCTGGAGTAACTGGGACTACAGGCACACACCACCACACCTGGCTAATTTTTTGTATTTTTTTGTAGAGACAGGTTTTCGCCATGTTGCCTAGGCTGGTCTTGAACTCCTGAGCTCAAGCGATCCATTCACCTAGGCCTCCCAAAGTGCCGGGATTACAGGTGTGAGCCACTGCACCCAGCCGGACAATTATATTATTTATGTTTACAAGAATGAATCAGAGGGCAGATGCATTGGCTCATTCCTATAATCTCGGCACTTTGGGAGGCTGAGGTGGGAGGATCACTTGAGGCCAGGAGATTGAGACCTGTCTGGGCAACATAGGGAGATCTTTGTCTCTACAAAAAAAATTTTAAAAAAACATTAGCTGGGTGTGATGGTGTGCATCTATAGTCCCAGCTACTCAGAGCGAAACCCTATTCCCCATCCCCAACCCTCCTAAAAAGAATAAGTCTGTGGAAGGCTGGGAGCAGTGGCTCATGCCTGTAATCCCAGCACTTTGGGAGGCTGAGGCAGGCGGATCACCTGAGGTCAGGAGTTTGAGACCAGCCTGGACAACATGGTGAAACCCCTGTCTCTACGAAAAATACAAAAATTAGCCAGGAGTGGTGGCAGGTGCCTATAATCCCAGCTACTCAGGAGGCTGAGGCAGGAGCATCGCTTGAACCTGGGAGGCGGAGGTTGTGGTGAGCCGAGATCCTGCTACTGCACTCCAGCCTGGGCAACAAGAGTGAGACTCTGTCTCCAAAAAAGAAAAAAGAGTTCTGTGGAAAAAGAAAGGCATTCCCTGCAGGTGTCAGCAAAGGTAAGGAGGTCCCAAAGAACAGGAATAGTGAGGAGTCCTTGGGGGAGGATGGGGAGGTTGCCCAAGCTCATCCTTTATACTTGAGACCTCTGGTCCAGAGAAGTGAAGTGTTCTGCTCAGTGTCACACCACTGGTCAGGGGCAGACCGGAATCAGAAAGTAGGCCTTATTTCTTCATCAGAGTCTAGGAAGCCGCCAGGGGAAAGAGGCTGTGCTTTAGAAGGTTAAGGCCTATGATCCACCCTGCGTCACCCAAAGTAAACTAGGAAGGAAGTGTAAATAAACCCCACAAAGATCGGACATTTTTCCATGATGACCACATTGATGCATTTATTAAAAATACAAAATGCTAATAATCCAAACCAGCCCTCTTCCCTTTTTTCCCCTTTGGGAGCCCTTGCACTGTGGTGCATGAAACACATGCTTGAACTAGGCCATTGGGAACTGCGGCTTGGACAAGGAACAGCCACAGCTTTTCCTGTACTCAGAGCAGGCAAAGTGCCATTAAATGCAGCTGGAAGCCAGGGCAGGGGAAGGGGTGGGAAGCTCCTGGAGAGCCCCCAGCTCCTCCCAGTTACTGACTGGCTCTGGAGGAGAGGAGCTAGAAGGCCGAGATACCTGAGGAGACAAACCTGGGGCACCACTGCCACCTGATGTCTTCCTATGGCCATTGCAGTGGTCACAGCCCCAAGCCCCGTGGCAGCCTGGCAGCAGAGTGAAACAAGAGGGCAAAGAAAGCCTATCGGTGGAAGTTTTTATTTACCCTTGACGGTGGGTACTCCCAGACAGTGGGTATGTCTGAAATACTTCATATTGAAGAAAGACATCCATATTGAAAAACTAAACAGAAAACATAAATGGAAAATGAATCAACATATACAAAGTAGCCACAGTATGGAGGTGCGGATTTGACTTTGCCTGCGGAAGAGCTGTCCTGCTCTGGCCAGCACTGGAAGGGACTCTGCCTCCTCTGTTCTGGGAGCGTGCAAGCAGGAACTCTGGACTGGGCTTTGCACAACTTCCAGGAGTCATTGCTTAGAAATCAGAATGACCAAGATCTTAAGGTCTTAGAATCATCTAGGTAATCCACCCCCATCCCAGCTGCCAGGTCACAGTCACACAGAGGCTGAGCACGCCCAATGCCATGCCCAATGCCACCCAGTCTTCCCCTGCTGCTGTTTCTGCCTCGCCTCCCTGTCCTTCCCCTACCCTACCCTAGCGTGGGCAGGCTTTGTGTCCCAAGGTCACCAGTGACATATGTCCCACCACAGGCAGCCGAGCTTAACCCTATCACTGAGACCTCCTTGTGGCTGCTCCCTACCCCTCCCTGCCTGGCTTCCTGGCATCCTGCCTCTAACCTCTCTCTCTGCTTCCCTGTCTTCTACATTGGTAGAACTGCCACTTGGATACGTGTGACAACTTGCTGTCACCAGCCTGGATATTTCTCTGGAGCACTCCTCACATTCAACACTTGACCACTCAGGCATCGGGACAGTCACTGCCCAGATCCCCCCGTCCACATAGGAGCTCAGCATGACAGCCCCTCTTTTTTATTTAATTTACTTATTTCAATTTTTATTTTTATAGAGAAGACGTCTTTCTATGTTGCCCAGGCTGGTCTCAAACTCGTGGCCTCAAGTGATCCACCCACGCTGGCCTCCCAAAGTGCTGGGATTACAGGCATGAGCCACTGCACCCGGCCCAGCCCCCTTTTAAAATGTTTTCTTTTGAAATAATTTAAAGCTTACAGAAAAGTTGCAAGAATAGTACAAAGAATTCCCTTATGCCCTTTGCCAAGAGTCATACATTTTAACGTTTTCAAATTTTGCTGCATTTGCTTTCTTCCCTTTGACTCTGTCTACTTCTCTCTCTTACACACACACACACACACACACTTAACCTGTAATATTTCAGTGTATTATTTCCTTAGAACAAGGATGTTCTCATACATAACTGCAGTATAATTATCAAATTCAGGAAACTTAACACTGAGTTACTAATTTTACCTGGTGGGTCACAGTAGCTCATGCCTGTAATCCCAGCACTTTGGGAGGCCGAGGTGGGTGGATCACGAGGTCAGGAGTTCGAGACCAGCCTGACCAAGATGGTGAAACCCCCATCTCTACTAAAAATTTAAAAATTAGCTGGGTGTGGTGGCGGGTACCTGTAGTCCCAGCTACTCAGGGGGCTGAGGGAGGAGAATGGCTTGAGCACAGGAGGCGGAGGTTGCAGTGAGCCAAGATCGTGCCACTGCAGTCCAGCCTGGCCAACAGAGCGAGTCTGTGTCTCAAAATAATAATAATAATAATAATTTTACCTAATTAAAGTTCATATTTCAATGTAGTCAAATGTTCCAAAAATGTCCTTTATAGTACTCTTTTTCGGTTTGGTCCAGGATCCCATCCAAGATCACACATTTCATTTAGTTGTCATGTCTCTTGAGTCTCCTTTAATCTGGAACGGTTCCTGGGCCTCTCTTTGGTCATGTATGACACTGATATTTATAAAATATGCAGGCCAGTAATTTTATAAATTTCAACTTAGGCTTTTTCAATATTTCCTTTCCTTGTGTATTTCTTTTTTTTTGAGACAGAGTTTCACTCTTGTTGCCCAGGCTGGAGTGCAACGGCGCATTCTCAGTTCACTGCAACCTCCGCCTCCCAGGTTCAAGCAATTCTCCTGCCTCAGCCTCCCAAGTAGCTGGGATTACAGGTATGCACCACCACACCCAGCTAATTTTTTGTATTTAGTAGAGACGGGGTTTCACAATGTTGGTCAGGCTAGTCTTGAACTCCTGACCTCAGGTGATCCACTTGCCTCGGCCTCCCAAAGTGTTGGGATTACAGGCATGAGCCACCGTGCCTGGCCATGTATTTCTTGATTTCTTGCTCTGAGTACCAGTGGTCCAGCCACTCCCTCAGGTCAGGAGCCAAGAGACCATCCTGAATCCATCCCTCTCCCTCACTCCCATCTACCCATCCATCACCAGATCCCAGCACCTAAAGCCCTTCCCTCCCATGCCCCAGCTTCTGCTATGACTATAATTATCATCATTCCTTACCTATCATCCATCCTTTGTCTTGCTCTCAGCAATTACACGGCTTCACACTGCTCCCTTCTTAAACCCTCTACAGGCTGGCTGCTCAAAGGGTAGCAAAAGGATCAGCAGCTTTGAGAGTCTGTTAAAAATGCAGAACCTCAGGCTGCGACCCAGAGCTGTGGAATCAGAATCTGCGTTTTAACAAGTTTCCCACGTGTTTGAGAAGTCCTGCTCTCATAGATCCCTAGGCTTACAGACTCCTCAGAATGGCGTTCAGGGTCCCCCCCCCCCCGCCCACCACAAACCTCTCCTACCTTGTTCACAGGTATGAATGCATGGTATTTCCCCTTTGAACACAATTTCTTTTTCCTGGAACACCCTGTCTCGTGAGACTCCTGCTGAAGGTTAGATTTGAACATCGCCTCCTATGGGGTCCACTGCTTGCTCTGGAGCCCCATGTCCTCTGGACCCCTCTCTATCCTAGCTTCTGTTACATGGAAACGTTACACCTAAGACCTCGTCATTTTTAGTGACTATTTCTCCCACTAGCCAGTGAACGCCTTGAGACAAAGCCTGCATCTTACACACTTCCTTATCCTCAGTGCTCAGCACAAGTCAAACGTTTATTGAATGAGAGAAACAGCTTTTCCTCCATAGAGGCCCTTCCAAGTAGATTTGAAGTGGGTATTGCAAAGGGGCCATATGCAAAGGGGCCATCCAAATGCCAGAGCCACGGTATGTTGGGACAGGGGCAGTCACAGAGAACATCTACTTATCTAATTCTTTTTTTTTTTAATTTTTTTTTTTTTTGAGACAGGGTCTCACTCCTGTCACCCAGGCTGGGGTGCAGTGGAACAATCTTGGCTCACTGCAGCCTTGACTTCCCTGGGCTTGGGTAATCCTCCCACCTCAGCCTCCTGAGTATCTGGGACAATAGGCATGCACCACCATACCTGGCTAATTTTTCGTATTTTTAGTAGTTACAGGGTTTTGGCATGTTGCTCAGGCTGGTCAAGAACTGCTGGGCTCAAACTATCCACCCACCTTAGCCTCCCAAAGTGCAGGCATTACAGCCATGAGCCACTGCACCTGGCCGGAAAATCTAGTTCAAATGCATTTGTTATTTGTGAAGAAAGGCCCCAGAGGGAGAAGTGACTTACTCCAGGTTTCTCTGCTGGAGAGATGTAGCCTGAGTCACTATTGATTCATGCTTTGCCCTTCTTGGAGCCAAGTGCCCTTAAGTGTGATAAGCAGAGAAATAAAAATCAAAGTGAGTCACGGATGAATGAGCACATAATGGAGATTGTTTTGTTTTAGAGATGGGGTCTCACTATATTGCCCAGGCAGGTTTTGAACTCCTGGGCTCAAGCAATCCTCATGCCTTAGCCTCCCAAGTAGCTGGGATTATAGGTGCACAATTTGTAAAGTTTGAAAACATGAGGCCTGGCGCAGTGGCTTACACCTGTAATCCTAGCACTTTGGGAGGCCAAGGCAGGGGGATCACCTGAGGTCAGGAGTTCAAGACCAGCCTGACCAACATGGAGAAACCCCGTCTCTACTAAAAATATAAAATTAGCTGGGTGTGGTGGCACATGCCCGTAATCCCAGCACTTTGGGAGGCCAAGGCAGGGGGATCACCTGAGGTCAGGAGTTCAAGACCAGCCTGACCAACATGGAGAAACCCCGTCTCTACTAAAAATATAAAATTAGCTGGGTGTGGTGGCACATGCCTGTAATCCCAGCTACTCGGGAGGCTGAGGCAGGAGAATCACTTGAACCCAGGAGGCGGAGATTGTGGTGAGCCGAGATTGCACCATTGCACTCTAGCCTGGGCAATAAGAGTGAAACTCCATGTCAAAAAAAAAAAAAAAAAAAGGAAAAAAAATCTGAATCTATCTTCTTGCTTAGGAAATAGTCATACCAGGGAAGGATAAGTGTTACCTTTATGGGGGTTGGGTGCAGCTGAAGAGTTTATGATGAAGTCAGGGTAGGCAAGGGGCTTCAGCTAAGCTGTTCATTCTTAAGCTGGTGTGTGAAATATAAGTGTTGATTTTTTGTACATCTTTGCATACTTTAAATTTTTAAAATCTGAATCAGATCACACCTTGGATGGAATAGTTTTCCCCAAAATTTAAAGTGAGTTAAGTTTTGCCCATGGTTTTGAGTTAACCAACTCTTGACCTTGTGGGTGTCCACACATAAATTTTTCTATAGTAAATGCAAACTTTCTGCATGGCAGGCTTCAAGCTCTAACAAGCAAGTTTCAGAGAGCAGGGGCATTCTAGAAACAGAATCCTGACCTCTCAGTGAAGCATAAAATGAGCAGAGGCTAAGGATGAGGTTGCATCTTAGCATACGGGCTAAAGAGGTCGTTTCATTTTACAGGCAAAAAAAAAAAAAAAATTAAATTCTCAATAATGGGTTGACTTAATTTGCAATTTTAGGAAGGATAGATCAGACAGGAAGCCAGCTGACCTTTGCAGCAATCCAGGGAAATATTACTTGCTCAAAGTAAACTTTAAAAAGCATGGTGGCTCACATCTGTAATCCCAGCACTTTGGGAGGCTGAGGTGGGAGGATTGCTTGAGCCTGGAAGGTCGAAGCTGGAGTAAGCCGAGATCACACCACTGCAACTCCAGCCTGGGCAACAGTGAGACTGTCTCAGAAAAATATATGTATATATAATATAATCAAATATGCCTGAACCCCTGGTTTTCCAACCCATACCTAAAGGACCATGTGTTTTCTATTCTGGGCGTCCCTCTGTGCTTCAGCCCAATATATTTTGTCCCCAGTAGCCCCCAGCATCACATTATGTGTGGGCACTGCAGCCTTGACCTCCTGGCCTCAAGTGATCTGCCTGCCTCGGCCTCCCAAAATGCGGGGATTACAAGCATGAGCCACTGCGGCTGGCCTCAGGCACACTTTTTATGCACCCATTTCATCTTGCAAATCAATCTGAACCACAAGTTTTTGGAGTCAGAGCTTCTTGAGGAAATGTGGCCATCCCAAACACTAATTTTAGTTAATGTGGTCCCAGGACCTTAAAGGGAAATGTAATTCTCCTTAAATCCATCAAGAACTAGGCAGAGAGCATGGGTTCAAGATCTTTTATTTTCAGAGCTTCCAACAGTTGGTTAGTAATGCTAGCTAAGCTGGTATAATCTGAAGGCCATCCCACCTTTCTCTTTAGGCAGTCAACCAACAGAATCTCTTTCTTACAAACAATATCATTAACCAGTTGGAATCTGTCTCAATGCGCGTGTAGGAAGAAGTCCTCTCCCCCACATTTTTCCCAACAAGATTGTTTTATAGCCAAATGTAACTCAAACCCGTAACACAGCAACTAGCCATCTCCAGTATCACTGATTCCCACCCCAAGAAGTTGAGGTAAGAGGGGAGAGACTGTCTCCTGTTTAAGAAAAACCCACCTACACCTCAGTGAAGCCGTGATGGTAAGGAGGCTGGCACCAGAGGGCAGGGATGAGTAGGCACTGAAACAGGTCTCTCTAGAATCAATGAAGTCTGCCCCAGCTCCTTGGATGAGGTGTTCTTTTGAAATTCCCACTTTTATGGAGTTAGATAAGGGGACAACCGGTGATGATTCATCACTCCCTGTCTCTAAAATTAAAACATGATAAACCCAGAAAGTTTTACCTTCAAAATCCACCAAGCTCCCTCCTGAGAAAATTCTATCCAGTCATGTCCATGCCAGCACCCACTCCCTTCTCCTAATGCCCAGGGCTTCCAGCCCCTCTCCTCACCCTTGGGTGGTCCATCCAACACTGATTTGATACTCTTTGACTCATAATATGACCATTTTTTAAAAATTAGAAAATAAAAGCTATCAATATCACAGCAACATAAGGAAGATACTCAGTGGACATGCTCCTCCCCCATCCTGTGGAGCCCACCTACCCCCACCCCCCTTCCCTGGGAAACCTACACTGCAACATTCCAGCACTGAGCCGGGGGTGGCCCAACAGATGCTGCCTCAAGTGCTTTCCTGACTGTGGCTCCTATACCAGCCAATGTCATGGAACTGGGGTGAGGAAGAACAGGGCCACACCTCCCACCAAATAGATATCGGTAGCCAGTGGTGGGTCTGGGAGATTTAGCTTATGTCAGGCAGCCAAGCCTGGGTCCAACGCTCTCACCAGGACCTCAGTTCTTGGCTTAAATAGCAGCAGCCCCAGTACCACAGCGCCTCCTGGGGGTGACAGAGCACCTAGCTTTCTGTCCGATAACTTATAACAGGTTTGCATTTTCTTACCCACTTCTTTTTTTTTTTTAAATTAAAAGCCGAGGTAGTCCCTGGGATAATAAAACCCTACCTAGAATGGCAGTATTTCAACCTAATGAAGCAGTAAAATAAGTCTCCAGGAGTTAGAAAAAAAAATAAAATAAAGTGATTGATGAAGTTGAATAAATTAAACATATGGATTATCCCACAAAGACCTTTCCTTCCCAGGTTGTCTTTGCTATTTGGCCAGCAGCATTTCTGTGTAACTTCTCTACTCCCCTCCGTCTCCTCTCCCCTCATGAGATGGCTGGAGCCCGATAAGGCCCCGGCTGGTTCATCCCACTGTGGCTCAGAGCAGCTTGACACGGTGCTCAGAACTGCATTGTGGCACAGTTCTGATATGGACGGAGGACGTCTAACAGGGACAGAAGAGGCGTAGCCAGCAAGATGCCCTGGGCTCCAACCTTGGGAGTGTGGGAGGTAGGTTTAAGGCATGGAAGTCCCAGGCCCCCTCTCCAAATGTCACACAGCTGTCCCCTTTGCTTAAGTTTCTCTGCAGCAAAGAGGGTAAAGGGGGATGGAGGGAAGCTTGGGCTGCTGCTGGCTGGTCCTGCCGCCCTCAGAGCTTCTTCAGACGACTGTACATCTCCCTCTTGCTCTTCTCCCCTGCCCAGGTCCGGCTCTTGGTGCGGAACTTCTTCAGGTCTTCTTTAAAGTCCTCGTGGTGCATGGGCCGGTAGCTAGGGGGCTCACAGTAAGACTGAGGGGACAGGAGAGAATAAGGTTAGGGTACACCTGCCTCACACCCACAACCTGGTTTCCTCTCTGCCTAGGGCTACAAGGCTGAAAGCGGCCAGGCAGACCTAGGGAGCCAGTTCTACAGGGGCTTTCTTTGGGTTCAGCAGATACCCACCTTGTCCCCCGACCCCTGGAAAGAAAGTCATGACCACCAGACAGATCCATTAGTCTACCACTGGGGGCAGGGGAGGAGAGATGCTCTCCACAACCCCAGTCTTACCTGGCATTTCATAAAGAACTCCTTGTATCCCCCCTTCAGGACATACAGCTCAGGGTAGTGGAGTTTGGGGTATTCATTACCCAGGCGATCTCTCTCTCTCACATACCGGCACCTAGTCAGGGGAAGGAAGGCCAAAGCAGGGTTAGCTTTTCCAGCACAGCAACAAGGCAACGCAGTCAAAGCAGCAGTTGTGGTCTAAGTCCCCCTTATACACATCTTCCCAACTTGACATTTATTCTTAGAAACAATCAGTGCTGAGTTGCAAGTTCCTGGCCACATGAGCAGCACTCACAGCCAGTGCCAGTAGATGGTCTCTTCCCCAATTTTCCTTTCTCCAACAATCCTAGCATCTGAGTCCTGCCCAGCACCTTCACCACCACAGTTTGTGGCAAGTTTTCACTATATGAGCCAGCTTCCCCTTGCTTTCTCCACCCCAGCCTTCTCTTCAGCCAGGCTCCCTCACTCACCTCCTTCTACATAAGTGGGCTTGTTTCTTTCTGTGGCTTTTAAAGAGGCTGAACTTGCTCCTGCCTCGGGGCCCTGTTTCTATCCTCTACTTGGACTGAATGGTCTTCAATATCCAGCCAATGGCTGCTTACTGCCTCGCCCTTGGTGAAAAAGCCCGAGGCCCCAAGTCCTTCAGAGGCCTACAGCTCTACAGGCCCCTACTGCTGCTCTGCCCCTTGTTCACCCCACGCCAGCCCCTGCAGCCCCACTACTGTTCCTCCAGCCTGCCTGGGAGCTCCACCACTGGCCTTATTTTCCTCTGAAGCACCTTCTTTTTTCTGAGACAGAATCTCACTCTGTCACCAGGCTGGAGTGCAAGGGCGTGACCTCAGGCTCACTGCAATCTCCGTCTCCCGGGTTCAAGCAATTCTCCTGCCTCAGCCTCCCAAATAGCTGGGACTACAGGCGCGTGCCACCGCCCAGCTGATTTTTGTATGTTTAGTAGAGATGGGGCTTCACCATGTTGGCCAGGATGGTCTCGACCTCTTGACCTTGTGATCCACCTGCCTTGGCCTCCCAAAGTGTTGGGATTACAGGAGTTAGCCACCGCACCCAGTCACCTTTTTTTTTTTTTTTTTGAGATGGAGTCTCACTCTGTCGCCCAGGCTGGAGTGCACTGGCGCGATCTCGGCTCACTGCAACCTCTGCCTCCTGGGTTCAAGGGATGCTCCTGCCTCAGCCTCCAAAGTAGCTGGGATTACAGGTGTCCGCCACCACGCCTGGCTAATTTTTGTATTTTTAGTAGAGACGGGATTTCACCATGTTGGCCAGGCTGGTCTCGATCTCCTGTCCACTCCGAAATGTAAGTTCCATGAAGGCAGAGATTTTTTGGTCTGTTTTGTTCACTGCTCTTCTCCCTCAGTATCTAGAAAGGTATCTGGTACACAAGAGCCAAGAGTATCTGCTGATTTTCTCTTGAAGCTCAGTGGTTTGGGGCCTTTGTTAGCTGCTCATGAGGGATGGGCAGCAGCTTCCTCTGCAGCACGTAGCTTAAACCATTTGCCTGTGGTTAAAAGGAGTTTGGCTGGGCGCGGTGGCTCACACCTGTAATTCCAGCACTTTGGGAGGCTGAGGCGGTGGATCACGAGGTCAGGAGTTCGAGACCAGCCTGGCCAAGATAGTGAAACCCTGTGTCTACTAAAACTACAAAAAATTAGCTGGGCGTGGTGGCAGGTGCCTGTAATCCCAGCTACTTGGGAGGCTGAGGCAGAGAAATGCTTGAACCCGGGAGGAGGAGGCTGCAGTGAGCCGAGATTGTGCCACTGCATTCCAGCCTGGGCGAAAGGGCGAGATTCCAACTCAAAAAAAAAAAAAAAAAAAAAAAAGAGTTCACCTGTGAATCCCAAATCTTTCCCCAGTGGAACAACAGAAAGCCAGTGATGGCGAAACTCAAGTGGGGAACGAAGTGTAAGGGGTATCTGTAGATGGTGATATAAACATGCAGCTTGCAAATACAGAATACAGAGATGGGGCGTTTTCTGTATATCTAGGTGAAGTTTCAATATGGTATAATAATGTCCTTTATATTAGAGGTGTTAAAGAGGAAGATGGGGAAATGAGAGATTAAGAGAATAGCATCTTTTGGGCTGGGCATGGCGGCTCACACCTGTAATCCAAGCACTTTGGGAGGCCAGGATTGCCTGAGCCCAGGAGTTTGAGACCAGCCTGGGCAACACAGTGAGACCCTGTCTCTATAAAAAATACAAAAATTAGCCAGGCATGGTGATGCATGTTTGTGGTCCTAGCTTCCTGGGAGGCTGAGGTGGGAGAATCACTTGAGCCTGGGAGGCAGAGGCTACAGTGAGCTGTGCTCCTGCCACTGTACTCCAGCCTGGACAACAGAGACTGACCCTGACTCAAAAATAAAAAAAAAAGAGAGCAGCATCTTTTGTGGGTTTAAAAACAATTTACATGTGTGTGTATGTGTGTCCAGATTAGTTTGTTTCAGGCCTATAATCCCAGCACTTTGGGAGGCTGAGGCGGGTAGATCACTTGAGGTCAGGAGTTCGAGACCAGCCTGGCCAATGTAGCAAAACCCCGTCTCTACTAAAAATACAAACATTAGCTTGGCATGGTGGCATGCACCCGTAGTCCCAGCTACTTGGGAGCCTGAGGCAGGAGAATTGCTTGAACCCGGGAGGTGGAGGTTGCAGTGATCCGAGATCGCACCACTGCACTCCAGTCTGGGTGGCAGAGCAAGACTACATCTCAAACAAACAAACAAAAAAACTGCTGAGTGAATAATTCCATTCATGAATGAGCATCCTTTGGAGACAGATGTTTGAAGGACTTATGAGATGACAGTCAAAAGTGTCAAGTTGTACTGTAGTTGCCTGTGTGTAGAGCATGTACATACAAATGTGACAAAATGTTAAAAATTAATAAAATCAGGTGAAGTGTGTGCAAGTATAACCTTTGTGTGTGTGTGTGTGTGTGTGTGTGTGTGTGAGAGAGAGACAGAATCTCACTCTGTCACCTAGGCTGGAGTACAGTGGCATGATCATGGCTCACCACAGCCTCGACCTGCTGGGCTCAAACGATCCTCCCACCTCCTATTTTTTGTAGAGGTGTGGTCCCACTGTGTTACCCAGGTTGGTCTGGTCTGAAACTCCCGAGCAAGTGATCCTCCTGCCTCGGCCTCCCAAAGTGTTGGGATTACAGGTGCCACTGTGCCCAGCCATAACCTCACCTCTTCTTGAGCTTTAAAATGGTTCAGGTCAGGCGCAGTGGCTCACGCCTGTAATCCAAGCACTTTGGGAGGCCGAGACGGGCAGATCGCAAGGTCAGGAGATGGAGACCATCCTGGCTAAAATGGTGAAACCCTGTCTCTACTAAAAATACAAAAAAATTAGCCAGGCGTGATGGTGGGCACCTGTAGTCCCAGCTACTCGGGAGGCTGAGGCAGGAGAATGGCATGAACCCAGGAGGCGGAGCTTGCAGTAAGTCGAGATTGTGCCACTGCACTCCAGCCTGGGTGACAGAGCGAGACTCCGTCTCAAAAAAAAAAAAAGGTTCAAAGGGGTGGGCACAGTGGCTCATGCCTGCAATCCTAGCACTTTGGAGGCCAAGGAGAGAGGATTGCTTGAGGCCAGGAGTTTGAGACCAACCTGGCCAATATATTAAGACCCCATCTCAAAATTTGAAATTTCTGCTGGGCGTGGTGGCTCACACCTGTAATCCCAGCACTTTGGGAGGTCAAGGCGGGTGGATCACCTGAGGTCAGGAGTTCAAGACCAGCCCGGCCAACATGGTGAAACCCCCATCTCTACTACAAATACAAAAATTAGCCGGGTGTGGTGGTGCACGCCTGTTATCCCAGCTACTCAGGAGGCTGAGGCAGGAGAATCGCTTGAACCCAGGAGGTGGAGGTTGCAGTGAGCCGAGATCATGCCACTGCATTCCAGTCTGGGTGAAAACAGTGTGCCTCCGCCTCAAAAAAAAAAAAAAAAAAGAAAGAAAGAAAGAAAGAAAAAGCCAGGTGCAGTGGCTCACGCCTGTAATCCCACTACTTTGGGAGGCTGAGGCAGGCGGATCACCTAAGGTCGGGAGTTCAAGACCAGCCTGACCAACATGTAGAAACCCTGCCTCTACTAAAAATACAAAATTAGCCGGGCGTGATGGCGCATGCCTGTAATCCCAGCTACTTGGGAGGCTGAGGCAGGAGAACTGCTTGAACCTGGGAGGCAGAGGTTGCAGTGAGAAGAGATTGTGCCACTGCACTCCAGCCTGGGCAACAAGAGCAAAACTCCGTCAAAAAAAAAAAATTGAAATTTTTTAATTTAAAAATGTTTTTTAAAATAAATTGGTTCAAAATAAAAAGGTGGCATAAGAACGTGGTCCTGCAGAAGTCTCCCTTGGACCATCCTAGTTAAGCTGCACTCTCTGTCCTACCTCTCTGCCTGTCCTCCTAGCATTTATACGGATCCCCACTTGGATCTCTGCTGCAGTAGGGTCCTTGTTGGTCCTGCTCGCTGTGGTATTTTTACTGTACTGTGTTTTACTGTAGTTACATTTTTATTGTCAGTGCCTGACAAACAGCAGGCTTGCAATCCTTTTAGAATGGACACAGATGACTGATGGGCAGCTCTTTGGCCCCCTTTTTTCTTTTCACCCTGAAATTGGTAATAATATCAAGTGTTTCAAAGCATCATATCATATGAGGTTTTACAGAATGAGAACTTCACACTTTTCTGGCATTTGCATAAGGAACGGTCACTTTGTACTTGAAGGAGGTCACATGAGAACAGTAGCCCCACAGATCAGACTAAGGACAGTCGGGGAGACTGGAAGAGCCAAAGTTCACCTCAGGATAAAATTACATATGAAAATGGCTTGTTATGTGCCAGAGGTTGCTTGATATGCTAAAATATGCTCCAAGTGCAAGCCACAAACCACCATGTCCCACAAAAGCATCATGGAGCCTGTGCCCCAGAACCCAGTTCCGTGCAGCACTCACATGCGGGGACCTCTCTCAGAAGAAAACTCGCAGTGAAACACAACAATGACACGCTTGCCATCAGTAGGTACAATGGGCTTCTTCAATAAGAAGTCTTCAACCTCTTCTTCCATGTGCAAGTTCACTGCACCCTGTGAAGACAACAGAGACCCTTGGAACCTGCACGTTTCACACATGAAGTAATGATTCAGCAAGATGTAATGATTCATCAAGAGTGATCTTTAAGTCCACAAGACCAGTTTGTGATTTTTGCAGTTCTTCTAGCTGAATAGCCCAGTAGACCATTTGGCACCTGTATCTCAATGGAGCTTTGTGGGTCCGTACACGTTCATCATACAGTAATGCACATGGGGACTGGAAATGGGCAATTCAAATATGACAATGGTACACTTTATAGGTAGTTTTATAAATTTGGGGATTTTCAAAAGCCACAAGACAATGGCAAACAGTAACATCGTATTTAAAGTACCTCCTTACTATATTTAAACACTATTAATCGGGTAAAACATTAAAATGGCAGGCCAGGCGCCGTGGCTCATGCCTGTAATCCTAGCACTTTGGGAGGCTGAGGCGGGCGGTTTGCCTGAGCTCAGGAGTTTGAGACCAGCCCGGGCAACATGGTGAAACCCCGTCTCTACTAAAAAAAAAAAAAAATTAGCCGGGCGTGGCAGCGTGCACCTGTAGTCCCAGCTACTTGGAAGGCTGAGGCAGGAGAATTGCTTGAACCCAGGAGGCAGAGGTTGTGGTGATCCGAGATCATGCCACTGCACTCCAGCCTGGCGACAGAGCGGACTCTGTCTCAAAAAAAAAAAAAAAAAAAGATTAAAATGGCAAAATCAGTTCCTTTCTTCTTGGGAACGTGTGTCCCAACACGCCCCTCCACCAGGCAGCTTGCTGAACAATCAACTTTGGAGGCATCACTAGGCCTGGCACAGACACCAGGACATGTTGCCAGAGATGGTCTTCTCCTCATCAGGAGCCCTGGGGTGCTCAGACATTGGTACCCAAGCCTCTTAAATGCTATGAAACCCATTCTTGTCCCCCGAATGACTTAAACATCAGTGGGTACCTCCTACAAGTGTCCTTGATAATGATGGTGTGAGGGACAAACATGAAGAATAACTGTGCACAAGGTGGTAGAGAGTATTGCAGACAAGGGAACATTCGTTAAGAGCACCCGGAATCAAATGCCTTCCACACTCACTGTATTGTTTCAAAATTCTAACAACTAGCATATGAGCTAAGTGGCCAGGTGTCACTGTCCTCCCCACTTTAAAACCACAGATCCTGTTTAGGGCTCCTTCTACAGCAAGTCTCAGGAATCCATACCTTGATGTGGCCTCCCTCGTATTCATATGGGTATCGACAGTCGATGATAACAAACTCTTTAATGAGGTTGGCAAACTTGCCATTCAAAACAGATGCCATCTGTTGAGAGAAAATTAGGGAGAATCAACTTTGACCGTCAGGGAAAACTAGATTCAAGTACCCGATGTGTGGTGGGTTTCAAAAGGATGGACTTACAATTTCTGGAGAGATGTATTTTAAATCCTGATGTTTCCCAGCAACTGTATGAAAGAGATAACCCTTAAAAAGAAAAAAAGATACTTAGAGAATCTGAAAGCCTATATATTATTCACACTTATACTGTTTTGTCTGGCTGGTAGGAGGCATCTTTTAAAAAACAAACATTAATGGCCAGGCACGGTGGCTCACACCTGTAATCCCAGCACTTTGGGAGGCCGAGGCTAGTGGATCACCTGAGGTCAGGAGTTCGAGACAAGCCTGGCCAACATGGTGAAACCCCAACTCTTTTAAAAATACAAAAATTAGCCGGGCGTTAGCATGCACCTATAGTCCCAGCTACTCGGAAGGCTGGAGTGGGAAAATCGCTTGAATCCAGGAGGCGGAGGTTGCAGTGAGCTGAGATTGCACCACTGCACTCCAGCCTGGGTGACAGAGCAAGACTCCCTCTCAAAAAACAAACAAACAAACAAGCAAACAAACATTAGTTAGTACACACTAGTTACTCTTCTAGTTACTTCATTAACATCCTGACATTTAATTTTCACACAAACCAATGAGGTATATTATCCCCATTTTGAGCACCTTATCCAAGGTTACCTAGCTAGTAAGGCAGATTTAAATAAAGAAACCTCAGGTAATCTCATTTTCCTCCTGCTTTTGTCAAGAATCCACACGTCAGTAGTTAGACTGCGAATAGCACTTAAACATACAGATTTCACTCATTTACTGAGCACCTGCTATGTCCAGCATGGTGCCAGGCACTGGGGATAGGAAAAAAAGAGACCTAGCCCAGCCTTGAGGAGGAAGATGCACACATTAGCAATTACTCATTAGGGTGACTGGCTGAGCCAAGAGTTCATCTATCCCCATGCATAGGCCCATTAAGACAAATATAACCAGGCCTCAATTCAAGTTGAAAATTCCACTGAGTGTGGTGGTGCATGCCTGTAGTCCCAGCTACTTGGGAGGCTGAGGCAGGGGGAGCACTTGAGGCCATAAGTTTGAGGCTACAGTGTACTATGATAGCATGTGCGAATAGCCACTGCACTACAGCCTGAGCAACATAGTAAGACCACATCTCTCCCTGCCAAACAAGAGAAGGTTCCAAAACTGAGGATACAGCTGGATCTTTGCTTGTTCTCTTCATTCTCCGTTCCTTCAAAACCCATTTGGGCTGAAATATCAACGGCCCAACCCCAGACGTTCCCCAACCCCCTAGCCAAGATAAACCCTTTTACTTCTCACGGCATGCTGTTTATGTTTACACCTCACTAAAATTTATTTCAGTCTACCATGTGGTACATGTAGTTCACGTCTCACCTCTCCAACCACATGCTAAATTCTTTGAGGGAAGGAACTGTATCTCATTTTGGAATCTCTGCCTAACACATAAGTGCTTCAATAAATGTTAACTAAATTAATGAATAAAACATTGATCTGGTAACCTTCAAGTCAAAATGTGATTAAAGAAGCTGCTATTGACACATTCCCTGTCCTAGCCTTGTATTTTACTGCAGCCAAGCCTTCATGTAGTATATCAGGCTATTAGAAGATCTTCCTCTAGACTTCCTGGAGGGTCTTTTCCCTCAATGGCCAAGCTTCTCTGAACGGAGAAATTCAGTCTCAATCCCAGACCTTCTAAGATAACCTTTCAACATGCAGACTTGTAGTGTGGCTACAGATTTATTTCTGCTGTACACTATCCTGCTAATTACTATTTTTATAATAACACAGTTCCCAGAGAGCCTAGTCTTTGGGTTACAATCAAGGTGGTTGGTGGACAGCTCCCTACCTAAAACTGCCCATCAGCTATAGTGATATCTACAGTCTCAGAAACCAACATATACCTGATCATGAGAAACTAAGTTTGCTTCCCTACCTTTAACATTCTTTTAACTGTGTCCTTTTGGAGGTATGCCAGGAACCACCCTGGGGAGGGAGACAGGCTGAGTGGGATTCTAAATACCCACACTCCCTCCTACACTTGCCAGAGCAGCTCTGCTTGCAATTACCTTGGAGAAGTCTCCTATAAGGTCCCTTGGGTCATTGTCCAAAATGTTCTCAATGGTTCCTTTGGGGGAAGATGCCAGGGATAAAGACTGATGAAGAGTCTGTAACAAATCAAAGGTAGAGAATGAGACAAGGGTTCTGAATGGAACTTCCGAAAACATTCACTTGGAGCATGTCTCGAGGAGACTAAAATGTTAATGCCTACATTTAGTAAGAAGTTTTTATTTTATTTTATTGAATCTGGAGTGAACAAAAACAGATGTGGGTTATTGACTAGGTCTCCTATTATTCCAGTGTCTAACCGAATTGCTCTGAAACTAAGTTTTCCTTCCTTCCTTAAAAAAAAAAAAAAAAAAAGGGGGTGCAGGTGGTTTGGCTCATGCCTGTAATCCCAGCACTTTGGGAGGCCAAGGTGGGTTACTCACTTGAGCCCAGGAGTTCCAGACCAGCCTGGGCAAGGCAGGTGAATCGCTTGAGCCCAGGAGTTCCAGACCAGATCAAAGAGCAAGACCCTGTCCACACACACACACACACACACACACACACACACACACACACACACACAAGCTGGGCATGGTGGTGTGTGCCTGTAGTCCCAGCTACTTGGGAGGCTGAAGTGGGAGGATCACCTGAGCCTGGGGAGGTCGAGGCTACAGCAAGTGGTGATGGTGCCACTGCACTCCAGCCTGGGTGACAGACTGAAACTATCTCCAGAAAAAGAGAAAGAAACAAGGGGGGTTAAAACTAGGATTAAGTTTAGAAAAAGTATGTCTTAACTTTTTTTTTTTTTTTTTTTTAAAAAGACAGAGTCTCGCTCTGTCGCTCAGGCTGGAGTGCAGTGGAGTACAGGAGTGGAGTGCAGGCTGGAGTACAGTGATCTTGGCTCACTGTAACCTCTGCCTCCCAGGTTCAAGCGATTCTGCCGCAGCCTCCAGAGCAGCTGAGACTATAGGTGTGCGCCACCACGCCCAGCTAATTTTTGTATTTTTAGTAGAGACGGGGTTTCACCATGTTGGCCAGATGGTCTTGAACTCCTGGCCTCAGGTGATCTGCCTGCCTTGGCCTCCCAAAGTGCTGGGATTACAGGTGTGAGCCACCGCGCCCGGCCTACGTCTTAGCTTTATTCAATGAGAAGAGGAAGCCAGCTGTTAAAAAGGGGATAATTTGAGTAAAAGGATAATACTTGTAATACACAGAAACACATTAAATGTTTTAACCCATGAATTCCTGATTATTATTGAAAAACAACTATAAGTCTTGCTTTCAACTTTGGAAGATGCTTGGTAGGGCATTATTTGGAAACTGGCAAATAAAGAGATCCAATATTCATCCTGCCTTTCCCAAGGGTAACCACAGTGTTTGATGAGTGTAAGTTTCTCTTTATAGATATATTCTAGCTAATTAATGAGGAAAGAATGTAAAAACTGCAGTATCATCTTTCTGAAACCCTGGTGAAATGAAGTAAAAAATCTGGGCAGCAATCACCAATGGCTGCCTGGCACATTATACTTCCTGATCAAAGTAGACAAAATCACCTATGTGATATTCTTGCCAAACAAATAGAACTGGAATTCAATCCATCCTTTCCAGAGTTAGGTTAAGGCAATATAGGGGATAGAAGACAATGTCTGAAGACCCCACAGGACTGTGGGAACCTTTGCAGGACAAATGACTTGAGCTCTTCAACAAATAAAAATATGCAAGAGGGAAACAGATGGAGCACTGAAATCTGAAGAGTAAGAGACCTATTGACCAACTACAGTGTATAGACTTTATTTGGATCCAGATTTTAACAAATAAACTGTAAAAGTACTTAGGAGACAACTGGGGAAAACTGAACCCAGACTGGATATTTGACATTTGATAGTAAGAAATTTAGCTCTGCCGGGCGTGGTGGCTCATGCCTGTAATCCCAGCACTTTGGGAGGCCGAGGTGAGTGGATCACTTGATGTCAGGGGTTCGAGACCAGCCTTGCCAACATGGTGAAACCCCGTCTCTACTAAAAATATAAAAAATTAGCCAGGCGTGGTGGTGGGCGCCTGTAGTCCCAGCTACTTGGGAGGCTGAGGCGGGAGAATTGCTGGAACCTGAGAGGCGGAGGTTGCAGTGAGCAGAGATCGACCCATGGCACTCCAGTCTGGGCGACAGAGCGAGACTTGGTCTCAAAAAAAAAAACAAACAAAAAAACACCCAGAAATTTAGCCCTGTATGATATGTTTGTGTGAGGAAAACACCCCACAAACTCAAAGTGATTTTTCTTATTCCCTCACTCAACAGCAACAGAAGACAGAAGTGCTGTTACCCCCAGATATGAGGGGATTTCTCCCTACCAGCAAGCAAGCAAGCAAGCAAGCAGTTCTGCAGTGGAAAATAGCTGGGTGCCGTCCAATTCAATTCTGACACTATCTACCTGCAGAGCGTCAGATCAGGAAGTTGAGGGCCCAGTCCTCAAAACCACACCACCCTTCAGACACCAGTTGGGCCTCTGGATCTTCTGATCTACGACCACCAGCTTTAAGTAGGGGTTCCCATGACCCCTTCTTTGGGTTTAATTTGCTAGAAGTGGCTCACAGAACTCAAGAAAACACATTTACCAGTTTATTATGAAGGATATTCAAAGGATATAGAAGAAGACATGCATAGGGTGAGGTATGGGAGAAGGGACATGGAGCTGCCATGCTCTCCTTGGGTGCCCCAACCTCCAGGAACCTCCATGTGTTCAGCTATCCAGAAGCTCTCTGAACCCTGTCCTTTCAAGGTTTTAGGGAGGCTTCATTACATAGAAATGATTGATTAAACCATTGGCCATGAGTGATCAACTTGACCTTTAGCCCCTCTCCTTTCCGTAGATATTGGAGGGTGGGGCTGAAAGTTCCAACCTCTAATCATGTCTCTGTCTTTCCAGTGACCAGTCCCACCCTGAAGCTATCAATCATTAGTATACAAAAAGATATGACCTTGGATATTCCAAAGATTTTAGGAGTTATATGACAGAAGGGGAAGAAGACTAAATATATATTTCACAATATCACAGGTATGATAACTGTACTCTAGCAATGCTTGACATTTTCTCCACAATGGAATTTAAAATACTAAAAATTAAAATATATGAAAATAAACCAAAACATGAGGGCCAATATATATACAAAATAATTATTAACAGTATTATTTTATCCAAAAAAAGTTTTACAAATATGGAAATAAAAAGGTCAATCTCTATTACGGTAAAAGAAAATGAATATTCTGGCCGGGCACAGTGGCTCACACCTGTAACCCCAGCACTTTGGGAGGCCAAGGCGGATATATCACCTGAGGTCAGGAGTTCAAGACCAGCCTGGCCAACTTGGTGAAACTCCGCCTCTACTAAAAATACAAAAAAAATTAGCCAGGCGTGGCAGTGGGCACCTGTAATCCCAGCTACTCAGGAGGCTGAGGCAGAGACTTGCTTGAACTGGGGAGGCGGAGGTTGCCGTGAGCCAAGATCCTGCCACTGCACTCCAGCGTGTCTCAAAAAGAAAGAAAAAGAAAATGAATATTCTTTTTTTTTTTTTTTTGAGATGAAATCTCACTCTATCACCCAGGCTGGAGTGCAGTGGCGTGATCTCTGCTCACTGCAACCTCCATTTCCCGGGTTCAAGCGATTCTCCTGCCTCAGCCTCCTGAGCAGCTGGGATTACAGGCTCATACCACCACACCCAGCTATTTTTTGTATTTTCAGTAGAGACAGGGTTTCACCATATTGGCCAGGCTGGTATGGAACTCCTGACCTCGTGATCCACCCGCCTTGTCCTCCCAAAGTGCTGGGATTACAGGAGTGAACCACAGCACTCAGCCAGAATATTATTAAATATTGATAGATATTTTCTGACATGTATACAATGTAAAGTTTCACAAATGTTCTTGCCCTTATAACCCAGAATTTCATTTTTAATTAGAAATAAAAGGAAAATCAGGGGAAGGGAAATTCTAAATGTCCAGAAGGTGATTTATTCAATTATTTCTAGTATACTTGTAAGTCAAAACACTATCGGCCAGGTGCACTGGCCTGTGCCTGTAGTCCCAGATACTTTGGAGGCTGAGGTGGGAGGACTGCTTGAGCCCAGGAATTCAAGGCCAGCCTGGGCAACACAGTAAGACCTCTTTTCTACAAAAAATAAAAAAAAATTTTTTTTAAATTAACTGGGCATGGTGGTGCATGCCTGTAGTCCCAGCTGCTAGGGGGGCTGAGGCGGGAGGAGTGCTTGAGCCCATGGAGGCTGTACTGAGCTGTGATCGTGCTAGTGCACTCCAGCCTGAGTGACAGCGCTAGACCCTGTGCCCCCCACAAACAAAAAGAACAAAAACCAAAACCAAACAACTCTCCCAAAACAAAAATACTATGCAATTATTAAAATATTCTTTTAGAACAATACTTTAAAAACATTCATAAAGCATTAAAAACAAAAGCAGATACGATAAGGCAGTAGGCCTAAATGCTAAATGTTTTCCTAGCTGTCATCTCTCTAACCTTTTAAGACTGTGATGAGATTTACTTAAACCTTTTCATGCCACAGAAAACACAGGTAGTTCACCATTTTATAATGCTTAATACCAAACCTCAATATAAGGACAGTATAATGAAGGAAAAACATACAAATAAACCAGTGTTTTGTGTGTCTAGCCACAGAATAAATAGAAAAAATAACACAAAGGACCATAGGACTTAGGCCCAGACAACCATGACACTAGCTCACCCATGCCAGGTGCTGTGTCTAACACCTATGATCCTGGCACTTTGGGAGGCCAAGGCGGGAGGATTGCCCTGAGCCCAGGAGTTTGAGACCAGCCTGCGCAACATGGCGAAAGCCTGTCTCTACAAAAAATACAAAAATTAGCTGGGTTTGGTGGCACACACCTATAGTCCCAGCTGCTTGAGAGCCTGAGGTGGGAGGACTGCTTGAGCCTGGGAGGTGGAGAGTGCAGTGAGCGGAGATCATGCCACTGCACTCCAGCCTGGGTGACAGAGAGACCCTGTCTCAGAAACAGGAAACAACAAAACAGCCTATACAACTATGAGCAATGCAATGAATTAACTTGAAGAATTAGACAGACAGGGCTGGGCGCAGTGGCTCACGCCTGTAATTCCAGCACTTTAGGAGGCTGAGGCGGGCGGATCACAAGGTCAGGAGATGGAGACCATCCTAGCTAACACTGTGAAACCCCGTCTCTACTAAAAATACAAAAAATTAGCCAGGCGTGGTGGCGGGGTCCTGTAGTCCCAGCTACTGGGAGGCTGAAGCAGGAGAATGGCATGAACCCGGGAGGCAGAGCTTGCAGTGAGCTGAGATCGCGCCACTGCACTCCAGCCTGGGCGACAGAGCGTCTCAAAAAAAAAAAAAAAAAAGACAGACCTTTATAAAAATCAAGTATTTAATAGGCCATGATAGGTCTGGATTAAAAGGAAATAAAATATCTACAACAAATGATAATAAAAACATTTCAGGTCAAAAGTTATGAGACAAATCTAAAGCAGTGGGAAATTCATAGATTCAAATAGATTTATCCAGAAATAAGAAAATTAAAAACGAATGAGTTAACCATTCAACTCATGAAGCTGGAGACAGCAACACAACAAGCCCCAAGAAAAGCCTGCTCTCCCTAGGCAAAGGATGGCCTATTGAGGCAGAAGACTTTTAGACAATAATCATTCTACTAGTCAACACAGAAACAATTATGGCCAACAGCAAGCGGGGGCCTCCACCTTTGCCCAGCTGTCATACAGTGCCCCAGTCACCACCCCACGGGGATGGAATGAACTTCCACTCCCTCCCAGCAATAATGAGACAAGTCCCCACCCAAGGTGTCAATGGAGTTTGTGCTGGGGAACCCGGACTTCCACCCATGCCTTTCTTGCAGTATCAGAGGAAGCCTGCTAAAACGTAAAATTTACATAGACCGGAGACTCACAAATATACAGGAGACAATGGAAGAATCACCGGTCATACCAAGAACCAGAAAAATCCCAACTTGAACAGGAAAAGACAATCAACAGATGCCAACAACACTATGGATGGATGTTGGATTTGTCTTACAAAGATTTTAAAGCAGCCATCTTAAAAATGCTTCAACAGGCAATTATGAACATACTCAAAGCAAATGAAAAACCAACATGAAAACAGCCAAGTATCAGCCAGGTGTGGTGGCTCACACTTGTAATCCCAGTGCTTTGGGAGGCCAAGGCAGGAGGATCACTTGAGGCTAGGAGTTCAGGACCAGCGTGGGCAACATCGCTAGATCCCATCTCTATTAAAAGAAACACACACACACCCACACACACACACAACCCCACAAAACCCCAGCAAATCTTAGCAAAGAAAATAAATGAACCACTAAGTAGAAATTTTTAGAACTGAAAAATACAGTATCTGTGCTAGAGCAAAAAGGAACCTAGGAAACTAACCTCATGGGCCTTCTCTGGATTAGTTGACTCTTTGGGGCTGGCCCCAGACATGCTCTTCCTCCTCTTTGTACTTCCAGGTGGAGACTCCTCTTGAGATCGTTCTGGTCTCTTCAACACTGACCGAGTGCTGGAGCTACACAGGGAAGGGGAGTCAAACAGCTTGCATCGGTTGTCCTTACAGGAAAAAAAACAGACAGACCCATCTTTCATTAAAACCTGTTCACTTGAATGGTAAGACAAATAAACCGAAGGTTTCCTGGGATGATCTAAGATCAATTCTAAATTAGCCAACAGACACTGCCGATTCATCTAGTCCTAGCAACTCTCACAGGGCCTGGCACATAGTAGGCACTGAGCACTTAGTGCTCAATGAATATATACTCAGCTGACATTATATAGAGATGAGCAAAACGTCCTTTGCCCTCACAAAAACTGTCTACATAATCCTGCGTCAAGAGAAGTGTGACCTTCCAGTCAGGAACACATTTTTGGCTTGCCTATCTTCCCCTCCATTTTATTACTTGCACCTTGCTTAATTAAGCAGGTCAACGGGTTTAAATACCCCACTTAAATCCAGAAAAGATGCACAGTAGCCAGGTTATAATAAAAATGGGGGCATCTTTGGTTAAGGTATAGTTAAGATGGTAAATTTGGAGGGAGTGGGGATGGGCAGAGTAGCAAATGCCTTTCAAAATTGTGTTCAAAGTCTTTTTTTCTACTTGGTCTTTTAAAGACTAATTTCCCAGGCTGGGCGCGGTGGCTCACGCCTGTAATCCCAACACTGTGGGATCACTTGAGGTCACAAGTTCAATAACAGCCTGGCCAACATGAAGAAACCCCATCTCTATTAAAAATACAAAAAAATTAGCCAGGTGTGGTGGTGCGTGCCTTTAATCCCAGCTACCCAGGAGGCTGAGGCACGAGAATCACTTGAAACCAGGAGGTGGTGGTTGCAGTGAGCTAAGATTTGCACCACTGCACTCCAGCCTGGGTGACAGAGCAAGACTCTGTCTCAATAAATAAATAAATAAATAAAGACAAATTTTCCAGAGCCCAAGGGAAGCCAATCTGACCAGTGGTAGCAAGAGTCAGCTCTCTAAACGCATCTCAGCCTATTCTCGACTCCATGTGTCTTGGCCTGGCTTTTCCTTCTGCACAGAATGTCCTTTCACATCTCAGTAAACCATTCATTTTCAAGTTGATGCTAACATTTCAATGTCACTTCTTTGAAATCTTCCTGATAGTCCCCAGTAGAATGGATCACTCCCACATCTGCTCCCATAGAGACCGGGGATTTTCTTCCTCTTTTGTGTGAAGTTTATTTTCCATTACAGCTCCCAGCAATGGTTAGTTTGTAATAACCATTTGTGGAAGACATTTCCCCACTATTAAGAGCTTACAAGCCCATGCTTATGACTCTAAAATCAAATCTATAAAACTAACAGCCACTTCCAAAGTGTTCTCACATTTTATGTAATTTTATGCCTATCAAAATGACCTGGTAAATTTACTCATAACATTTGTACTGCGTTAACATATTTTCTCAAAAGCTATGCACATGAATGTACTATAATCCATAAGTGATCTCAAAACTGTAGCTTGGCTGGGCACGGTGGCTCATGCCTGTAATCCCAGCACTTTGGGAGGCAGGTGGATGGATCACCTGAGGTCAAGAGTTCGAGACCAGCCTGGCCAACATAGTGAAACCTCGTCTCTACTAAAAATACCAAAAAAATTAGCCGGGAGTGGTGGCGTAAGCCTGTAGTCCCAGCTACTCAGAAGGCTGAGCCAGAAGAAGCACTTGAACCCAGGAGGCAGAGGTTGCAGCAAGTCAAGACTACACCACTGCACTGCACCCCAGCCTGGGCAACAGAGGGAGACTCTGTCTCAAAAACAAAACAAAACAAACAAACAAAAAAACTGTAGCTCATTTGTTCTGTAATTATAGTTCAGGTTATTGAGAATTAAAAAATATGAACTTATCAATTTAGATGTGTACCTAAGGGTGTATATCTCTGAACATACAGGTGTATATATCTGTATAGGCACATTCTTGCTTCTAACTTTGAAAGTATCCCTATGATGAAAACACGAATCTATAGCATGTGTATGTGTGTGTATATATATGTGATTTTGAATATATATACACACATACACTATAGATTCTGTATCTACATATACTATGCTTTCTGTTTGAAAGTATCCCTGATGGAAACACAAATCTATACTGTGTATGTGTGTGTGTGAGTATATATATATATATATATATATATATAAAATATATATTATATATAATTTTTAAAATCGAAAATATCTACCTGAAAATACCCAGCCTCAGGTAGGTATTTTCAATGAAAAACAAAACAAAACAAAACAAACAAACAAAACAGCAACAAAAAACATCCAGCCAGGCACAGTGGCTCATGCCTGTAATCCCAGCACTTTGGGAGGTCGAGGTGGGCAGATCACCTGAGGTCAGGAGATCGAGACTAGCCTGGCCAACATAATGTAACCCCGTCTCTACTGAAAATACAAAGATTAGCTGGGTGTGGTGGCAGGCACCTGTAATCCCAGCTACTCGGGAGGCTGAGGCAGGAGAATCACTTGAACCTGGGAGGCAGAGGTTGCAGTGAGCCAAGATTGTGCCACTGCACTCTAGAATGGGCAACAAGAGCGAGACTCCGTCTCAAAAAAAAAAACAAAAAACACAGAAACAAAAAAAATCCTGTGAGTTACTGTTGCTTGTCTAATTTTATGCTAGGTTCTGTGGAATATAAATGAGAATAACCTAAAAAAAGTAAAGTATTCAGGCTAAAGGCTTCAGATAGGCTTTTTTCAAACTGACTAGATGGTAAAAGCTAGGAATGACCATGGTCCCTCCTAACCCACACTCCTTATACATCAGGAGACATGCAGAGAGATATCATGACTAAAGGTCATAATTTGTAGGTAGCCAAAGTGAGGCCTAAAACCCAGATCCCCAAATCCTATCATGCATTTCAATCTTTGGCTATACTCAACTAAGGACTACTCTGTCCAGTGCCCCAATCACGCAGGGCTTCCTCCAGACACACTAGAACAACTCACAAGGTTTGTAGTTCTCATGACGAGAGGAGCTGTCCAGAGGCTTGCCATGCACGAGGGGGTCTCCTCCTCATTCTAAAGAAACAGAAAAACTGATTTTAAAAAGAGCCTGTAGAGACTAACATTTGTTTAAGTGCTTTAGGTGTGTTTCTCCCTGAACAATACCAGATAGGCCTGGATAGGAAGTATCCTTAATGTACCATCCTATACCGTTCTGATTTCATGTTTCTTGCATATAGATTGTTAGTTAGCTCCTTCAGGGTAAGAAGGATCATGTGTCTTCTTTTGATGCCCCCATCCCCCAATCCAAAGGATTTAATAAGGCTGGTAGCCCTATTATTAAATGAATTATCACCAAATGAACAAAAATATCAGCTAAGCAAGCCCCGGGGAACTGCTGTTGCTGTTCTTTTTCACATCACATGCCTTCTCCAGAGGTAATTAATTAGTAGAACAAATAGGAACACACACACACACACACGGTACCTTCAGATTCTCTCCATCGAGAAGGTCCACGAAGCCATCATCCTCATCAGACAAAGTGGCTGTCACAGGTGACTGGGGTGTAAAAAGAGGAATGAAATTCCCTGGTTCACTGCTATCTCTTTCATTTGAGGAAAGCTGTAAGACAAAATTCATGGATTAATAATGAGAGCTCTGATCCACTTTCATTTCCTTGAATGGGTCACTAGTTTTTATGATGAAAACATACTATGTTATACTTGTTATACAAAGCAAAATTTTAGCCATTACTGATTATATGAAAATGTATCCCAAGATTATAAATGATTTGATGACCACACACAGCCCTGAGTAGTCAGTAGCCTTTACAGAGAACTCTTGCCAGAAGCAATTCACCTTATAATGGGTACTAGAGATAGCCTCTTGTGAAGAACAAGGTTTCTTTTATTAGAAGGTTGCATCAGTGAACACCGATCAGCATTGAGGACTGTGACAGTATGAGAATCTGCTGAAATGAGTTAGGGCAAGCAGATGCAAATCTCTATAAAGACCATAAAATGGCCTAGAGAATGCACTTATATATAACTCCAGTTCTGACAGGGGGGAATAAAGGGTAACTTCCTTCTATAAAATCTATCCTCGTTCTTTAGACTTGGGATTTAAATGCTCAGTTTTTAAACGAGGAATTACTGTGTGCCAGATACTACGATATAATCTTTATACATATAATCCAATAGAAGCCTCACAATACACTAAAGGTAGCTAATCCTTTCCTTTTTCTTTAGCAAATCAGGAAACTGGTGCTTAAGAGGTTACCAAGATTATACACCTCATCTGTTTGACTCCAAAATCCAAACTCTTCTCACCACACTATCTCCCTAGGAGAAAACCATTCCTGGAATTAAAATGGCGGTACCTCATTAGCCAACCTATAGTCATACTTTTTTTGGGAAACCTCTAAACATGGAATATAGAAAATTTAGAAAAACTGCTCATAAATCCACACCTGAAGATAAATCCTACCAATACAAACACTGCTAATACTGAATTATTTATTTTCTAGGCACTTTCAAATCCAGAAAAAAAAGTTTAGAGTTATTTTTTTCACAGTAGCAGGGTAGTCCCAATGTTATGACCTACAAGTAATCCTTAAAATCCAAATCTCTTTGGGGTATGAATCTGTTGTTAGTTAAGTGGCCCTCTGATTTTCTGAGTGGATCATGCACCAAGGAATCCTCTCTGCAGCTGGCCTATTCTGGTTCTGGCATTAGCTTTGCTTCACAATATAAAACAAGTTCTGAGCAGTCTCTAGTCCTCCCCAAGTGCACACTCTGGGAAATGGCAAATTTTTTTAGCCTAGGGGTAGATAACTTTATTATGGGGCAGTACCTTTATCACGAAAGCTCACACTATATCACACCAACATTTGTGAGGTATGTTCTGGGATTCCTAGGTGCAGATGTGATACAGGCTCTAGTCGCTAAGCACACACCAAATATATTGTTTCTGATACCCAACTCTTAAAGCATTACTGTGTACTTGGGAATTTAGAGATTGTTTATTGAGACAGGGATTCATTGTCCAGGCTGGAGTACAGTGGTCTGATCATAGCTCACTGCAGCCTCGAATTCTTGGGCTCAAGCAATCCTCCCACTTCAGCCTCCCGACTAATTGGGACTATAGGAACAAGCCACCACACTCAGCTTATTTTTTAACTTTGTACAGATAGGGTCTCACTATGTTACCCAGGCTGTCTTGAACTCCTGACCTCATGTGATCCTCCCACCTCGGCCTCCCAAAGTGCTGGGATTACAGCCATGAGCCACCACACCCAGCCAGAGATCATTAAATCCTGGTTTCCTACTTATGTATATCCTTTGGTAAATCATCCAAACCTCTCTAGTGGTACTTTCCTAATCTGTTCAAGTGGATTAACTCCACTTCACAAGACAAGAACATATAAAAGTGCTTTGTGCAAATGATAGACAGAGTAACAATACTGGCTGAACCTCAGAACACAAAGCAGATTGGAAAGGTATATTTTCAGATTTAAGATCCTAGGTAAACCTGGAAGCCAAATGTGGTCATCTTGCTCAAGTTGGGCCTCTCCAATCTATAGATGCTATCAGTTAATCCAATTCAGACCAACAGCAGGAAACTTTGGAAGTAATGACAGTCCCTGTCTGGCAAATACATAGCCCTGAAACGAGTGACCCCAAAACTGCCCAGCAGCCTGAGCATTCACTGTAATCCATAATAGTTCTTTAAAAAAATTAAAAATAAAAAAAATAGAGATGTGGTCTCACTATGCTGCCCAGGACTCAAGCGATCCTCCTGTCTCAGTTTTCCAAAGTGCTGAGATTATAGGCATGAGCCATGGCACCTGGCCCATAACTGTTCTTAACAAACCACCTTTGGAAGAAGTCAAGTGCTCTCTCTCCAGTTCCTTGAGAAGCACTTAGAATGCATAGTAAAGACCAAGTTTTAAGTAAGAGATCTAGTGTTACGGCTCTTTTAAAATTTGTCTCGCAGGCTTTCCGGTTTTTGCCAGAAAGCCCTTAAAAAAAAAAAAAGAAAAAAAGAAAAAAATAGGAAGAGATATAATCCCACCATACATACATTTAGGATGACCCAGGATTTCCCAGATTAACAAGGTCGATTATTCCTTGCACAACTCCAATATTTCAAACACCATCTCCCACTCTTACTACCGCCTGTCTGTTCTCCAGACACAGCAAAACCACCAAGAATGCTTGACAGTCTAATTTCAAAAGACAAAGTCAAGGTAAAAACAGCTAGTGCTACTGTAGTGCCTTCAATTCTGGATGAAAGAAGGTGTTTTAATCCTTTCTTCCTGTCAGGAATTCCCCTATGAAAGCCAGAGCACATACCATCCGAGCTGGGGCAGAGTTCTGCCTCTGTGTGAAGAGATCTTTACCCTCCTGGAGTCCATGAGAGTGCAGGCAGCCACGAGATACAGGTCTTACTGGCTTCTTAAACTCAAAGGCTTCCTGCAAGACATAGTTGAGACATCTACTGTCCATGAAAACCAACTCAGGCCTCAGCTTGGGTGAAAGAGGCAAGAAAGTGGGCACTGATCACCTTTCTGCCTCCAAATTAAAGTTTCACCTAATTCCAACAATAGATCTGCGTAACTAAGAATTTCCAAGGCTCTGTCAACAGCTAACTTCTAAAGTAACATCTTTTTCTTGTCATACTGTATTTCCTAACACAAGTATCTGCCAAATATACAAAACACGATGAATAAGCTAAATCACAAACTTTCTGAAATCTAAAGCAAAAATAAATAAAATCTAATATAATTGCCTGTGAATAGTTGTCAAAATTTTCCATCTAGGTCCATCTGTTTCAGGGCTTCATATTTTCCACCTCTTCCTACCAACTGGAGATAATTTTTTCTACTTATAATTATTCTATTCTATACTAAAAGCAATGAAAAAAAAAAAAGCCCTACTGGTTTACTCAACGTGGACGATTCTTACAAGCATAATGTTTTTTAAAGCCAGATATGATAGAATACATATCGTATGATTCCACTTTATGGAATGAAAACACTCACAGGTCCCTTGCCCTAAAATATTCACTTAAGAACTCATAATTAAGTATTAAAAGCAGTAATGGCTAGCACTGGCGTGGGTGGCTGAGTTCCCCGTTGCCCTTGGTCTCGGGGTCGCGGTCGGCACTGAGGCTGCAGCTATCATGGTGAACTTACTTCAGATTGTGCGGGACCACTGGGTTCATGTTCTTGTCCCTATGGGATTTGTCACTGGATGTTATTTAGACAGAAAGAGTGATGAACGGCTAACTACCTTCCGGAACAAGAGCATGTTATTTAAAAGGGTATTGCGACCCAATAAAGAAGTTACCTGGAAGTAAAGACTGGCTGAATTATAGAATGTTCACATTTTAAAGTTCTGAGAGAAATAAAACCATGAAGAATCAAAAAAAAAAAAAAAGCAGTAATGGCTAATATTACAGTGATTTCTATGCCAACACAGTACTAAGTACTTTCTGTGCATTAACTTTTTAACCATCAAATACAACCTGATTGTCCCGATTTTACAGGTGAGAAAACTAGACCTTGCAGGTTAAGGAATGTGCCCAAAATATTGAAGTAAAACAGGACAACTCCAGAGTGAGAGCTCTTTAACCACCATCTATGCTGTTTTCCCTTTAAAACAAAGCTCCAGGCAAGCAACCCTGAGAAGCTATTTCGGGGGAAAACCAGGCATCAGTACAGCTTTGCCCTGGTAAAAAGCACTAGAGGCTGATACACTGTTCCAAGCACTCAAGGCTGGAACTCATTTCCATATTCTTTCTCATGACACTTCCCAGGTTGATAAAGAAATCATCAGGAGAGTTCATGGAGGCAGTGGGTTTCACACTAAACCTGAAGATTGTAAGGACAAGGATTATGAACTGTGGCATTTCAGCAGGAATGGAAAAGGGGAGAAAGTAAATATATAGAAATACAGTAGAGAGAAGGCTGAAAAAATTACAACTGTTTTGGATGCCTACTCTGTGCAATGTCTAAAAGAACAAAAAAGCCAGGCTCATTCAGGGTAGATAACCAGAAATTCACCTTCCAAGCCACCATTTCAGTTACTCTGAGATTCCCTAGAACTTGTTGACCCCGTTCTTACAAATACTGCCAAAGAGCCTTTTCCTAAGCTTACAATTCATTTCAGGGTCAGAGCAAAGAGGCAAGGACAGCCTGGGCAGAGCCTTCCAGACAAACACTATTTGTACATGTAATTACTCCTGTGAGCTACAATCTGAGCAACTCCCGCCTGTCAGGCACCATTTTCAATACTTCATACATAATCTTACTTATTGCCACAACATCCCTAAAAGGTATTACTACTCCTATTTTACAAAAGAGCAAAGATTAAAAAGAGAAGAATTTGCCAACATCACACAGCTAGTAAGCAGGATCCAAACCCAGAATTCTCTGACTCCAAAGACCGCACATAATGGCCAAGTTTAGTCTCCCAGAAAGCAGCCCAGCCACTTCTAAGCCACTGACAGCCTGTGGGTTTCACCTCTGCCTCAGGTTAGTACATTGAAGTCACACTCACATTTTCCTTGTTCTCATCTGGGTCGATGAGCTGAAAGATGTCATGGTCAAGAGAATCAGAATGGCTCCTCTTCAGAGCTGGACTACATCCCAACAGCTTCTGCTATCAAAGTAAAAAAGGAAAATAATTAAGGCACACAAATAAAATTTCAGTGGAAAATTCAGTTCTCAAAAGAAAAAAAAGGGGGGTTGAATAGGGGGTAGACTAGCTCCTCACACACTGCAGTAGGTAACCAGTAAATGTGGCCAGGAATCCACCTTGCCAGGACACAGCCAGGACACAGCATAGAAGTTTCCATTCCATGGGTTTACAGCTAACCTCACAAGGTCTACAGTGCCCCCCTCAACAGGGATTACAGTGCCAAATCAATCCCCAAATAACATTTGCATCAAAAGAACCCTTCCTGGTTTAATAAAGCTCTGTTAGAGATGGAGGACAAATTCCTCCAGACCGAACATCTTGAGTACTTATGAGACTAAGGAAAGGCTGGGAATAGTGGCTCTTGCCTATAATCCTAGCACTTTGGGAGGCCGAGGCAGGAGTTTGAAACCAGCCTGGGCAACAGAGTGAGACCCCCATGTCTACAAAAAATACAAAAATCAGCCGGGTGTGATGGTGTGCACCTATATATAGTCCCAGCTCCTCTGGAAGTTGAGGTGGGAGGATCACTTGAGCCAGGGAAGCAGAGGTTGCAGTGAGCCAAGATTTTGCCACTGCACTCCAGCCTGGGTGACAGAGCAAGACCTTGTCTCAAAAGAGACTAAAGAAAAGCAGTTTTTACTCTCTAAATTAAGTCTCCTATCAAGGTCATGCTGGTAGCTAAGGAACAGATAACAGGTATTAGCTCAAAATAAACAAGGAACTAACTTACAGGTAGGGAATGTATTCTTCTCATAGGATTTTCAAGGCTGTAATGAGATCAGAAGGTAAATAATGAGAATAAAACAAGTAAAGAGGTATTCATATTAGCAGAGAGATAGTGTTTAGCCTGTAGCTTGGGGGTACAGTCACAGACTCCCATTTTAGGCAAGAGATGGGAGAATAAATTTCTGAAGCTGTCCTGTTCTCAGGAGCACCCCCAACACTAGACTTCTAGGTGAAAAAAAACAAACCCATGTCTTTTCTTAAAATACACACATTCGGCTGGGCGCGGTGGCTCACACATGTAATCCCAGCACTATGGGCACTATGGGAGGCCGAGGAGGGTATATCACGAGGTCAGGAGTCTCGAACTCCTGGCCTGGCCAACACGATGAAACCTCGTGTCTACTAAAAATACAAAAATTAACCGGGTGTGGTGGTGCACTCCTGTAGTCCCAGCTACTCGGGAGGCTGAGGCAGGAGAATCAGTTGAACCTGGGAGGTGGAGGTTGCAGTGAGCCACTGCACTCTAGCCTGGGCGGCAGAGTGAGACTCTGCCTCAGAAACAAACAAACAAACAAACAAAAAAACCCCACATGTTCTTGTAAGGCTATGATGTCAGAGCACAGAGTAAGGGTTTGGGTAAGACCCAAACAGAACACCAAAATTATAGCTAAAATAAAGGAGAAAAAGTTCTGAAAATTGCTGACACAAACTATTCATTCTTGAGATTCCAGAGTGTTTCTAGGCACAGGTAAATCCAGGGCTCCAGTCCAGTGTATGAAGAACTTCATTTAAATAAGGTATTTAAGTTTAGACACGTTTTTTCTACATATAAACATTTGAAAGCAGTGAATACATACTTTTCTTTACTGTCCAATGGCCCAGGAGAATCTAGACAGAAACCTATGGGGAAAAAAAAAACCTCTCAAGAAATAATACAAAAAACACCATTTTGTCATTAAAATTAAAACACTAAACAAAGTACCTGGGTCTTTATTTAAGTCAGGCAACAAATATTCATGGCTTGTACTTTTGCCAGAATTGATGTTACGTCTATTAGATTGTCAAAAATGTCATGTTTGTACAAGTCTTAATATTTTCATAGCGTATTTACTGTTTTTTCTCCTATTTGCAAATAACATCAAGGGAAATAGGATTTGAGAAGAGGGTGAATAAAACTGATTCATATCATGATTGTTTGGTTATTCAGATAGAGGTGACCCAGATAACTTTCTGTGAGTTCCAACCATAGAAACAATAGGTACCAGATTTTCTTGGCATAGTTTTTAAACGTTTTACCTTGTCAAATCATATGAGGCTTGAAAAATACAACTACTGACCAGGCACAGTGGCTCACACCTGTGATTCCAATACTTTGGGAGGCTGAGGCAGGCTGATGGCTTGAGGCCACAAGTTCAAAACAAGCCTGGGGCAACATAGTGAGACTTGACTCTACCAAAGTTAAAAAAAAAATTAGTTGGGTGTGGTGGCACGTGTCTGTAGTCCCAGCTACTTGGGGAGGCTGGAGTGGGAGGTTCGCTTGAGCTCGGAAAGTTGAAGCTACAGTGAACCCTGATTGTGCCACTGTACACCAGCCTGAGACCTGGAAAACAGAGCAAGACCCTGTCTCAAAAAAAAAAAAAAAAAAAGGCCAGGTGCAGTAGCTCACCCCTGTAATCTCAGCACTTTGGGAGGTCGAAGTGGGTGGATCACCTGAGATCAGAAGTTTGAGACCCACACCTGTAATTCCAGCTACTAGGGAAGCTGAGGCAGAAGAATTCTCTAAATCTGGGAGGCAGAGTTGCCTGGGTGACAGAGTTGAGACCTTGTCTCAAAATGAAAAAGAAAAATACAACTACTGGTCATGACATGCAAGGCAAGCACTTGCTGCCTTTAACAAAATGACACCAAGGTGTCCATCTCACAAAAGGCAGCAGGGTGAAGGAGACACTGTTCAGCATTACTAATATGCCAGCTCAGATGACGCAGACCCACCCACCCATAGCTCATGTGTCTATACAGCCTTATGGAAAGTGAGGTGTTACAGCCCTTGCTCACCACACTGCTACAAGTGATAATCCTATCCCCAGTTCTATATTAAATTACATTCTACATACAGAAGCCTACATTACATTTTAAGACTTGCTCTTGCAGTTCCTTTAACCTAAAGGATCTTTGCACCAATGGTCTTATCTGTACAAATACAGATAAACTCTGCAGTAATATGAATTCATGAAGAATGAAATGCACTGGCAATTTCCTCCATAGCAGCATCACTGAAATGATTTCATGACACTGTACTTCCAATCATTTGATCCTGTATTTTAACCAGTAAGATTGCCTGAATGCCACTTACAGTGGTATGGTGAATTATACTTTACTACCCATCCTTCAAGGGCAAGCACACACCACCTCCTTATAGACATTTGAAACCTATTTCCTTTCTTCATAAACAGCCACAAGGGCTCCTTTGTATTGTTCTCAATAATGTTTATCACCGGGCGCGGTGGCTCACGCTGTAATCCCAGCACTTTGGGAGGCCGAGGAAGGCGGATCACCTGAGGTTGTGAATTCGAGACCAGGCTGACCAACATGAAGAAACCCTGTCTCTACTAAAAAATACAAAATTAGCCGGGTGTGGTGGTGCATGCCTGTAATCCCAGCTACTCGGGAGGCTGAGGCAGGAGAATCACTTGAACCCGGGAGGTGGAGGTTACAGTGAGCTGAGATCATGCCATTGCACTCCAGCCTGGGCGACAAGAGCGAAACTCTGTCTCAAAAAAAAAAAAAAAAAAGTTTATCACCCAATGCCATGACTTCCTCAAGTTCTCACCAAAACTAACCTCCTGGGTGAAAAGGCATGTTTCAGGAAATTCAGAGTATTGCTCCCCACACAGCAGACTTAAATACCTGAATCTGTTGACTCGGAGGAGCCCATTCTCTGCAGATTACTGTTGTTCTTCACCTCCAGTGGTTGCTCATAATCACTGAAACCAACAGAAATAAACCATGAATGATTTATAGGATATAATTAAAAGGTCACATGCAGGAGATAGGCCATGAGATTAAGAAGCAGCCAGGCTGCCAGAAACCATTTCTAGGCCACACCACAAGTGGCAAAGATCCCACTTTGCCACTCTGAACACCCAATTAGCACTTGGGCAAAGGAGAAAAAAGGAGTGGGTGGGCATGGCCTTGGACCACATTGCAGGTTATGATGGCTATGGCAAATGTTGGGGTATTTCCTAAAATAAAAGCATGTGTTCTAAGTACTGAGACAGAGTCGGGATGAAAGTTGAACAGGACACTTTCTGCTTTTCAGAAGTTGGGAAACGCACAAGACATGTGCTTAGCAAACGGGATGCCAGAGATTGAAGGGAAAGTAGCTCTTCCGCGGGAAACACCGTGGGATGCATTTTTTGCTATCAGGAAAAGCCCAGGAAGCTTTCTGAAAGTTGGGTAAAAAGACCTGGCCTTAGGAAAGCAGCAGAGTGGACATCAGGAATGTGCACAGGGCGAGGGACTGAGATGATTTTACATAAACGCCAGGAAAGAAAATGCCATGGTCCTTTGTTGAGAAGGAACAAAGATCACAGCAAACGAAGATCCTGAGGATGGTTTAGCAAAGGGTGAAAGTGAGTGCCTAGAAGAGCCTGATTTTCCCCGCGGGGGTAGATTCCAAAGAGCTTCCAGGGATAGAGATAGAAGGAGAGTACGGAGCAATCCGAAAGGGGTGAAGGTGGGCCTGGCTCGGGCTTAGGCCCAAGGATCTCCACCTCTTCCCCTGGAAGGTCCCGACGGCCTCTCCCGCCCAACATTCCGCCCGGGCGGGGGTGCACATGGCAGGCCCTAGCCCGGCTGTCCCCGAGCGGCGAACCCGGACGGACGGGTCTCGCCCTTCTCCCGGTCCGTTTCCTGGCCTGATCTCTCCGAGGCCGACACCGAGGCCAGGGGCCCGGAGCACCGCCCGCCGGTCTCTCCTTACCTGCCCAGACCCTGCAGCTGGTCCATAGTGACGGTCAGGTTGGTGACAGGCGACAGTCCCCCGGCGGCTGAAGCGCCAAATAGCGCCTTCACGACGGGCTGCGACGCGGGAGGGGGGCTGCAGGCGAAGAGCAGGCGGCGGCGGTGCGGGGGCTCCGGGCCCAGTTCCATGGCGGCGCCCGGCCTCGCAGAGCTCCCGCTCCCTCTTCCTCTGCCTCCGCCGCGACCGCCCCGCCCCGCCGACACCGGCCTCGGCCGCGCGCCACCGGCGCCCGCGGGTCAAACACAAACACGACTCCGCGGTTCAGGGACGCGGCTGCCGCGGGCAAGCGGCGCGGCCGGGCGGGTGTGCGGACCCTCCAGGCGCCAGCCACCAGCCACAGGCACGGGTGCTTCCCTCTCACACCGCGAGGCCAGCGGGCGGGCGGGCGCCGGCAACCTGAAGATTAAATCCAAACAAACGTGGCGGGTCGGCAAGAGAAGCCGGGCGAGAGCCTCGAGGCAACGGCCCAGGCTCACGCTGTCTTCGCTGTTCTCCCACCCGCTTGCCCAGCTCCGGGTAGCAGAAAACCAAGCCGACCTACACCTCTTACCCAGGCTGTCGCAGCCAGGCCGGCCTTTCGCGGTAATAGCGGCTCAGTGGGGCCAGCTGCTGCCCCGCCCCCCTTTCCTAGTTGGCGCCAAACGGAATCCACCAATCAGTAAGCAACTTCTCCTCCTCTCAACCGAATGGCAGCTAGGCTGGGCCAATGAGAGGGGAAGAAGAAAGCGGCTCGCGGGACTCTGCCAGGTCATCGGCTCTCAGAAGGGGGCGGAGCCCAGAGCAGAAGAGCGGGGATCAAAATGAGAGGGGGAGCAGAGGTCAATGAAAACTCCCAGCAGAACCTGCGAGGCGCTGCTCGCGGCTGAAAGGCCCCTTTGCCCCGTCGCATGCTGGGAAGCGTAGTTCCCATCGCGAGCTGCCGTCCAGTTAGCTTCGGCCCCCTTTGGGCCTCCGCTACCTCGCCCCCAGCCGGGCGCCCCACACTCTGAGGCAATGTGGAGGCTAAGGAAGACCTGTGGAGGTCTGGCCGGATCCAGCCTTGGCTCGGCCTCTAACCGTGCAGTATTGTGGACCCCTTTCTTCCGCCCCGGGCCTCCAGGCCCCATTTTATAATGAGGGAGGGAATGCAATGACCCCCAGGACTGGACTCGACCACCAGGGCCCAACTCTGGAGGGCTCACAGACCCTGGGTGCTGCTGGCCTCATGGGATTTGAACCCCGCAGTACAACCTGTGCTGTGGGCCTCAGCATTTTTTGCTCACTTCCATTCTAGCCCTTATTGGATGCTCTTAGAATCATTTCTTTCTTTCCCACCACTTCTTAGCCCCCTGGGAGCTCCTAGAGAGAAATAACAGCAAACACAATAATAGCAAATAATAGCTAAAGTTTACATAATGCTTATGCACTTGACACTGTTCCCAGTGTGTTAATCTGTATTAATTCATTTAATCTTTACAACTCTGTGACATAGGAATTATCCCCATTTTCTAAGTGGGCATATTTACTTTTACAGCGCCGAACCTGTGGCAGCTCCTAGACGGATTTTGAGGGCCATAAGTGCATGATTTAATTGCAACCTACTGCTGGGCTTAGTGGCTCACGCCTATCATCCCAGCACTTTGGGAGGGCGAGGTGGGAGGATTGCCTGAGCCCACGAATTTGAGACCAGCCTGGGCAACAAAGTGAGACACCCCCTGCCCCCCACTCAAAAAAAAAAAACCCTACAGTTTGAAAAGCCATGCTGGACAGGTGGAAACCCCAAACCTTTGGCCCCAACACCAGACCCTTCACAGTGAGGAACCTCTCTCTCAGGATTCATCTCCTTTTCTGTGCACCAGTGCTCCACCACCCAGGAACCTCCCTTCCCTCCAGAAACCCCAGGCTATTTAGGCCTCTCTGCACAGTTCACATGGTCTGTGGTCCCACTGTTTCAAATAGTTCTCCCTGTCGTATCTCTGAATACTTTCCTCTCCTCCTGTGTTTTATGTGGTTTAATACTTGGCTCAACAGGCCGGGAGCGGTGGCTCACGCCTGTAATCCCAGCACTTTGGGAGACCGAGGCGGGCGGATCACGGGGTCAGGAGATCGAGACCATCCTGGCTAACATGGTGAAACCCCGGCTCTACTAAAAATACAAAAAATTACCGGGCGTGGTGGCGGGCGCCTGTAGTCCCAGCTACTCGGGAGGCTGAGGCAGAAGAATGGCTGAACTCGGGAGGCGGAGCTTGCAGTGAGCCAAGACCGAGCCACTGCACTCCAGCCTGGGCAACAGAGCGAGACTCCGTCTCAAAAAACAAAAACAAAACTTGGCTCAACATTCCTGTTACTGCATTCATTCATTCAACATATGTTTATTTAAGGATTACTAGAACAAATTCAGTGCTTGAAATAATACCACAATCCCTGCTCTCAGGGAGCTCTGGTCCGCTGAGCATAAAGCTCCTTCTAATAATGGAATTATTACCATGACAATAGCTGTGGTTTGTGGAGGGATGGTGGGCACCTAGAGGAGGGGCGGGGACTGGGGAAGGCAGTACGGTGGGGGGCACGTCCTAAAGGAGATTAAAACTAAAGGTCAAGGTTGCTGGAGAAGGGGAGCTTGGGGCTGGTGGGAAGTGCTTTCTAAGGAAACGGCCCTCGGCAGCCAGGAGGTGAGGAGGAACGCCGTACTTGCCGGGAGCTACTCCTGAGTTGATCCAGTCGGTTCTAGAATGGGCACATGGGACTGGCTGTGAGGGACAGTTCTTGAAAGGATTGGAGTTTGCTGAAGAGTTTGGCCTTATCCTGTGGACAGTGGAGGGTGTGTGATAACCGGATCAGATTTGCTTTAGGGTGGATCAGTGGAGGAGAGTGGGGAGGCCTGAGGAAAAAGGAGGTGGCTGTCTCAAAAGTCTGGGAGATTCTGAAGCAAGGTGGGGGCCTTGGAGACAAAGGAAGGGAATGATTCTGTGAGCCCTGAAGGAGGTAGATCTCATCAGATTTTGATAATTGAGAGTTAAGATTGTAGGGGGCTAGAGGGAAGGGAGGAGGCTAGAATGATTCTTAGGTAATGATTCAAGTACCTGGGTGGATGTAACATTTCAACAATTGGAGGCATACTTCTTGGAGGAATTTGATGAGCTCAGTTTTGTGCTGGTGGACTGGCTGGGGGGTGTAGTCAGGAGGCAGATTTGGTGTTGATTAGCATGAAGATGGTAATGCCCATTGAGGATGTACAAAGGGTTTTTAGGACCCTGGATCTGGGGAGCACCAGCATTGAGGACTTGATGTAGTGAGACAGGACCGCAAAGCTGGGGCTGAGATAGAAACCACAAGGGAGTAGCCGAGTCCATAGTTCAGAGGTGCACCCAGGAGAGTCACTGAAGGTGGCCAGAATGAGGTCACAGGCAACTATGGAAATCATGTAGGAAGGCGAGGAGGTGGCCACAGAAGGCCATGGGAAGGGAAAAGTTGGCACAGAAGCTACAATACAGTTCAAGTGTGCCAAAATGCATGTACACAAATATTCATGGCCATGTTAATCATTTTAGCTCCAAACAGAAAGCAACCCTAATGCCCATCAACAATAAAATGGGTAAATAGAACAAAGTTATTTTATACAGTGATGAAAAGGACAGAAGCGCTACCCACAGTAGGAGTGAATCTCACATCAATGTCAAACATAAGAAGGAAGACACAAAAGAGAACATGCTGTTTAGGTCTGGCTCACACCTGTAATCCCAGCACTTTGGGAGGCTGAGGCAGGCGAATCACTTGAGGCCAGGAGTTCGAGACCAGCCTGGCCAACATAGTGAAACCTCATCTCTACTAAAAAAAAATATATATATATATACACACACACACATATATGTGTGTATATATACATAATATACATACATGTGTATATATACATAATATACATATATATGTGTACATACATATACATATATATGTATATATACATATACATATATATGTATATATACATATACATATATATGTATATATACATATATACAC